>NC_000011.10:71055696-71358726 GCF_000001405.40 Homo sapiens | reverse complement strand
TTCTCTTCGTGGATGACGACGAGGTCCCCTTGGTGGGCACTAACAGCAGGGAAACTGTGCTCACAAATGATCCACTCCTTCATGCCCATGATGGGAGCTCACAATACCAGCAGCTAAGCAGGCAAGTCCCACTGCCAGGAGGTCCCCTGCAGCTGCTGCCCTGCCCAGAGTCCAGGCTGACTAGGGCGGGATTGGAGACAGAGGACACAAGGATGGCAGCTGCCAGCTGCGCTCCTCCCAGCTCTGCTGCTGACAAACTGGGTGGCCTGGGGCCGATGTCAACCTCTCTGAGCCTCGGCCCTCCTTCCCATCCCAGTGCTGGACATCACTGCTGTGCTGCGTCAGTATACTGTCAGGAGCAGAGGGAGCCAAATGCTCTGTAATTGTACAGCTTTTGCTGAGTTAAGGGATATTTGTTATTACTCTGGTCCCATATTGGTGATTGTTCCACCTCCCCAGACAAGTTATAAGGACCGTGATGATGATGATGATGGTGATAATGAAGGCGATGACAATATCAGCAGCATCAGTAGTATCCTCTCCCACTTATTGATGGTGCCAAACTGGTGAGGTGCTGAACAGAGTGCCTGCTGTGCATTATTTAATTTCATCTGCACAGTATCCCCATGGGTAGTTATTGATACTCTCCCATAATGCAGATGGGAAGGCAGGCCTCTGGCGGGAGTTCTTTGATGCAGAGTGTATACATCAGAGCTGGAATTTAACCTCAGGGTCTGCTGGTCTCCAGAACCTGGGTCTTTCTTCATCTCTGCCCCTGTCTTTCTCCTGGTCCCAAAAGCCCCAGGTCCCTGCAGCATCCTGCAGTCCACTGCAGGATTCCCACCATCACCTTCCAGCAAAGCCTGGAGGGCCCTGAAGTCCCATCCCACCTTTGGGATCCACTGCCTCTCCCTGGAGAACCAGCACAGGCTGCAGAGAGTGGCCCGCTGTCCTGGGTGTGACCATGGAGCATTTCCTTCCAGCATCTTGGGGCAGTGGGTGATGGTCCTGGCTCTGTTCTCTTCCAGCCCAGGACTCCTTGTTCAGGAAGGACGAGTCCATCTCTCAGGTTTGAACTCCCCTTCCCAGATGCGGGAGTCCAGACCTCTGCATGGGCCAGGGTTGGGTAGC
The DNA here is from genome assembly GCF_000001405.40 of Homo sapiens. Lineage (NCBI taxonomy): Eukaryota > Metazoa > Chordata > Mammalia > Primates > Hominidae > Homo > Homo sapiens. The sequence goes on along the minus strand of NC_000011.10, from coordinate 71,357,595 downwards.
CATGCCTGGAGTGGGAGCGCTTCCACGTGGGTGGGACTCAGAAGCAGAGAGCAGATGATGCTGGGCCTGTGGCGGGGGGAAGAGCCAGTGGAGAGGCCCCCAGGGAGGGCACGAAGGCAGGGAGCCACTCACCGAGACTTGCGGGGTTGAGCAGGGAAGGAGGATCACCAAGACCACATGTTCATGTCCCTCCCTCACAGGGAGCTTGGTTCCCATCCACACCAGGGCAACCTCCTCCTGTCCTCTGACTTTTCCAGCACTCGAGGGAAGCCTTTCCCTTCACCAGTGACTGCCTTATGTCAGCCCTTGCCTGGAGCCTCACGCAGAAAACTCCCCACCTGCCACTCATTTCCTTCTCCCTGAGGGCCTAGCGTCACCACTGCCCAGGCTGGCTGGCCACAACGGCCTTGGGACAGCCCTGGCTTCTGGGCTGCTGCTGTGCATGCCCACTAGGAGCCAGACCAGCTAAGACTATTCTGAGATGGAGAGGCAGGTGCGACAGGGGAAGAATACACCATGGTGGCCTGAGGGCAGTTGTGCTGATCCTGGTGGCCCTCAAGTTAGCATCCCACCAAGTACAGCCTCAGCTCCATGACCCGGCCATGCCTCCCCAACGTTGGCATCTCTTGATGGGGCCAGCCCCAGCCTTGAGCCCCAGGACAATTGCTGTGCCTGCCTCCCTGCCTCTTCCAGCTCCAGAAAGGGCAGCCCTCCATAGTTATTCAGGCTCTCCTGGGGGCATCCTCCATTTCGATTCCCAGAGACCAGAGGGTGCAGTAGACAGAAGCCCTGTCCTTCCTACCCAGGCACAGAATGCTGCCTTTGTGAGGGAAGCAGAAGCGGCCAGCCTCAGCTCTCAAGACCCAGTTCCAGCTGCCTGGCCTCAGCCTGGAGGATGGACCCCATGCCCACCCCTACCCCACTGGGTGAGGCCTGTGCATCATGAGCCTGGATGGCACCCAGCTTTGCAGGTTGCCTCCCTCTATTTGAAGGTAGAGGAAGGGGAGTCGCTAAGCAAGGTCACCATGATTAATTGATAAACACAGCTCATCCCAGATTTGGAGAGGAAATGGGTCACTGTCAGAGGCCCTGGCCAAGAGCACGCACATGTCACCTCTGAGTCTGCACATGTCACCAGCCAATGGGAAGAGGCTTCTGGAAGGTGTCGGGAAGAAGGTGGCTGAGTGAGAGTCAGCCCAAGACCAGAGAATGTGGATGGATGGCAGACGAAACCTCCAGGCATCACTAGAGGTGGCCTTAGAGACAAAATTAAAATATTCTCTTTTGTTTGCTGTGCACAAGCACCCAAGTGTTGAATAAGATTTGGGTTAGTCTAAACATACAGTAGATCTTTGACGACAAAGGGGTTAGGGGAACCCACACCCCCTCCCCCGCACAGTTGAAAATCTGCATATAACTTCTCCAAAATTTCTCCCCCAAAACTTCACTAATAGCCCACTGTTGACCAGAAGCCTTACATATAACATCAACCGTTGACTAACACATACTTTATATGTTATATGTGTTCTATACCGTATTCTTCCCATAAATAAGCTAGAGAAAAGAACATGTTACTAAAAAAATCATAAGGAAGAGGGAAGACAGTCATTAGGTGGAAGTGGATCCTCATAAAGTTCTTCATCCTTGTCATCTTCATGCTGAGTGGTGTGATGGTTAATACTGAGTGTCAACTTGATTGGATTGAAGGATGCAAAGTATTGATCCTGGGTATGTCTGTGAGGGTATGGCCAAAGGATATTAATATTTGAGTCAGTGGGCTGGGCAGGGTGGACCCACCCTTAATCTGGTGGGCACAATCTGATCAGCTGCCAGTGAATATAAAGCAGGCAGAAAAACGTGAAAAGGCAAGACTGGCCTAGCTGGATGCTTCCTAGCTGGACTCTCCCTAGCTGGATGCTTCCTGCCCTCAAACATCCGACTCCAAGATCTTCAGTTTTGAGGCTTGGACTGGCTCTCCTTGCTCCTCAAGCTGGCAGACAGCCTATTGTGGGACTTGTGATCATGCAAGTTAATACTTAATAAACTCCTTTATATATATATGTGTGTGTGTGTGTGTGTGTGTGTGTGTATCCTATTAGTTCTGTCCCTCTAGGGAACCATGACTAATACAAGTGGGCTGGGGAGAAGGAGGAGGAGGGGTTGGTCTTGCTGTTTCAGGAGAGGCAGAGGTGGAAGAAAAATCCTAGTATAAGTGGACTTCTGCAATTGAAACCCTTGTTGTTCAAGGGTCAACTGTATATCTATATGACGCTTGTCAACTGTGTGTGTGTATATAGATAGTGTGTGTACATATGTATTATGTATGTGTGTATAGAATCTATATAGTGTGTGTATATGTAGAAAGAGATTCAAATATGTATGTAGATTAAAAAATGTTTTAGATAAATGCTTATATGAGACCCATAAATGGTGATCAGGATGACATGGAAGAATAGAGAGAGCTTTGACAACCCAGCCAGAGCAATTTCTTTGTCTTGTATAACTGAAAACTTCAGTGGTTGATCTATGTGCCCCCTAGCTTTGCTATGTAGCAAACCATCCCAAAACAGTGCATTGAAACAACCTCCACTGGATGATTGCTCACAAGGCCGTGAGTGAACTGGGCAGTTTGGCTGTCACCTGGCCAAGCAAATGGGGACCAGTGTTCTAGGACATCCTGAGTCACATCACGGCCAGTTGGCTCTGGCTGTCATTTGGTACAAAAGTCAGCAGGGTGATGGGGTGACTGGGCTATTTGTGGAAATTCTCACCCACCAGCAGTCTGGCCCTAGAGCAACAGGAGAGAGCAGGCCCTGTGCAGAAGCACTTTTCCAGCCTCTGCTTGTGTCACGTTTGCTACTTGCATTATCCAAAGCAAGTCACGTGGCCAAGTTCAAATTCAAAGGTGTGGAGACTGAGGACTCTAAAGCTACAATGAAGAGCAGCATGCATTCAGAGACAGAAGGAGTATGGCCCCTTTGCACACTACCACATGGATTTCAGGCTAGGCTGGATCCAGGGACTCAGTGATGTCTTTTGGGCTTGGTTTCCTCCCCCTTGGCTCTGCTTCTTTCTTGGTCAGATCCACTCTCAGGCCAGCTCTCTCTGTGGCCCAGCAAGCTGGCCACCTGTAGCTCTGGGACTCTGGCCTCCCACCTCAGGTCTGGTGGGATAAAAGTCTCTCTTCCCCATGGCTCTAAAGAAAGTCCCTGAATTCCCTGTCTCTGATTGGGTCATGTGCCCATCTTGGAGGTGACTTTGTATTACAGGAATGTAATGTCCTGATGGCCTCCTTCAGGGCACAGAGGGAGAGTGAGTTCCACGCAACCTGATGGACAGAGGAGGAGCATGGGGCTATTGGCCAAGAGACCAGGGGCCAATGCCAGAAGCCAGAGGATGCTCCATCAGCAAATGAAACAAGTCCCTGTTGAGTGACAGATGCCATTTGTGAAGGGATTTTTCCCTTCTTTTGTGAAGTGTCTGTTCATATAGTTTGCCCATTCTTATAGTGAGCTGAAGGAGTACTTTATATAGGCTGTACATGAGTCCATGGTCAGATAAATATTCTGTGAATATTTTCTCCCAGTCTGTGGCTTTCCTTTCTCTCTCTTTCTTTCTTTCCTTCCTTCCCTCCTTCCTTCCTTCCTTTCTTTTTCTCTTTCCTCTTTCCCTCCCTCCCTCACTCCATCTCTCTCTTTCTTTCTTTTCTTCCTTTTTTCCTTTTCTTTTTCCTCTTTCCTCTTTCCCTCCCTCCCTCCATCTTCCCCTTCCTTCCTTCCTCTCTTTCTCTTTCTTTCTTTCTTTCTTTCTTTCTTTCTTTCTTTCTTTCTTTCATTCTTTCTTTCTTTTCTTTTCTTTCTTTCTTTCTTTCCTTCTTTCTTTCTTTCATTTCTTCTTTTGACAGGGTCTCGCTATGTTTCACAGGCTGGTCTTGAACTCCTGAGCTCAAGTGATCCTCCCACCTTGGCTTCCCAAAGTACTAGGATTACAAATGTGAGCCACCACACCCAACCTACTTTTATATGCTTAATGCTGCCTTTTGATTTAATAAATAGGATTTATCCAATCATCCACCTGCCCTTCAATTCAGCAAGTCCACGTTGAGAACTTCCCTCAGGCACTGGGGGACAAAACCATCCCAGCTCCTGCACACATGAGTTTCCAAGTGTGTGGTGCAGAAAACAATAATCGCCAAATAGGTAAAATAACTACGAATGTGCTCTATTCTGTGAAGGAAAGAAGAACTGGCTAGGATGGGAGGAAAATGAAGGAGGTTGGGGCTGGAAAATATTCCCTTTGGCTTTTGGTTGGTTTTCTAAAAATACTTGCTACTCTTTGCCCAAGATTCAGAAAAAAATTATGTTTCTCCATGACACTGAAACCTCCTAGAGGCAGGGATTGCTTTGAAACCTCCCCAGTGGTGACCCCCACTTCCCTCCCTGGGTTGGTCCAGGGCCTCCTGTCCATCTCATTCCTGTTTTGTGGGTAAATGCTCGGTACATCCTAAAGTCATTGAATAGAGTTGTTGCTCCCTTGGCCCCTGTTCACTTGAGGTTGGAGTGCAGGGGCCAAGGAGGAAGAAAATGGGAAGTTCCTGTCCAGCTGCCGACGTCAGGACATCCAGGCATGGATTGGGCTGTAACTGAGGTTGCGTAAACCTTCACCTTTGATCCTTTGAGTTCTCAGCATGGCAAGGGCCTTGAAGGCTGGAAGGGGATTTAGGTATCCTTCAATCTGAGCCTGTAGCCAAGACTTGGAACCACTTGTCACATTTCTTAGGGGGCCATCCCAGCACCACTTCTTGTCTGTGGCAACGGGCCACTCTCTGGTCCAAGGCAGCCGTGCCATCTTAGGAGAGGTGGCTGGGAGGCTCAAGTGAAGGAAATAAAGTGTTCTGGGAGGGAGGTAGACATTTCTCATGATCCGTTCAACACTAGGAAAGAAGACACTTTACATTTTTCTGAGCATACTTATAAATTTATAAGAAAATTCTGCATTTTTATTTTATTCAATGACTTAGAAGCCAACTAGTCTCCTTTGAAGATTCTGGAAGGAGGCCTTTAAACTTGAGTCTGGCCCTATGAAACCTGGTGAACGCTGAAGGCATCCTGGGCCCCTTGCACGGATTTGAACAAAGTATTGGTCAAGTTGAGAGTTGTGGCAGGCGCAGTCACATACCCAAGGGCCCCGGCGGGTGATCTGGGCCAGCGAGTTGGCTCACACATGGCCTATTTTGGGAAATGGGGACGTCAGAAATGGAGAGGCCCCAATTCCACAGCCCAAAACCTCATCTAGAGAGCGGGTGAGGCACTAAGACATTTACACAATGGAATCTTTTTTTTTTAAAGTCAAAATCTTTGAGAAAAAAATAAACTTGGCTAAATTGTCTTTAACAACACAACAGAAGCTACCAGCAGCCTTGGGGCAGAATAGACTGGCAAAGTTGTAAAGGACAGCCCTGTTTACCTGCCTTGCAAGGCGGGCCTTTATTAGTCTGAGGGAGAGGGAGTCCTGTGCCCTCATCTGACGGGGCAGCCCATATAATTGCCAGCAGGAAAAAAAGAGGCAGTTTGGGAAAATTCTGGTAGGAATGATGGAAGCTAGCTATGTTTCTACCAATACTTGATCAATAACACCCCAAACCCTGGCAGATTATCTTGCTTATGAGAAGCAGTAAATATCCAAAACAACAACAACAAAACCAGACAGTTTACTAGTTCTATAACTCAAGATGTTTTTGTGATTGTTTTCCTTCATTGCAGACTCTTCCTGGGAGACTTGGTTTTGACCAAGTCTAAACGGATACAGAGTGAATAATGGCCAAGTGAAAGATGTTTGCCAAAATCTACACATGTGAGGGAGGTCTTTTTCCTTTTCTTGATATCTAAGAGCACTAAGGGTGCGGTTGGTTTTGAAGATCACACACATGGCATGCTGGAAGGATGTCAATCTTTATTCATGAAAGTGGTTATCAGATACGGGCTCTGGGCAAAGAATCATGATGCATGCTGCCTAGGCCCTTGGCAGTTCACATTCCAGGAGGGAAAATGGTTGTAAAACTATATCAAGCCTTATGCAGAGGTGGGAAAAACAACCAAGAAGGCAGCAGCTCAGAAGAAAGATCCTGGGCCAGGCATGGTGGCTCATGCCTGTAATCCCAGCACTTTAGTAGGCCAAGGTGGGGGAATCGCTTGAGGCCAGGAGTTTGAGACCAGCCTGGGCAACATGGTGAAACCAAAAAATTAGCCAGGCATAGTGGCGTGTGCCTGTAGTACCAGCTACTTGGGAGGCTGAGACGGAATGATCACTTACACCCACAAGGTCAAGGAGGCAGTGACCTATAGTTGCACCACTGCACTCACAGTGAGTTACCGTGCCTGGCCCTTTTTTTTTTTTTTTTTTTTTTTGGTAGAGATGGGGTTTTCCTGTATTGCCCAGGCTGGTCTTGAACTCCTGGGCTCAAGCAATCCTTCTGCCTCAGCCTCCCAAAGTCCTGAGATTATAGGCACGAGCCACTGCTTTTGGCTAAGATCCTGATTTAAAGAGAGGTAAATATTCACCATTCTGTAGAGATGCTTAAAACTGATGAATCAAGAGATTGCAACAAAAGCAACATATTGTTTAATAATACAGATAAAAGAAATACTTAAATACTTAAAAGAATTAAAGAAGCTGGGTGGGGTGCATGTGGGGGCTGCTGTTTATCCTTACAATCCCTTTGGCACTATGTGGCATGCACTCACACACACACACAGAGACACACACACATACGCCCTACTTTGATTTACAAAAGGAGGATAAGGAAGAAGAAAAAGAACAAGCCCTTGCCTCCTACAAGGACAGACAGTGATGATGTCTAAGAAAGTGTGATGGGGAGCCCGGCGTGGTGGCTCACACCTGTAATCCCAGCACTTTGGGAGGCCAAGGTGGGCAGATCACCTGAGGTCAGGAGTTCAAGATCAGCCTGGCCAACATGATGAAACCCCAGCTCTACTAAAAACATAAAAATATAAAAATTAGCTGGCTATGGTGGCACACGCCTATAATCCCAGCTACTCGGGAGGCTAAGGCAGGAGAATCACTTGAACCCAGGAGGCAGAGTTTGCAGTGAACCGAGATGGTGCCATTGCACTCCAGCCTGGGTGACAGAGTGAGACTCCATCTCAAAAAAAAAAAAAAAAAGTGTGACAGGGGTTACAATGCTTACAGGTGCATCTCTGGAAAACCCCAGATCTCATCATCATTACAAGAACATGCCATTTTAAAATCCTCATTTTTTTTCTTTATGCTTTCAAAGAACACCAGAGAATCGTGAAACCCAGGAGTGCCTGGAGATTTGGGTTCATGCTTCTGTCTCCTTCTTAGCTGTGGTCCAGCCACTTGGTCCTTGTACGCCTTTGCTGCCACGCCTGCTGTGACAGTGGCCAGCTAACCCCTGGTGGCAAACGGGGTGTATTTGGTGGTTAGAGGTGGACATAAAGGCACTCCAGCCACATCCCAAGGCTCCACATCAGGAGGGAACAAGCCTCACAGGAGGCTGGCTCTTCTCTTGTGTGGGTTCTGACCAACATCAGCCCGCTTCACCAGCTTCTAGGAGCTGCGTAACTTGCAGCTGCACACGTGCATGTCACACAGGGTAACTCTGGGTCCCTGTGCAGGAGAGAGACGTCATGGAGATTCACTCCCTTTGTGCAGCCACCTCTCTTGTACTCTCAGCGTTGGCTCCTGCCCAACCACCTGAGCTCCCTGTTCCCCTCGGCCTCTCTCGGGCTGGCCCTGTCATCCCCGACCCAGGAAGCTGGTCGAGACCCTTCTGAGTGACTGGCCCTGTTTCCACCCAGTCCTGACTCACTGTGGGAGTGAACGGGGAACAACAGCCTGAGCCTCGGATGGATGTGCGGCTGAACAAAGGGGATCCTCAGGCTGTACCTGCTCCCCCAGCAAGGCCCCTACTTAACCATGGCCAATGGCCTGCCATCCCCACAGCAGGGTTTTTCCTGGGGGGGCACAGCCCCTGGCCGATGCTGTTGGTTCCTCTAAAAAACAAAAAAACAAAAACACACTCTCTTCTTTCCCGCTTGCCTCTAGTTTTGCTTTTCCTGAAAATCCAGTGCTGCTCCAAGTTCAAAGGCAGCTCCTCCAGGTTCACAGCTGCTTGGGAGGCCGAGGATAGGACCGTGTAGTCACCTGGACATGGGTGTCATTCCCAGCCCAGGACCTTACCAAACTTCCAGAACCTCAGTTGCTTCTGTGAAGTGGGAAGAAGCCCAACTCCCACAGTGTCTGCTGTGAGACGGCTTCAGTGAGAGGGAACCTGCAAAGCATGAGTGCTGGGGATGGGGCGGCTTGAGGCCGAGCCCCTCCCGCACCGCCCCAGCCCCAGCCTTCCACGCTCCTCCCTCATTTTCTCTTCCTCTCTCAGTTTCCCTTGGCCTATTTGTTTTTCCCAAAGGTAATCCTCGGTATGATCAGATAATTATCTGAGGCAAGTGCACAAAATCACACATTTGCAGAGCACAGCGCTTCACCTGGGGAAGCACATAGGTGTTTGCAACACATTTTCTCTCGGCAGAAGACGCTAGCATAGCAGCACCAATGCAGCTAAAAGAGCAAGGGCTCTGGAGCCCCGAATGCAGGTTAAATTCCTGCTGCGCTTCATAATAGCTGTCAGCCCTCAGCCACTGGTTCTGAGCCAGTGCTGAGCAGCTTTAGGGGAAGGAGGGAGAGTAGGGAAAGAAGGGCACTTGGGCACTGGAAGATGGAGGCAGCAAGGAGTTGACAGAAGAGAAAAACCCTGACCTGGAACCTAGAAAATTGTTGCAGCCTTTTGGTGGGCCCCAATATTCCGGGTTCAGAAAATGCACACTTGGGAAAAGTAATGGTATTTATCCTGTTTGCACCGACTAAAATTCTTTCTCCTTTGATAATTAGGGTTTTTGCTTTAATGCTCTCCCATGGGACAGGTGGCTTACGATGGCTTAGATTGGCATTTTCAAGGGAAGGAACGAGTCTCTGGAGGTGGCCTCAAGGGATGTGTTAAGAACTTACCTTATCACTGTGGGGCCCTGAGAGTTGTTCCTTCTGAGCCTCTCTCAGAGGATTTTGTGGTTAAACTCCCCAAAGTGTCCATTCTGTCTCTACTATTTCACCCTGCAATCTCTCCTGAACCCCATCCAAGCTGAGGTTCTTCCCCCAATCCACCAAAACTATCTTTGTCAATGTCACCAATGACCACCATGCTGGCAAATCCATTAGCACATTCTCATCTTCCTTTCACCATAGCTTTTGACACAGCTGATCTTTTCTCCTTCGGGAAAGACTTCATTCCTGTGAGTTCTAAGACACTGTAGTCCCTGTGTCAGGAAAAATTGGGAGAAGAATTTAAAGTGGGAAGAAAAAAACCAAGCAAACTTTACTGAGCATCCTGTCTAGTACACCCTCTGGATTCTTTCTACCTTTCATTGGGCTACTTTATGAATTGAGAAAAGTTGTAGAAAACTGAGAACAATGCAAATAACTTTTGTTTCTAGAAAGGCAAATTAGTTGTGTCTGCTGGAATGCAATTGGTTATTGGCCTCTGGTAGACCTGCCATGAATGTTTGTAAATTTGATTCAGGTTTCTTTAGTGCCTCTAGAATGGCTGGGGCTTTGACTCCTCCTTTGAACTGGTTGTAACATCTGATTAGTTCCTTCATTTATTCCTGAGTTAAATAGCATCTTAGGTGCTCATTTCATGTTTCAATGAGAGTCTTCATTTTGCCTTTTGGACACACTCTTCTTTTGCGCTTCTCCTTGTGCCTACCTTCCAAGCCATTCTTTCTCCTTCTTTGCTAACTCTCTCTCCTTCACAACTTAGATGAAACCTTCAGTCTTGTCCTCAGATCTCTGTGCTGATCTATCTACCAGCTTTTCCAGGTGATCCAGTCCAGCCTACTGAATTAAAAATCACCTAAATGTTAAGAACTCTCAAACTTACATGCCAAGCCCCATCCACTGCCATGATTCCAGACTAGTGAATCTGGTCTCCTGGAAAGACCATTCAGTGTCTAACAGGCATCTTGAATCAGACGTGTCCAAAATACAGTGTGGGATTCACACTTCCCATGCCTTCAGAACTGTTCTTCCCCTGTGGCACCTTCCCTGACACCCTCTGCCCAAGCCACTATTGACTTTCACCTGGAATACCATCAACCTTTACCTGGGACACTCAATGCCTTCCTAATGAGACTCCCCCTAACCCAATCTATTCTTCAACTATTGGCCAGCATGATCTTTTTAAAGCACAAGCTGGATTTTGTCTCTGTCCTACTTAAAACAATCCTGGCTTCCCATTGAGCTTACAGTAAAATTCAAGCCGCTCAGCCCTGCTTTTAGGACCCTAAAAGATCCATCCCCAACTGCCTCTCCAGTCTCATCTCTGTTCTTCCCTTCACTCACTGCACTCAGTCACACTGGCCTGCCTGTGCTTCCCACCATGGGCTTTACATTTTCTGTTCCCTCTACTAGACATGCTCTTCCTGCAGGTATGTGCATTGTGAATTTCCTCATTTTCTTCATGGGTCAGCTCAAATGTTACCTACTCAAAGAGGCTTTTCTATACCTCCCTTTAAAAGCAGCATCTCCCATCACTCTCTAACCCCTTCCACTGATTTACTTTTCTGCACAGCATTTGTCATCAGCTGACGTTATGTATTTATTATATCCTAATGTATTTTTATTTCTATCTTATCTACTGGAATGAACATACCTTTGTCTATTTCATCCATCACTGTATATCCAGAATCTAGAAAGGTACCTGGCACATAGTAGTTTCTCAAAAAACATTTATTGAATGATCAATCACTTTCCCTTCAAGAGACAGCACCCTTACAGGTGAATATAAATATAATTTATGATATAAATAGAAAGATGGGGATTCAAGAAGCAAAATAGAACACTGCAAGCACAGAAGGAAGAATGAGCAAAAGCATATGGACAAGAAAATTCTGCAGTTTGATGCACCTGTCTATCTGTGTCTCTACTTCAGTTCAATCCAGCAAGACCAACTTGAAGGCCTCATACATGCTGGGCACTGTTCTGGAGCTAGGATATGGAGATAAATGCCACCTTGACCTTAAGAAACTCAGTTTGGGGAGGGGAGTTTGGTACATAGACAACTGACAATCTAGGAAGCCACTACTCTATAGAGGCACCATGTAAAGAAGAGTGGAAACGCAAGGTCAATTCAACTTGAGACTCAAGTCAGGATAGGCTTCCCAGAGGAGGGACTGCATCTTGAAGAAGGGACAAGAGTTTCATGAGCAGATTACGAAGAAATAATTTGTTTAAAAATTATTTTATAGGACTACAATATTTGTTGTATCAGTCAGGATGATCAAGGTTATGCTGAAGTATCAAACATCCCCCATATCCCAGTCATTTAAAAGAACAGCAGATCATCTCTTGTTGAGACCACATATCCATTGCAGGTCCTCAGGCAGCAGGGACAGTGAGCAAGGAGGCTCTGTGCAGAGATGTCCCTCAGGGCCAGGGTGTAGGGAGGGAACAGCTGTGTGCTCAAGCCCCTCAGCTGCCAGGCAAAGGAAGAGTGCTCTTGGAGTCGCATGCCAGCATTTTAAATGCTTTGCCTACTTCTCCCCACAGTCCATGGGGAGTAGCTTGTACCATATTCACTACTCCCTGCAAAGGAGACAGAACAGGCAATCCTGCCATGTTCATGCACAGAGGAAAACCAGACAATCTGGTAGGCAGCATTAAGAGTTACCCCCAGGGCACAGCAGACCGCAATGGTGGCCTTCCCAATACCACCCTTTCCTTCTTCCTATGACAGTGGCCTGGTGAGGCTGAGGCAGGCGTGCAGCCCGGCTAAAGAGCTGCATTCCCAGCCTGCGCCCCTGCTAGGTCTCGTCATGCGACACATCTAAGAACCACGCGATGTGACTGGCGGCTGCAGGATGAAGTCTCTGGGAAAGTGGCTTAAAAAGGACAGGCTAGGCCAGGCGGGGTGGCTCACGCCTGTAATCCCAGCACTTTGGGAGGCCAAGGTGGGTGGATCACCAGCGGTCAGGAGTTCCAGACCAGCCCGGCCAACATGGAGAAACCCTGACTCTACTAAAAATAAAAAAATTAGCCAGGCGTGGTCATGGGCACCTGTAATCCCACCTACTTGTGAGGCTGAGGCAGGAGAATCACTTGAACCCAGAAGGCAGAGGTTGCAGCGAGCCAAGATCACGCCACTGCACTCCAGCCTGGGCAACAAGAGCAAAACTCCGTCTCAAAAAAAAAAAAAAAAAGAAAAAATCACCAGGAATGCTTGTTAAAACCTAGATTCCTGGCCTCAACACCCAATTTGCCAGTCTGGGGTTGGGCCCAGGACTTTTCTTTCCTGATAAACTCTCAGGGGCTGCTGCTGACCTCAGATCATACCCTGAGTAGCAAACTCACTGGGGCACAGGCTAGTCCCGGGAAATCCTGCAAGTTGAGGTTATGAACCAATTCACCTATGAGCTCTCCAAGGGCAGGAGCTGGGTTTTATCCACTCACAGACGCTTACCCCACTCGCTTTTCCTCCCACGGCTCTGCCGTGTACACCCCGTGTTCCAGTCCTTCTGAATACGGCTGGTCACTGAACCAATGACACAGTCCACTCTCTTGTTGACTTACGAAGCCCACATGCACCAGGCACGGTGCCTATGCGTGGGGCAGGCCTGGGGTTCGGCCTTTCTGACCAGCACCCCCGTGATGAAATGCTGCTGTTCACAGGCCACCCTGGGGTAGTCAGGGCCAGGGGTCCCCTCCCCACCTCCTAAAATAAATGCAGGATCTAAGAGCAGCACTTGCTCCTCTCCAATGCCAGGTGCAGACATGGGAGAGCAAGGCCGGGAATGCTGTCTGGAGGACCCCCCAGCAACTTCCTTCTCCCAGAAAAGCAGAAGTACCTGTCCACTCACACTACAGTGACTTTCAGCAGTTTCTGGGGTTAATTTCTCAAAGTAAACTGCTCAGGACCACCTCATTCCCTTCTCTAAATCCCATGTCTCTGCACACTCCACAGGGGGCTGTGAGGAGGGGGCGTCTAGCTGTGTATCAGCTGGGGCTGGGGCTGCAGATGCTGGGCCTGCTCTCCTGTTTGTTGGACGCTTTGGCCCCAGTCTCCTGGTTGGGAAAACAACACAGACCCTTTAGGCTGAGAACAAAAACTCCAGCCTCCGTGGGGTCTCTGGAAATGGTTGAACTCCCGTACAGGAGTCTGAGAAGGGGACACACAGATGGGGGAACAGGAGCAGGTTTGGCCTCACGGAGGGGTGGGCAGTGGCTCCTTCGTCCTGGTCAGGAGCAGGGCACGGCTTCCTGAAGGAAATGTACCTGCTGTACTGTAGCCTGGCACAGAACTAGGGCATCTGCAGATCTAAACAGGGTGAGCCAGGAGATGAGGGGCTGCAACAGGGGAGAGGAAAGGGACGGGCAGGAGGAAGCGGGAGGAAGAGGAGTGGGAGTGAGCGGAGGGAGGAGGAGGGAGAGGGCAAGAGGAAGAGGAGGGAAAGCAGCTCTCACTAGTTCAGCAATGACCAGGACGGTGTTGTGCATTCTCTGTCTGGTATAACACAATAGCCCTACCAGGGAGGCTGTATTTCTAGCCCCACTTTACAGAAGGGGAAACTGAGATGTAGGGAACTTCAGGAACTTGTCAAAGGCCATTCAACCCTGAGTGGCAATGCTCAAACTCAGGGCTCTGCCAAAACCCCGGCTCTTGGCCTGCAGAACCCGAGGAGGGCAGGGGACCAGCAGGGGCTTTGGCCTCCAGGTCAGGACGCGAATTCTAATCCCAGCCTGCAGAGGGAGCATGTGGGTCAAAGGAGTTGGCAGCTGACTGGGTTCCGGGTGGGAGGGAGGAGCATGGAGTGGCCTTGGGGTTCCACAACGGGTGCTCAGGGTGATGACAATGCTGTCCCTGAGCCTGAGCCTGCTGCAGAGCACAGGGACATCGGGAGGAGGACGTGGTAGGCCTGGGTGTGAGCAGCCGTGTCAGGGGCCGCAGGGAGGGTGGATGGGAGCATGGGCGTTGAGAATGTGGCTGCAGGTGGGCTTCCTGAGTCCCCAGCCTGTGGGTGGGGCGAGGGCCCTTCCCTGGGTGAGGAGAGCCCGGGAAAAACAGCATCGGAACGGGTGGAAGAAGGGACGGAACCCACAATGGACCCCGGGAATGGGGCAAGTGGAGCGTGACCAGGGCGTGGGGACAGGCCTTCTTGGAGAGAGGGTCCCCGAATGCAGGGCTGGGAAGTGAGGAGGCGAAATGGGAGCGGGACAGCTCTTCTGGAAGCTTGGCTGGGAAAGGTGGTCTGGGGTTCTCTCTCTCTCCCCACTCCCTGCCTGCTTCTGCTTCAGTATCAGTGCATGAGTCAGCTGGGGCTGCAGTCACAAAGCCCCACAGGTGTTTATCCTCTACAGTTCTGGGGTTGCAGCCCAAGATCAAGGCAGCAGAGTTGGTTCCTCCAGAGGCCCTTCACTGTGGCTTATAGCTGCCACCTTCCCTGTGTTCCCCTGTGCATGTCTGTGCCCTCATCTCCTCTTTTGATAAGGACACCAGTCAGATGGGTTTAGGGCCCACCCATGTGACTTCATTTTAAAATAATCACCTCTATAAAGACCCTATCTCCACCAGGCACGATGGCTCATGCCTGTAATCCCAGCACTTTGGGAGGCTGAGGCAAGAGGATTGTTTGAGCCCAGGAGTTTGACACAAGCCTGGGCAATATAGTGAGAACCTGTCTCTTAAAAACATATTTTTAAAAAAATTAGCCAGGCATGGTGGTACATGCCTGTGGTCTCAGCTACTTGGGAGGCCAAGGCGGGAGGATCACTTGAGCCCAGGAATTTGAGATCAGCCTGAGCAACATGGCAAGACTTCGTTTCTACAAAAAATAAAAAAGTCGGCTGGGCTGGTGGTGCGCGCTTGTAGCCCTAGCTTCCTGTGAGGCTGAGGTGTGAGGATCCCTTGAGCCCAGGAGGTCGAGGCTGCATTGAACCATGATTGCACCACTGCACTCCAGCCCAGGTTACACAGAGATTTCTGTCTCAAAAAACAAATAAATAATCAAAACAAAGGTCCGGTCTCCAAATACAGTCACATGCTGAGGTGCTGGGGTTAGGATATCAACATAGGAATTGTGGGGAGACACATCTCAGCCCACGGGGATCAGTCGCAGCTTGAACTTGAGCTCTGACGTGGCTGTGGTCGGAGGACTCTGCATTCCTCTGGCTCTGAGATGTGACGTAATCACATTACCCAACCCACTTCTCACGTTCTCCACTGGGAAGCCTCACAAGCACCCCGAGACCTGAGGAGTCACCCTTGACTCTCCCGGGACTTGTTGGCACTCCCTTCAATGCAGACCTCCTGCCCAAGCCCCTGGTTTCTTGCCTGGACGACTGCGAGCCCCTCGCTGGTCTCCTGGGCACCCCCAGCTCTACTCCCTTCCGTTTTCCTCCTTGCAACATTTGTGAAATGCAAACTGGACCATGTCACCCCCTTCCTCAAAGCCTTCAGTGCTGCCCTGTTGCCCTTCGGACAACATTTCACAGCCTGGCCTGCAGGGCCCTGCCTGGCATGGACCTCTCAGCCACATTTTGAGTGGCCAGCCGTGCAACCCATGCCGTGTCTATGTTGGTCATCTTTCCATTTTTTGAATGTCCCAAGCTATTTCCCTCACCTGAGATTTGTCCAGAGCTGCTGCCTCCTCCCGAGATGTCCTCCCTGACTCGTCACCTGGCCAGCTCCTCCCACCTATGGGGGTCCACCTAGGAGCCACCCCATCCCTGCATGTCTGTGCTCCCACCTCAGCTCACCCGAGCACATCTGCCCACCGTGCACCTGCTCCTTGCTGGACAGTGCTGTAGGGATAGAGCATACACGAGACAAACAGGCTCCAGCAGGGCAAGGCGGAGAGCAGGCAGACGGGTAAGGAAAATAAACCAATGTCAGGCTAGTGGCAGGTGGAGAGTGAGGTCTCCTTTTGGAGGTCGTGGTCTTTAGTGGAGACCCACATGACAAGAAGGAGCCAGGGAAGAGCACCCCAGGTGGAAGGAACAGTTGGCGCCCAGGCCCTGAGGTAGGGATGGGGGTGGAATGTCTGTGGAAGAGAAGAAAGGACCATCGGTGGAACCTGTGGAAGCAGGCAGCACGAGCACCTGGGGAGGCTGCGAACTGAAGCCTGCAGAGTTTGTAAGCCCAGGCAAGGGATCTGGATCTTACGCTACTGGAGAGTTTTCAGTAAAGATGGGACATGATCTGGTTTATGCAGTTAAAGGATCACTCTGGGCCGGGCACAGTGGCCCACGCCTGTAATTCCAGCACTTTGGGAGGCCAAGGCACGAGGATCACCTGAGGTCAGGAGTTCAAGACCAGCCTGGCTAACATGGTGAACCCCTGTCTCTACTAAAAATACAAAAATTAGCTGGGCGTATTGGCTTGTGCCTGTAGTCCCAGCTACTCGTGAAGCTGAGGTGGGAGAAACCCTTGAACCTGGGAGGCAGAGGTTGCAGTGAACCGAGATTGTGCCACTGCACTCCAGCCTGGGCCACAGAGTGAGACCCTGTCTCAAAAAAAACCCCACAAAAAACAAAACATCACTCTGGCCATTCTAAGAAGACAGTATCAACAGAGAAGGGACATGCAAAGAGACCCCTTAGGAGGTTACTATAGAAGCCCAGGAGAGAGTTACCAGTGACCAGGGCGAGGGTGACGGAGTAAAGCTGGAGAAATGTGTGCAGACTAGTCTATGCTTTCAAAGTAGATTTAAGAGAACTTGCTTAGGGTCAATAAAGGTTGCAAGAGAAGAGGAAGCAAGGCAGATGCTGGAATTTTGACCTAAGCATAGACAGACCATCCCCTGAGAGTGTAAACCCCAGGGCACATCAGACCGTGATGGTGGCCTTTCCGATACCACCCTTTCCTTCTCCCTATGACAGTGGCCCGGTGAGGCTGAGGCAGGCATTCAGCTCAGCTAAAGAGCTACATTCCCAGCCTGCACCAATGCTAGGTGTCATCATGCAGGGGTGGGGGGCACAGGGAGGAGGACCAGGATTAGGGCAGAAGCTGAGAAAGACGGAGTATGAGTCTGTGGCCAGGTGGAGTTGGAGCTGCCCCCACTGCACCCCTGACACCCACTGCCTGCTGTGCAGCCCCCTGAGGCTTGCTCACCGTGGAGCTGCCCATTTCCACGGCATGTAGGCTGAACTCTGTCTCAGGAGCACTCCTCACTGGACTGTGACCTGCAGGACATGGGCCTCCCTATCTCATCCTCCTTCACCACAGAGGCCCCACACCCCACCCAGAAGCCTCAGCGCACAGTGAATGTGCCGCCAGTGTCGTTGGAGCGAATCAGTGACGGATGGAGGAACGCAGACATGAAAGGACCGTTGCGCTCGGTCCAAAAAGAACATCAGTAGCCCTTTGGCAGCTTGGTTCCTTGGCTTCCCCTGAAGTGCCTTTAAAATCAACTACAGTAAGAACTCATCTTTGGAATGGCCATCCACGTATTTTATGACTAATCCTGAGAAACCAGCATCACAGAGCCCAATAGGCAATGACAGTAACTATGGTAATTAACCCAAATCGCCCTTCTCTTTAAAGACCAGAGAAGCACAGGAGATGCATCCCCAGGGACTGTAAGGGATGAAGATGATTTCTTTAAGCTCCTGATATCTGCTCCACGGACGTGTAAAATCACAGCTTTGAACTCCTAGTTGAGTTGCCAGCTCTGCGGGCTCCAGAGAGACCACACACGGGTAGCCGCTGACTCACCTACACCTCAGCCCTGGGTGACCTCTTGGTTACAGGTAACCATGCGGCAGCCACCAGGCTCTGTCCCCTGCCTGCTGTGTTTTGGAGGTAGAGCCTGTGCTGGGAAGCACAGTTCCCGAAATGGTCTCCTTCGGCCTCCCAGGGCGATGCATTAGAAGTAACGAGAAGCTTCCCTGTCTGTCTGGATGGGGAGACCAGCAGGCCTAGACTTGCTAAGCAAATGTGTTTCCTCTTTGGAAAATGACTGTCCCTGGCAGCTCCCTGCCTGGACAGAGTCGGGTGCATAATGGACCTTAACTATGCGTGGGTGTGAGGAACAGGAGGGCCGGAGGCAGGCGCGGGGGCCAGACCACCCAGAAGCATGTGCTTTTGAAAGTGAAAATGAGCCATAATGACCCAGAAGGGTGTTGCTGCTTCATATTGGACTCCCAGTGGTGGAATACGTGAGAATGCTTTCAATTTTGTCGTTGAGACACCGTTGATTCTGGGATACGGCTGTGCGTGCGTGCTCTTCATCGTGGTGGAAATGGCTTGTCTTAATAAGCTCTGGAGCAAATGCAGGCTTTCAGAGTCACGCTGCAAAAACAGCATTTGGCTGTCTGCAGAGCTCCCCCAAAGCAAAGCAAACGTAGGACATGAGAGTCAAGAGAAAAAATCCTGGAGGAGGCAACCAGGGTGTGAGGGGGCCAAGACTTAGCAAATAAAAGTAACAGGGTGCATAGTTATATTGGAATCCCAGACACACAGTATTTTTTTTTTACATATAAGTATGTCCAAATAGTGCATGAGGCATACTTACACTAAAATAAATAATAACCCACTGTTTATCCCACATGTTATCTGGCAGCCCTGTACGGGGAGCGAAGCTCTGCCTGCCGCACATTAAATGAGTTTGGCTTGCCATCATTTCTGAAGGTTGAATTGTTGTTTCTGAACATTTTAACCCCTTGGCAGAAAGGAGGAGATTAGCTTAGCAAGTACTTTAATGGGTAGTTCACACGCTGCTATTTGCTATGGTAGTCTCCTCTGTCAGGCCGTTCTTGCATTGCTATAAAGAAATACCTGAGGCTGGGTAATTTATACAGAAAAGAGGTGTCATTGTGTCTCACGAACAGGAAGCATGGTGCCAGCATCTGCTTCTGGTGAAGCCTCAGGAAGCTTCCGATCATGGTGAAAGGTGGCAGGGAGCCAGCGTGTCGCAGCGTGAGAGATGGAGCAAGAGAGCGACGGGGGAAGGGGCCACACACATTTAAACAATTAGATCTTGCATAAACTTCCCGAGCAAGAACTCACTCATTGAAGGAAATAATGTATGCAGTGGCCCATTTCCAAGACAAAGTGCCTTAAATTGGCTTAGGTCAGCAAACTACAGAAGAAACAGGATATACTAGGCCCCTGCTTGGATAGCCAAGGCCCGCTTGCCAGCCCTCCAACCCCCTTGGTTGCCCTTACGTGAACTGAAGAAGTTTAGTCTAAGATGAAAGTTTACAGGCCGGGGGCAGTGGCTCACGCCTGTAACCCCAGCACTTTGGGAGGCCGAGGCAGGCGGATTACTTGAGGTCAGGAGTTTGAGACGAGCCTGGCCAATATGGTGTAACCCCATCTCTACTAAAAATACAAAAATTAGCCAGGCATGGTGACGCGTGCCTGTGGTCCCAGATACTCGGGAGGCTGAGGCAGAAGAATCACTTGAACCCAGAAGGTGGAGGTTGCAGTGAGCTGAGATTGTGGCACTGCACTCCAGCCTGAGCAACAGAGCGAGACTCAGTCTCAAAAAAAAAAAAAAAAAATGAAAATGTACTAGCCTGCAAAATAGCTAGCTTTTTCTGTTCTTATCAGCCTGCCCAGATACTTAAGTCATAAGTCAAATACTTGAAGAGCCCCCGAGCTGACTAGGATTGCAGTGCATTGTGGGCTGCAACAAAGTGCAGCAGGACAACTCCCAAAAATAAAACACCTGAAGTCCCTGCCTAACAATCAATAGGCAACATCTGGGAAGATTGTGACCCCACAGTACTCAGCCTATGAAGAACCAGGGGAGCGACCTGTGCACTGGGGGATGAACTGCTTGTTGAAACCGTGCTGGGTGTGCCTGCCCATCGACACCTGATCTTGCAAAGGCATCATTAAAAGTCTCATGTTCACCATTCTCCAGGTGCCTGAGTCCATTCTTTGGGTTTGGATGGGTGAGTTTGTTTATCACATCATCACCAAGGGGACAGTGCTAAGCCACTCACGAACGAGCCACCCCCATGATCCAATCACCTCCCACCAGGCCCACACCTCCAACACTGGAGATTGCAGTTCAACATGAGCTTTGGAGGAGACAAACATCAAAACCACGACAGCTCCTTTTCCCCTCTGTGCAGGCTGCACCCACAGCTGCTCCAGGGCTACGTGGCTGGATGCAGTGCTATGCAGAAAGCATGCTCCTTCATCTTTAAAAAACCCTGCAGGGTAGGGATCCTTGTTCCATTGTGAAGATAACTGTGTAAGGCTCAGAGAATGGCAAGAACTGCTCTAGCTCATGCAGCACATTAGCCAGGGTTCTTTAGTTGTAAGCAAGAGAAAAACAGGTTCTGTCTTGCATAAGCAGAACAGAAATGTATTAGAAAAATAAAGGGCAGCACAAACATGGCCAGAAGGAAGGGAAAACGCTGCGGAACTGGTGACAGGAGGTGTGCGTGGACATATGCCCTGCCGGCCCCAGACACAGGCCACCAGGTCACACTGGCCTCTCCCAGTCTCAGCCTCCTTTTCCCATGGTTCCGATCCACAGTTCAGGGCAGACATCTGATTGGACACAATTTACAGTGGCTGCATCTGACTGTCCCTGTTTAGGACAGGTGCATCTGATTGGGCAAGACTTTCAGGGAAAGGACACCTGATTGGACAAATGACTCAGGGCAGGCTCATCTGATTGGCTGAGTCAATCCACATTCCCATGCCCAGCTTCCAGGGAGGCTGGAAAGCAGAAGGGACCAGTGCTTTTAGAGTGTGTCTTAGAAGGGCAGATTATCCTTACCAAGACCTAAGGAGGCAGGTCCTGGAGAAACACAGCACCAACAACCAATATCTGTGCTCAGCTATGAAGCCGTGGGGTGGGAAACTAAAGGGAACCTGGACGGGTCCAGCCCCAAAGCCCCTGTTCTTTCCATTTTCCGTGCTGCCTCTGGGCAAGCCTGGGCCCTGGGTGGGCTCACAAGCCATGGGGTACCCCTCTCTATAAGCCTCTCCAGCACCACCTTTCAGAGCTCAAACAGCAAAGCACATCGCCAGAGGACACTGCCTGTGGGACAAATAAGTGAGCTACAAAAATGGCTTGGCACTGATTCTGGTGCTGCTCTAAGTCACAAAACCTTTCTCATCGAATATCTCATTATCCCTGCAAATCAGCCGATTGCACAGATAAGGGCGGCAGCCATATGGTCCGGCTTGCTAGGACAATCCCTGTTTTACACCTGTTGCCCTGGTGGAATTATTGATGGCACTGGTGCTCATTCTCAGAACTGTGCAATGTGGATGATGGATGGTCCCCTACAGATGAGGAGGAATTCTGAACTAAAGATGGGCTTGGCATGTCCTGGTGCAATTTCACCACCGTGCACCTGGATGTGGTCTTCCTCATAATTTTTTCTGCTCATTTGTACCTCTAGCATTTCCTTTGTTATTCTTGCCAGGAACATAAATTGAGATGAATAAAAAAGACATTGTGGCCTCTGGCTCCCAAGATCACATCTTCTCAGCTGCACTCTTGGAACACAGCAAAGTCAGGGTGATTTCTCTTCAGGGCTCCGCACAGAGCAACACCTTCCAGTCAACTGCCCTTGGCCAAAGCACAGGAGGCAGCTCCATCATTCTAATGGCTAATGAGGAAGTTTTCCTGCAGGTGAGCACAGAGCCACCTCCAGAGCCCAGAAGTTTCCAGGGCTGTCTTCCAACTTCTGGGTTCTGTCTCAGGTCTGCAACATTGAGTCTTTGCAGTGTCTATTCTGTTAACATCAGCCCTACCTCCCAGAGCCTTGGGCTTGCAGCTTCGCTGATGAACAGCCACTCTGCTCACTGTGCCCAGTCCCAGGACAGCCACAATGCCAAATGCATCTCCCTGGCCTCATCTGTCCCCTGTCCTCTCCTACCCAGGCCAGGAGTCCCTGCTCAGACTAAGCTCTGCCCAAACCAAGCAGGAGAGTCAGCTGACCAGGGTGGAGGTCTTGGGCCAAGCAAAGGCCCTGGGTTCAGAAGGACCAAAGGGTGGGAAAAGTAGCCACACAGCCCAGAGGCCAGCTGGCAGAAGCCAGTGCCCAGCAGTCACCCTAGATCCACACCTCTGTAGAGGGTGAGTTGTCCACCTCCCTGTGCAAGCCTGGTGGACTGCAAACTCTGGGCCATTCATCACCACACCAGGCTGCCCCAGAACTGGGCTGCATTAACAGGAGTATTATGTCCAGGAAAAGGGAGGCGAGAACCCAGCTAGGCTCTGGGATCCCAACCCCAAACACTGTGAAGTACAGAATTTGCTTCCTAGCAGTAGACTCTGGAAGGGGATGGATCCCCTTCAGAATGGATCCAGAAGAAATAGTCCCAGGAGCAACCAAAGGCAGGAGCCCTGCAGCCTGGAGAAGAGTCAATGCCCAGGAGAGAGCAAGCTGCTTTCTCCTGTGGAAATCATCCCCCATGAAGAGTGGAGACCTGGCCTGCACACCCCAAAAGGCTGAGCTATAGGTTGGAGGTCAGTTCAGCATGACAACAACTCCCATGTCCTGAGCACTTACCCTGTGCCTGGCTCTGAGAGGACGTTGTGCACACACTCTCTTTTGAAGGCTGGAGACCTCCCTGCACTGGCAGTCCTGCAATGCTCCCACCAACCCCAGAAACTCAGGGAGCTTCTGTAACTTGTGCACATCATACAGCCAGAGCCTGAAGTCCTATTGGGCTCAGGCCTCCTCTGTGCTCTGAACCACAAATGCTTCTCCACATACAGAACCTTCTAGTACAGTCATGTATCCACACTGTTATGGTCCCTGGGGTGACAGAGGAGGTGACTGACCCTGTCCCTGCTTCCTGAAGCTTCTAGGTCGGCCACAGAGTAAGGGTCTTAGGAAGTAGTGAGTCCCTGGATGAGGATCATTCCCACAGACACAGATGGCAGGGACTGGGGATGTGGATTCATGCCCCCTGCAGGGCTTTGGTGCAGGCAGCTTCTCAGAGCCACTTCCATGTGGAAACCCTCTGAGAAGCTTCTGGAGAACTGCAACCAGCTCCCATCCCCCAGCCAAGGACAGGGGGGCCACAGCAGCATGACCCTCTTAGACCTGTCTTCAGTTTTCCTCTGACCAGCAAAGCCTGGGGAGGCTGGGGGGCTGCAGCTGGGGAGGGCTGGCTAATGGGCACAGCAGGTGCAGAGATGGGGGCCAGTGGGAAGGAGCCAGGCAATGGGCTCTCCATGTGCACAGCCCAGCGGGGGCCTGGAAATAGCTGTCCTCCCAACTCAGCCCAGCTGGGCAGGGACCTGTGGGGTGCTGGGGAAATGCAGGAGCCAGTCCTCCTCCCTCCTTCTCCTGGGCCTAGCCTGAGCTCTGCCCCTCCCCTGGTGCACATCTGCCCTGCTGGGAGGGCTTTTAGTGCTCAGGGTCCAAGTACTGCTTCACAAATGAGGAGACCACAAGGAAGATGCTTTCTCAAGACATAACACTGCCTGGTGACTCTGAAAGGCCCAACCCCTGTGTGTGATTCTAGGACCAGTCTGTCCAGTACCACAGTGACCACTCCCCAACCCCCCATCCTTGTTTTCCTCCATAACCACCATGGCCTGTGTCTACTGAGCACTTACTGCCTGCTAGGAACTGAGTGAGATGCTATACACATCATATTTTTGGGTTTTCCCAATAGCCCTCTGTATTTCCCAATAGTCCTCTGTCTTAATCCCATCCCCATCATAGCGGACGGAACTAAAGTTTGGGGAAATTCTGTAACGTGCCCCAGACAGCAGAGCTAGGAAGGGGTGGAGTCCAGGTGAGAGCCCAAGTCTGAGTGCAGAACCCAGCTCTCCATCACTCTGAACTGGGTTGCTCCCGTATCTGAGAGCAATCACTGCGCAAGGAAACACCAGTCACTGAAGTGTAATGAGCTAGGGATAGGAACTGAGTCAGCCTCTTGGTGGGCCAGCAGTGCCCAGCTGGCCAGGTGTAATTGGCCTGGTGAAAGGGCCCTCGGCCATCCAACCCCTTCTGGGGGGGCTTCTTGTATTGCAGATGCCAGAAATCTAAAAACTACATTTCCCAGGTGCCCTTGCAGTGTGGGCCCTGTATGCAAATTAGGCATTGTATGAAAATGAGTTTCCTCCAATTATACACTTGTGTGAGCCACAGCTGCTCTCAGCTTCTGTGATGGGCACCACCACAGGGATGTTGAGCTTTTAGCCTATGGCCACTTGCTTTATTGGTGACAAGAGGCAGCCGTGCAGGTGGCAGCAGCTGACCCCTGCATCACAGCCCCATGGAACATTCTGGAAGTCAGTATTTCCAAGGGCAGCCTTCTTCTCCCCATTTTCTTGCCTAAGACTTTCCTGGATATCCAGCCAAGGACTGGCCACTCTGGCCAGTCCACTCTTCTTGTCTTAAACTCTGAATCTAGATTGTGTTTGTTTCCTGCAGCTGAAGCTTGACTGATGACTCTGGTGATTTTCATTAAAGGAAGAGGGAAAAAAATGTTTAAAAATTGTGCCTATTTCACAGATTAGGGTGCTGAGGCACAGAAGGGATAATCAACCCAGAGTCTTGCCAGAGTTGTTCCTGGTGCTAAGACTAGTCCCTGGACTCAGCTCTGGGCAAGAAAGGGATGGGGTGCAGACACAGTGAAACCTACTGTGCTAGTCTTTGGATCCTTGCCCACCTCGAATCCCAAAGTATTTCCCTCCCAAAGGAGCTTTGGCGTCAACTCTTCATCCAGTCATCAGCACAATTCCATTGTAGAGCTACGAGTAATAGGATCCATGTCATTTGTACAAAACAAATTTAAAAATGCAAGAAACAAAAACCTATTATTTTGAGTTGATTATGCACTTATGATCCATTGTAATATATGCATGTGATATGCAGATTTATGCACACACTTTGGAATGTGAAACTGCATAATCTTCTACCTTGCCCTTCTAAATCTCTTTGGCAAAGGCAGGGTTTGCATCGGGGTGCGTTTCAACACCAAATTGAGCTTGAATAAAGAGATTAGCGAAAAGGGAGAGGCGGGCCCATCACTTGCTATCTCATTTCAGCTACAGTTTTATGGATCTATCTTCAGGATCAAGCTGCAATGCTTTTAATGTCCCTCATGCAGGCCAAGCATCTGGGGAAGTGCTGGATGGTCCCACCTGCCGCTGTGGCTGGGGCTACAGCTGTGGCCTCTATGGCCAGTGCCCAGGGTGCCCATCAGGCCTGATTCCTGCCCAAGCACCCTCAAGGCAATGAGCCCTGAAAAGATGGGAGCCCTTTTGTCCTGTGGCTTGGGCAGGTTTGCAATATGTGGGAAGAGGAGTAGGGTGGAGACACTTAGCATGAGGTTGGAGGCGGCCCCAGGATTTGCACTGAATCAAGCGTCTGCCTGGTCCTCCCAGGATGTGGGCTGGGAAGAGGCAGTTTTCTCTGCTCTGGTGTCCCCAGGCTGAGCCAAAACTCAGAAGCAGGAGGAAAGCTGGACTGGCCATCTGCTGATGGCACAGCCCCAGCCTCATACCCCCAAGTCTATGAGTGCAGCCCTGGAGACTCATCTGTAGCCCCTTGTCATGAAAGGGCTCCCAGCAAGGCTTAGCATAGGAAGTAGGAGGAGCCTTTGGGTGAGTAAGCCCCCATTCTCCTTCTACAGGAGGGGAACCCCGTCAGGGAGGGGCAGCGGCCGAGGCATGCAGGGTCACCCTAGAAGCTGGCCCCTGACTCTGAACTCATGCTCCATTGCTGCTGCCACCCTGCCTGTTTCTTCACAGATATTTGAGTTCTCTGCCCTGCCCCCACCTCAGGTGCCCCAGGCATTGGTGGCCAACCTTCTGTGCAGTACTGGGTGGCTGGTCCTGGCAC
The DNA here is from genome assembly GCF_000001405.40 of Homo sapiens. NCBI lineage: Eukaryota > Metazoa > Chordata > Mammalia > Primates > Hominidae > Homo > Homo sapiens. Next base: position 71,331,726 of record NC_000011.10, on the reverse strand, counting down.
CCTTGCTGTTTGCCCTTCCCATTCTGGCCAAATCCCAGCTCTTTCCTGAATGCCCCTATCCAGGGAACACCAGCAGGAATGCCCCTTGGTCCTCAGGGACCTGCCTTAGCCTCGGATCCAGGAGGCTTTTTTGTTTTCCCAGTGTCTGCCGGCCTCAGGTGAGTCTGTAGGCACCTCCAGGCCTCAGTGTTTTCCCCTTTAATGCTGAGAGAATCATCCCCATATCCAAGAGATGATATTAGAGAAATGTCATAGCTCCTGCCCAGCACATAGCTGGTGTTCATGAAATAAATGGTGGGAGCAGCTTTTCTCTCCAGTTAGATCAGTGGTGTGAACATTTCAGGGGTTATGAAAATGTTAAGAATCTGATGAGAGGAACTGACCTTCCTCCCAGGAAAATGCACATGTGCATTCATAGAAAAATTAGATGGAGTGTCATGGGTTCCTCAGTCATTCATCTCCATCAATCTTTGTTCAAGCAGTGAGAACCCCGGCACAGCCCGGTCCATCAGAGCCTCCAGGTCACTGTGCATACTCCCCAGAGACTCTGACCCACATGGGAAGGAGGGGCTGGATCCAGGAGTGAGCTGCACAGGGAAGAAAGAAGCCTTCAGAGAACAGAGCACCTGGTCCACCCACCTCACCTGCCTCAGGTCCCTACCCAGGGAGACGCCACAGGTGCTTCTGGGGATCAGGGAGGGGTAATCCCTCCATTCTCTCCATCTGAGGGGCCTTGTGTGGCTAGACCAAGGTGATGGGAGCTGCTCTGCAAAATTTGCCTCTTCGTGGGACCTCTCCCAGCACAATTTAAATATCCGGAACTGGACATCATCAGACTTCCCAAGAAACACACAAGAAAGCCCACCGTTGCCTACTCACTTATTTTAAATGCTGTGATGCTCTGCCTCACAATCAGAGATTCCATTTTTTCACCAATGCATTATTTCCTTGGCCATTGGTGGCTGTGTTGAGAATTAGATTTCTCATGAGTGTTTCTCAGATTGAAAAATGCTTCATGATGAAGTAAAGTATGCAAGTAACCTAGAGGTATGTCCATGGTCATGAGACGTCCTTGTCAGCCGTTTGCCCCTCTGCTGCCTGTGGAGGCCTCTGACGTCACGTGTGCGTGGGCACCTGGCTCTGTCCTCTCCAACCTTCAGCGTGGAGGTGGGGAAGGGGCACCAAGTGGGAGCTGAGCCAAGGCAGCAGCAGGCTGGGCTCAAGAAAGAGGTGGGGGGAGGAGGACAGGCCCCCGGACCTCACTGTGACACCACAGAATCGAGTGGCTGGCCCACCTCTGGCTGTCATTTTAGAATTCTGTTTCTTCAGTGTGTACTGAGGCCGGCAGAAATGCACAGGCCTGGTCACGCAGGAAGTCACCTCTCCCACGTGTGCTTTACCCATCAAACATCCAGCCAGCCCCAGTCCATGCCAGGCATTTTTCTAGGCGTTTGGAGCATAACAGAGTTCAAGGGGACCGATTCCTGCCCTAACAATATGTCTGATGGATAAGAACTGACCTGGAGAAGAGGTCAGTTTCCTAACGAATAGGTCACTGTCAAAGGGTGGTAACATGGAGAAGGAAGGAAAGTGGCAATCAGGGACCTGGGATGAGTGTTGGGAGCAGACGACACGTTTAGATAGAGTGGTCTGGGACGGCCACCTTGAGAAGGTGATGTATGAGTCAAGGCGAGGAGGTGGCATGGGGAAGAACATTTCAGACACAGGAATGGCTGATGCAAAGACTCCAGGGCAGATGGGTACATGGGTGGGGAGTCTGGGGAAGGGCAAGGAAGACTGTGGGGCTGGAGCTGAGCAAGTGATGGGGGGAGAAGGAGACAAGGCCAGGCAGGGAATGCAAGGAATGGGGTTTCTGCAGTTGGGGCAGGTCCAGTGGGCCTTTTTAAGGGCTTTGGCTTTTATTCAAGGAGAAATGGGGAGCCCTCTAGGGTTTTGAACAGAGTCACATGCTGTGACCCACCCTCTAAAGCAGGGGTAATGATCCCCGGCCTTTTAGGACCCTGGCTGCACAGCAGGAGGTGAGCAGCAGGCAAGTAAGCATTCCGGCCTGACCTCTGCCTCCAGTCAGATCAGCTGCAGCATTAGATTCTCATAGGAGCATAAACCCTATTGTGAACTGCACATGTGAGGGATCTAGGTTCCCCACTCCTTATGAGAATCTAATGCCTGATGATCTGTCACTGTCTCCCATCACCCCCAGATGGGACCATCTAGTTGCAGGAAAACAAGCTCACAGCACCCACTGATTCTACATGATGGTGAGTTGTGTAATTTCATTATAGCACAATAATAATAACAAAAATAAAGTGCACAATAAAGGTAATGTGCTTGAATCATCCCAAAAAGATCCCCCCTGCATCCCCGCCCTCCCTGTCTGTGGAAACATTGTCTTCCATGAAACCAGTCCCTGGTGTCACAAAGGATGGGGGCCACTGCTCTAAAGGATCACACCAGGATCTGTGCCGCACAGAACCTCTAAGCACTCAAGAGTGGAAGCAGGCAGACCAGAGAAGATGCTACTGCAACAATTAAGCACGATGACACAGCCACTCAGCCCGGGAGGTGGCAGTGGTGAGGCTGTGAAGTGTTCATGCTGGGATTTAGCTTCAAAGCAGAATTAACAGAATCGACTTTTTTTTTTTTTTTTTTTTTTTGGACAAGGTCTTGCTCTGTCACCCAGGCTGGAGTGCAGTGGGGCAATCACAGCTCACTGCAGCCTTGACCTCCCAGGCTCAAAGGGTCCTCCCACCTCAGCCTCCCCAGTAGCTAGGACCACAGGCCTGTGCCCACATGCCCGGCTTGTTGACATGTTTGATCTGGGTGTGAGACAGTGAGGGAGGCTGGTTTTAAACTGAGCAACGAACCCAAAGGTTGGAGGTGCCACCACCCAAGATGTAGCAGGATCCAGTGTGGCACCTTTGGCAGGAACAGTTAGGAGCTGGACTGAAAATACTGGCAGACATACATGCAGCCATGAGCTTTCAGGCCTATATAGCTGGAGTGCAGGAAGGTCTGGGCTGGGGGTGTGGGCACCTGGGTGGAACGAGAGACACGCCTGGAGCAGAGCAGCAAGGAAGGGACTGCAGGCAGAGAAAGAACATGTCCAGCTGGGCTGTTCCAGCCTTAAGAGGAAGATAGGAGCCAGGCGCAGTGGCTCATGCCTGTAATCCCAGCACTTTGGGAGGCCGAGGCAGGTGGATCATGAGGTCAGGAGATTGAGACCATCCTGGCTAACATGGTGAAACCTCATTTCTACTAAAAATACACACACACACACAAAATAATAATAGCCGGAGATAGTGGCACATGCCTGTAGTCCCAGCTACTCAGCAGGCAAGGGCAGGAGAATCACTTGAACCCAGGAGGCGGAGGTTGCAGTAAGCCGAAATTGCACCAGTGCACTCCAGCCTGGGCGACAGAGCAAGACTCCATCTCAAAGAAAATAAATAAATAAAAATTTAAAATTAAAAAAAAATGAGCTGGGCATTGTGGTACACACCTGAGGTTCCAGCTACTTAGGAGGCTGAGTTTGGAGGATCAGTTGAACCCAGGAATTCAAGGCTGCTGTAAGCCATGATTGCACCACTGCACTCCAACCTGGGCAACAAAGCAAGACCCCATCGTTCGCAAAAAAATAAAAACTAGCTGGATATGGTGGTGTACACCTAAGGTTCCAGCTACTCAGGAAGCTGAGATGGAAGAATCGCTTGAGCCCAGGAGTTTGAGGCTGCTGTGACCATGCCACTGCACCCTAGCCTGGGCGACAGAGCCCTGGAAGCCAACACCACAGAGGGAGGAGGGGGCACTACCCACACGTTCCTGGGGCCAACACGATGGGGACTGAGGACTGACCGTGCTTGGGCAATGCAGTGGTCACTCTGAGTGACCCTAATGAAAGCACTTTGGATGGGTTCCTCAGGTCCTCGAAACCACCATGTGAGCAGGGACCATCGCTACCAACATCTTACAGCTGAGGAAACAAACGCTCAGAAACACAGCCCAGCTCCCACAGCCAGGTGTACAGGCAAGCAGGGCCTGCAGAGGACGCCTGCTCACAAGATGGGGTTCAGAGCCCGCGTCCTGGGCAGTTCCTCATACACCGTGGTCAGGATGCACAGCCAAGTCCCAGGCGGTCCCCAGGATCTTGGTGCAGAGACCAAGTCCACCAGGCAGACTCAAAAGCAAAGTCAGGCTAATGACAGGGGCTGGGCCCAGAGCAAGGTGCTGGGAGCCGGGGCTGGACCAGAAGTCAGGCAGCTCGGCATGAACAGGGATTCAAACCTGTCTGTTCACTGGGGTGCAGACGTGCAGCCTGGGAGTGGGGACAGGGGTACATTGGTACAGTGCTATGAGGTGCCACCTGCACCAGGTGGAAGGGAGTGTTCATGCCAGGTCTCCAGAAGGACAGGGAGGAGGCCTTAGAGGCCACTGCCGGCTTCCTGCCTGCAACTGCTCTTGTCTGGAGACAGGAGAGACTGAACCATCCAGGGCAAGGGGGCTCAGGACCTGGACGTGCTAAGTTTAAAAGCCAGAGGCTGGAAAAACAGACCCAGACAATTTTGCAGATGGGTCCTCAGATGTGTTCTGTGTTTCTCTGCATCACACAGACCACAGCAGAAATGAGAGGCTTGGATGACAGGAGACCCTGTGTCCATCTGCACTTGGCCCCTGCCCTTGAGGCAGGCTCCATGCCTCCCCCAGGTGCGGTAGTTGAGTAAGGAAAGCAGTCTGCCAGCGTCGTGCGGCCCATGTGCCCAAACGTGCACATCTGCATTGACCCCATGAACACTGGAGTTGCATGGGCCCCAAGAGGGCATCATGCCTTCAGCCCACGTTTCTCCAAGCCTCAGGATATTATTGAAGTCTCTGGGCTGCAAGTAGGATGGCTGCCTGATTCACCTCCCAGCCTCCCCTGGGGTTGCTTCTTGGATGCCACATATCCACAGTCCACCGACTGGCCAGAGGAGGGCTGGGCGAAAGTGCAGCCACTTGTCTGCTGGACATCCCAGGAAGAGGACAGCCATGGCATTTAATACCCCAGACAAGCAAATCACCAGTAAGTGACAGATCTTCCTCCGTGGGGTTGGTGTTGGAAATGCTGAGAGGCATGGAATCTGGCGGTGGCTGGCTCCTCCGTGGCTCTGAGTTGACCAAGGAGAACCGGCCTCTGGAGTGGCAGTAAATCCAGGAGTGGGCTGTGCTGTTGACACCTTGGAAGGGTCTCCTGGGGCCGGGCCAACTGTAGGTGATTTGTAATTGAATGGTGCTGAAACTTGGAAGATCCTCACACTCAGCAAGGAAACACCACCTTCCTGGCCCTTCAAGCAACGTGAACTCAATTTGCCAAGCTTTTCCCTGAAGCAGCAGTGACGCTTCCTACCGAGTTGGACCTGGTGCAAACCTGTGGCCACCCGCAGGGGCTGTGAAGGCTCTGAAGGAAGAGGTCACCAGGACCAGGCTTGTTCTGGGGACAGATGAGGATGTGCCTAGTCCTGAAAGACTGAACATTGCTTCCCACGGCACCTGACCCCAGGGCACTCTTCCTAGTCCCATAGGATCCAGGCCCAGGCTGGCTTCCGCCGCCCCTGGGAAATGGAATTTGTGCAATACCACCTGTATTCCTTTGCTGTGGCTGCCTTAACAAAGCCCCACAGATGTGTGGTTTAAGCAACAGACACTTACTGTCTCAGAGTCCTGGCAGCTGGAAGGCCGAGATCAAGGTGTGGCAGGCCTGGCTCCTCCTGAGGCCTCTCTTCCTGGCCACCTTCCCCTGAGTCCTCACGCGGTCATCCCTCTGTGTGTGCCTGTGTCCTCGCCCCCTCTTCTGATAGGCACCCCAATCAGATGGGATTGTGGCCCACCCTCGTGAGCAGAGCGGGTCCACGTGGTTCTGCAGCCCCACCTTGGCTGTGTCGCCTCCAACCAGCCTTCATTTTCCCCCAACCTCCCTGGAGGGCCATATTTATGTCGGTGGCTGCTGTAACAAATGAAACAAATGACCACAATCAGGATGGCTTAAAACAGTACGGATTTATTCTTTCACAATTCTGCAGACCTGAAGTCTGAGATCAGGGCGTCAGCCCGGCTGTGCCCCCTCCGAAGGCTCTGGGGAAGGACCCTTCCAGCTTCCGGTGCCGGGGGTCTCGTCTCTCGTGACCACTCCACTCCAGTCCCTGCCTCCCCTTCACAGGGCCTCCTCCACTTCTCTCTGTGTCTCAACCCCCAATCCGTTCTCTTCTAAGGTCACTCGTCACTGGGTTTAGGGCCCATCTAGAAAATCCAGGATGAACATGGCTCAAATCTTTAACTTAATCAAATCTTGCAAAGACCCTTTTTCCAAAGAGGGTCACATTCCCAGGTGGGGGGAGTTGGGACAGGGACACGTCTTTCTGGGGGACTCTTTTCCCAGGTGGTGGGAGTTAGGAATCAGACATGTCTCACTGGCAGACTCTTTTAGCCCCTGCAGGTGCCGTGCTGGCATCCCGGGTAGAGGCCTCCTCCCATCTCCAACCCAAACTCCCGCGCTGGGTGTCCAGGTGTGTTTCTCCACCATTCTGCTCCATATCTCCACGTGTGGGTCTTGCAGGCATCTCTACCTATTGTTCCCAAAATGGAACCCCATGCTCCCTCCCCACTGCTGTGTGCTTTTTCTTCTCCCAGTGGTCTTAGGCCGCAGCCTCACCACCCTCCCATCGCTCCTGCTGGCCATCTTCCTCAACCCTCCTCTCTTACTTCCTCCTCACTCCCCATGAAACCCCAAAGCCACGGATGGGTCCAATTCTCTCCCTTTCCTCGGCCACCACCGTCTCCCTCCTGGACTTCGGACAGAACCTCCTGGGGGGGTTCCTGCCTCATTCTTGCTCCCCACAGTGCACTCTCTACAGAATGGATGTCATAATATTTTTTTTTTTTGAAACGGAGTCCCCCTCCCTCTGTCTCTCAGGCTGGAGTGCAGTGGCTCACTCTTGGCTCACTGCAACCTCTGCTTCCCAGGTTCAAGTGATTCTCCTGCCTCAGCCTCCCGAGTAGCTGGGATTACAGGCATGTGCCACGACACCTGGCTAATTCTTTATATTTTTGGTAGAGACGGGGTTTCACCATGTTGGCCAGGCTAGTCTCGAACTCCTGACTTCAAGTGATCTGCCAGCCTCAGCCTCAGTGCTAGGATTACAGGCGTGAGCCACCATGCCTGGTGCCATAATCTTTTAAAACACAAATTAGATTGTTAGTTCCTATCTTAAAATCTTCCAGAAGAATCTCACCACTCTTAGAATATGGTCCATTCCCTACTGTGCCCATAGGGCCCTGCGGGGCCAGAGGCTCCCTGCCCTCTCATCTGGAACTCCCCTCTGGGTGGTTCCTCATGCTGACCAGCCTCAGGGCCTTTGCACAGACGTCCTGCCTGAAATACCACCCCCACTTTCTGTACTGGCTCCTCATTACTCAGGCCCCCACTTAGAGGCCACCTCACCAGAATCCCTGTCCCTGCACCTGTGCCTGTCCTGCATAGCACTCGTGGCAGGTTGTAGCAACACGTTTCTTGGTGTCTTTGCAGAGTGTCACCTATCAACTTGCAGTTCCTTGGAGGCAACGGAATAGGCGCCGGTGTGCCTGGTGAGTGACGGGAATAATGAATGACCCAGGGAGGGGACGCAGGGATGGGATGCCCTGTGCAGATCCAGGGTGCAGGCCAGTGTGGGTGAGCCTGAGACAGCTCCCTAGAGACATGATGGTACTTCCTGGGTGCCAGGACCTCGAATGGGAAGGAGCTAAGGCAGCCTCCCGGATAGTCAAGGAGCTGCCCTGTGACATCATCTCTGAGTTATTATAGAAAGCCATTGCTTCTGAAAACCAGACTCAGTATAGGATCTAAGTGTTCAGGTATTTACAGAGCCCCCACTAAGCACCAGGCACTGCCCTAGGGGCTGGTGACATAGCCCTGGATAGGCAAGGACCCTGCCCTCCTGGATGCCATCCTCCTGAGGACTGCACCCTCAACAAGCAGATACACAGGATGGCCTTGTAGATTCTGATGGGGCTTAGAAAGCCTCTTCCTGCACAGTGAATGTGGGCTCGGGAAGATGGATTCACTGCTGTGGCTGAGCAGCCCCCTGTCCCCCAGGCTTCTCCGATCCCTCCTTACTTGGGGCTCCACCTGCCTTCAGGCCTCCTGTGGCAGCCGGTGGCCCTGACTCTGACCCTGGCCCTTTGGATGGAGCCTCCTGGCACTGGTTTCCTCCCTAGGTTCCCACAGAACTGGCTCTCCCTAGCTCTTCCGCCTCTGTCCTTGGCTTTGGCATCCCCAGCATTTACCTCCCTGGGCCTGGGCACTGGGTGTGTTCCTCAGCCTCTGGCAACAGCAGCCTCCTGTTTGACCACTGACACAGACACTTAAGACATGGAGTCCAAGAGTGGGCTGGGGTGACCACCTCACCGGAATACCATGGTACTGTCACCAGCAGAAGGCCAGAGGACATTGGACTAGCAAAAAACAACAACTGTTCATGCAGGCGTGTTGGGGGAAGCCCTTGAGGGTCACAAGACGGGAGACGGGCACAGCTCTGCAGCCTGGGAAGAAGTTAGGGATCAGGGGACCCAGAGTGGTTCAACCCTCCATTTGGGGCCTCCCAAAGCAGGGAAGATCCACAGGCCCTGCCAGGAGCATCTTAAGAACACAGCGGGGACAAGAGCACCCCAGACCTGGCAGGACCAGGGAGGCGTTGGCCGGAGGGGGAAAAGATGTCTTGACAGTGACAGATTGCATCGTCCCTCAGCACCTCAGATGGGAGACGGGGCCGAGTTTGGGTTGATTTAAAGTTAATTGAGGAGTGCAATCTTCTTCATGCTTGGGGGTTAAGATTCAGGTTTGGTGTAAGTGGATGGAGGGATAAAGATCAAAAGAAAGGAAGTCTCTGCTCCTCAGCCTGCCCTGACAGTGTCTGACAAAGGCTAACCCAGGCATGAAAGTGAGCAGTCCTAATTTAAAATACTCAACAGAAGAATCCAAGAGTGTGCTCAACTCTGGAACCTCCATGAGGTCTGTCCCGGGAGGCGGCTTTGGGTGGTCCTGCCACAGAGGCACTGCATTAGGAAATGGGCATCTTCTCCCTGAATAGGCGCCCAGGCCTCAGGGCATGGCAGCATCTGGGTGGGGCCCAACTGGGTTTGGGTCGAGGGGGTCGGAGCAGAGACAGAACTCTGAGAGCGGCCCCAGCAACCGGTCTTCCCAGCCGGGGAATCTTCCTGTCCAGCAGGTGGAGGTTGGGTAAGCCAAGTAACGGAGCTAATTACCCTCAGAAGCAAACATATCCTCCCAAATTGATCACCCAATTCCACAGCAGTCGCCCACATCAGACGTGTCCAATCTGTGTGGCTTGGCTCACATGAAAATCAATTAGAAGGCTGGCAACCTTGAGGTCACTGCCTTGCTTCTAGCCCTGTCACCATGATGAGTTTGCATAACCTTGAGGTACTGCCTTGCTTCTAGCCTTGTCACCATGATGAGTTCGCATATTAGACCTGTAATTTCTGCCAGAGCTGTTGTAATTTTCTACAGCCATCCGCACGCGGGAGGGAAGGGGGAGAAATGATGTTCTGCAGGGCACTGGGGCCAAAGACTCACCAGAAGTTGTCAGCACAAAGGGCGGAAGGATGGTCCAGGTCACCCCCTGGTGGTCCCTGGGATGACCACGCGACAGCCGCCACGTCCTGGGCTCCCTGCACATGTGATCTGCCCTTGCCCAATGTTACCTCTGGCTCTCAGGATGCCCCATGAGCTCAGTGTCAGTACACGTCCAAAGAATAGTTTATGAAATGCATAGCCTGGTTCACAGTGTGTCCTGTAACCCAGAAAGGGTATAATTCTCCTTTGAAGATAGGGAAACTGAGGCAGAGAGGATAAGTGACTTTCCCCATGTCAGGTGGAGAGCAGTGGCATGTGAACTTCAAAGCCCACACCCTTGCCCTTCGACCTCCCACAGGGACTACACCTCCCTGCACCCTCCAACCTACCCTTAATCAATGAGTGAGAGCTGCCATGTGTCGACTGCATCTTAGGCTATTGCACAATGATCTCATGCAAGCCACTCTACAAGCAGGGGTGCATGTGTCTGTTCTTGCACTGCTATAAAGAAATACCTGAGGCTGGTAATTTATACAGAAAGAGGTTTAATTGGCTCATGGTTCTGCAGGCTATGCAGGAAGCATGGCAGCATCTGCTTCTGTGGAGGCCTCAGGAGGCTTCCAATCATGACAGAAGGTGAAAGGGAAGTGAGGTAGCTCACATGGTGGGAGGAGGAGCAAGAGAGAGAGGTGGAAGGTTCCACACACTTTTAAACAACCAGATCTTGGGAGAACTCATTCAGTATCACAAGGACACCACCAAGAGGATGGTGCTAAATCATTCATAAGAAACCACCCCCAAGATCCAATCACCTCCCACCAGGCCCCAACTTCAACATTATAGATTACAAATCAGTATGAGATTTGGGTGAGGACACAGATCCAAACCCTATCAGGGGACATGGGGCCAGCTTTGAGGATGAGTACGCTGAGGTTAAGGGAGGCTAAGGGATTTGCTGCAGTCAGGATACCCTGCGGTGGAAGCAGGAAGGGGCAAACCAAGGAATCCCAAACTCCCAAATCCTAGCTCCTCGAATTCTCTTCCCAGCGTGTTCATTCATGAACGTGGGCCTAGTGATACCTAATGCTTCCGTGTCTCTCCTCACTTGTTCTGCTTTCTGATAACTCCTCATAGAATAAGAGAGGGAGGAACCAGAGGACAACAGCAAATGGGTACAGGGATGGTCCCTGCCCTCACGGAGCTCGGAGCCAGGGTAAGAAGAGGGGTCAGGTATTAGAGAAATGTATGTACAGGATCGGGTACATATATTTCAGGATCAGGGGTCAGATATTAGAGAAATGTATGTACAGGATCAGTGTGGTGGCTGGCTTATACTGAGCTCCCAATATTTTTAAGTTAAGAACATTGTTAGCATCTATCATATACATCTTAATGTATGTTGAGGAGCATGTTTTGGATAATAATATTTATGGAACACTTATGTGCACAGGACCAGGCTTAGGAGGTTCAGTTTGAAGACTGTTTCTCCTGCAGTGACCCTTCCAGGGCTGATTAAGCAGCTGCAGATGTGGTGTGATTTTCCTTACTCAACACTGCAACTGGGACAAAGCATGAGGCAGGTGGGAGGTGATGGTCAGAGAGACCTGGACTGTGGACCTCCTTTCTGCCTCAGGGCCACTAGAGAAGGAAGCCTCAGCCCTAATCCTCCTTTCCCAGTGGGTAAAAGTGCAGGGCTCTGGATCAAAGCCACTTACTGTGTGACCTTGAATAAGTCAGGAGGTGGGACCACCAGGGGGATGACCTGGGCCATCCTTCTGCCCTTTGTGTTGACAAGTTCTGGTGAGTCTTTGGCCCCAGCACCTGTAGAACGTCATCTCTTCCCCTTCTTACCTGTATGCCGATGGCTGTAGCAAATTACCACTGCTCTGGCAGAAATAACAAGTCTAATATGAAAACTCATCATGTTGACAAGGCTAGAAGCAATGCAGTGACCCCAAGGTTACCAGGCTTTTAACTGGTTTTTCATGTGAGCCAAGTCACACAGATTGGACAGGTCTGATGTGGGTGATTGTCGTGGAATTAGGTGATTGATTCGGGATGATATGTTTGCTTCTCAGTGTAACACAAGTTACACTGAGACACCCAGCTAGTACTGCCTGCACATTTGCCAAGCCGGCAACCATTCCCTTTGAATTTGCTGGAGACAGCAGCGATGACATAAAACTCCTTCTCCTGAAAGCAGAAGGGAACTGGAGTTTTTCAAATTTGTTGGCTTATTTTCAGATTTACTAGAAAGCAAAACAAAATAAAGCATGTCAGTGGTCTGGCTGGCCAGGAGTCTTGGCCCTCCCTCCTAGAATACAAGCCTAAGGTCTCAAGCAGGTGTGGGCTGGTAAACCAGTTTTCTAAAGGAGAGCAGCAGAGGGTTAGCATTGGCTCAGAGGCAAGAAAAAAACATGGTCTGCAGAGACAAAGCAATCATCAGAACAAAACTCAAATGTGACACAGGTGTTAGAATGATCAGACAGGGAACTTAAAATTACTATGATTATTATGTTAAAGGATCTAATGGAAAAAGTAGACAACATGCAAAAACAGATGGGTAATGTAAACAGAGAGATAGGAATTCTAAGAACCAATAAAAAAAAATGCTAGATGAAAAACTCAGTCAGAAGAATGCCTCCAAAGGGCTCATCAGTGCCTCAACACAACCTGGCAAGGGTCTGAGCATCTGGACAGTGGAATGAAAACCTCTCAGAATGAAATCCGAAGAGAAAAAAGAATTGAGCAGAGAATAGAACACACAGGAACTATGGGATCATCTCAAGGATTCAATAGAGGCAGGTGTGGTGGCTCATGCCTGCAATCCAAGCACTTTGGAAGGCCGAGGCAGGAGGATTACTTGAGGCCAGGAGTTCCAAACCAGCCTAGGCAACATAGTGAGATGTCATCTCTACAAAAAATGAAAAAATTAGCCAGCCACAGTGGTGTGTGCCTCTTGTTCCAGCCACTTCAAGAGGCTGAGGAGGGAAGATCACTTGAGCCCAAGAGTTCAAGGTAGCAGTGAGCTATGATCATGCCACTGTACTTCAGCCTGGGTCACAGGGTGAGACCCTGTCTCAAACAGAAACAAAAACAAAGATGTAACATACATGTAATTGGAATACTAGAAGAAGAAAAAAAGATAGAGGAGAGAAATATTTGAAGTAATAATGGGAAAGATCTTTCCAGAATTAATGAGAAACAATAAGTACACATGCAGAAAGCTTGGTGAGCACTGAACACGATAAATATCAAACATACACCCCCCCCAGACATGTTGCATTAAAACTGCAGAAAACCAGAGATAAAGAAAAATTCTTGAAAGAAGGCAAAGGAATAAAACATCTGATCTATTGGGGAACAGTGGTGAACATTACAGTGGGCTTCTCATTGGAAACCATGCCAGCAAGAAGAGAGTGGCATAAAATACTTCATGTTGAAAAAACAAAACAAACAAACAAACAAACAAAAAAACACAAGGCAGAGCATGGCAGCTTCTTGGGAGGCCAAGATGGGAGGATGGCTTGAGGCCAGGAATTTTAGAACAGCCTGGGAAACATAGTGAGACCATGTCTCTACAAAAAATAAAAATAAAAAATTAGCCAGGCATGTTGGCACACAGCTGTAGTCCCAGCTACTTGGGTGGCTGAGGCAGGACAATCACTTAAACCCAGCAGTTCAAGGTTATAGTGAGTTATGATTGTGCCACTGTACTCTAGCCTGGGTAAGAGAGTGAGACTCTGTCTCTACAAATAAAAAATACATTAAAAAATTAAAACCAACAAGAATTCTATCTCTAGAAAAATTATCCATCAAAAGTGAAAAATAAAGAAATACTTTCTTAGAGGAAACAAAGGAAAATCCTGAAGGAATTCATCATCTGCAGACCAGCCCTGTTAGAAATGTTTCAAAGAAGCTCTTCATGCAGAAAGAAAATGGTGTGGGTCAGAAACTTGTATCTACACAAAGAAAGGAAGAGCATCAAAGAAGAAATAAGTGAAAGTAAAATAAAATCATTTATTTTTGTTATTCTTAATGAACCTAAAAGATAACTTTTTTTCATAAGCAATAATGGTAACAGTGTATTGAGTTACACATATTGGATTATAGCATATGGATGAATGATATTAATAATAGCAATGTCACAAGGAACAGGAAAGAGGAATAGAGAATACTCTTGTAAGTTACTTCTACCACACACATAAAGTAGTATAGTGTATTTTCAGGTGAATTTAGATTAGTTAAAATGTATATTGTAAACTCTAGAACAATGACAGGAAAATGTATACAAGAAATATAATTTCAAAACCAGAAAAGGCAGAAAAGGGAGAGAGAAATGAAAAACTAATGCAACAAATAGAAAACAAATATATCAACCACTATTTTACATGTGAATGGTCTAACTACACCAATTAAAAAAAATAAAGATTGCCAATGTAGATTAAAAACAAGATTGAACTATATGCTGTCTACAGAAACCCACTTTAAATATAAAGACCCAGCTAGGATAGATGTTAAGAGATAGAGAAAAATAGACCATGCTGACAGTAATCAAAAGAAAGCTGGAGTAGCTCTCTTAGACCTCAGAGCATGAACATTAGTCAGGAACAAAGGGAAGCATTAGATAATGATAAAGGGATCAATTTTCCAAAAAAGATAACAATCTTAAATATTTATATGTAACCAAAGAGCTTAAAAATAAAGCAAAAACAGGCTGGGCACGATGGCTCACATCTGTAATCTGAGCACTTTGGGAGGCTGAGGCAGGTGGATCACCTAAAGTCAAGTGATCGAGACCAGCCTGCCCAACATGGTGAATCCCTGTCTCTACTAAAAATACAAAAAATTATCCAGGCGTGGTGGCAGGCACCTGTAATCCCAGCTACTCAGGAGGCTGAGACAGGAGGATCACTTGAACCCAGGAGGCAGAGGTTGCAGTGACCTGAGATTGTGCCATTGCACTCCAGCCTGGGCAACAAGAGCGAAACTCCATCTCAAAAATAAAAATAAAAATAATAAGGCAAAAACTGGTAACACTGAAGGGGAAAATAGCCAAATGTACTATTACAGTTGGAGTCTTTAATATTCCTCTATCACTAATTGATAGATCAAGCAGGCAGGAAATCAGTAGAGACATTGATGACCTGAATAGCACTAGCAACCAACTTGATCTAATTGACATTTACAGAGTACTCCATCAACAGAACACACATTCTTCTCAAGCTCACATGGAACACTCACCAAAACAAACCACATTCTCAGTCATAAAACATGCCTTAAAATATTTAAAATAACAGAATCCATACAAAGTATGATCTCAGATTTCAGTGCAATTAATCTAGCAACCAAAGCAGAAAGATAACTGGAAAATTCTGCAATATTTGAAAAATAAGCAACACTTCTAAGTAAACTGTGTGTCAAAAAAGAAGTTTCGATGGAAGTTTTAAATATTTTGAACTAACAAAAATGAAAATACAACTTATCAAAATTTGTGGGATGTGCTAAAGCAGTGCTTAATGGGAAATGTACAGCCTTAAATGAATATATTTAAAAGAAGAAAGCTCTAAAATCAATAATCTTGACTCCCATCTTAGGAAAGTAAAGGAAAAAGGGCAAAATAAGCCCAAAGCGAATGAAAGAATAAAAATTAGAAATCAAGGAAATTGAAAATAGGAAAACAATAAAGCAAACCAATGAGACAAAATAAAGCTGGTTCTTTAAAAATATCAATCAATTTAATAAACCTCTAGCAAGGTTAACCAAGAAAAAAGAGAAGACACAAATTAGTAGTGTCAGAAATGAGAAAGTTTCATCATTATTGATTCCTTGGACATTAAAAGGATAGTAACAGAATACTACAAATAACTATGCCCCAAAATGTGATGGCTTAGATGAAAGGAACCAATTTCCTGAAAGACACATATCACCAAAACTCACACAAGGAGAAATAAATAACTGGAACAGACCTATATTTACCAAAGAAATTCAATCAATCAGTTCCAGATTGTTTTACTGGTGAATTCCACCAAATATTATATTTAAGGAAGAGGTAAAATCAATTCTCCATAATTTCTTCCAGAAAATAGAAGCAGAGGGAATGGTTCCTAACTCATTTTATTAGTCTAGCATTACTTTGATACCAAAACCAGATAAAGACATTACAAGAAAGGAAAACTAAGAACCACATTTTTTATAAACATAGATACACATATCCTTAAAAAATATTAGCAAATGGAATGCATCAATATATAAAAAGGATAATACATCACAACCAAGTGAGGTTCATTCCTAGAATGTGAGGCTGGTTCAACATTCGTAAATCAATCCATGTAATTCATCATATTAACACATTGAATTAGAAAAACCATCTGATTATATCAATAGATGCTGAAACAGTCAACATCATGTTTCATAGAATAAAAACATTCAACAAAATCTAACACTCATTCATGATAAAAACTCTCAAAACACTAGGACTAGAGCAACTTCCTTACTCTAAAAAAGAAATGTTATGATTCACATCAGACTTAACGGTGCAAGACTGAATGTTTTTCCCCTGACATTGGGAAGAAGGCAAGGAGGTTCCCATTCCCATTCAACATCATACAGGAAGTTCTGCCTAACAGAATAAATTTAGAAAACGAAATAGGTATTCAGATGGGAAAGAAAAAGAAACTCAATTTTTTTGCAGATGACATAATTGGCTATGGGAAAAACTCCAAAGAATCTACAAAAACAACTCCTGGAACTAAAAAGCAAGTATAGCAAAGTCTCAGGATACAAGGTCAATATACAAATGTCAATTGATTTCCAATAAACCAACAATGAACAATTAGAATTTCAAATTGAAAAAAATACTATTTATAGTAGCACCAAAAGAATCAAGCACTTTATAAATCTAACAAAATACATCCAGGATTTTATGCAGAAAATTACAGGACATTGATGAAAGTAGTCAAATAAGATCTAAATAAATGGAGAGAACTTCTGGGTCATACGAAGACTTAATATTGCTCAGATATCAATTCTTCCCAGCTTGATCCATAGATTCAATGCAATCTCAATAAAAACCCCAGCCAACTATTTTGTAGATGTTGACAAACTAATTCTAAAATTTATACGGAAAGACAAAAAAACCTAGAATAGCAAACATGATACTGAAGAGCAAAGTTGAAGAACTTATACTACTCAATTTTAAGTTTTACTAAAAGCTACATTAATTAAGACACTGTGGTATTGGTGAAAGAATAAATACATAGATCAATGGAATGAAACAGAGAGCTCTGAAATAGACTTGTAGAAATACAGTCAACTGATGTTTGACAATGGCATAAAGGCAATTCCGTGGAGAAAAAATAATCTTTTTCAACAAATCGTGCTGGAACAATTAGATAGCCATTAAATAAGAGAATCTAGACAAAAATTATTACAGAAAAATTAACTCAAATGGATTATAGACCCAAGTGGATTATATTTAATACTATAAAATGTACTGTAAAACTTCTAGAAGAATACATAAATAAAATCTACGTGCCCTGGGTTTGGAGATGAGTTTTTAGACACAGCACCAAAAGCATCATCCAAGAAAACAATAGATAAGTTGAATTTTATTAAAATCAAAAATTTTTGCTCTGCTAAAGAATGAAGAGACAAGGCCAAGATAGGAAAAAAATATTTGCAAAATGCATCATACCTGATAATGGACATGTATCCAAAATATACAAAGAATTTTAAAAATACAACAATAAGAAAAAAGGACAACTCTATTTTAAAATGGGCAAAGGACAAAGGATCTGAAAACATATCTCATCAAAAAAGATATATAGGCCAGGCACAGTGGCTCACACCTGTAATCCTAGCACTTCGAGAGGCAGAGGCAGGAGGATCGCATGAGTCCAAGAGTTCAAGACCAGCCTGGACAACATAGGGAGACCCCGTCTCTGTTTTTTTAAAAAAAGATATACAGATGGCAAGTAAGCATGCCTTAGCTCGGGATGCTGTAACAAGATGTCACAGACTGAGTGGTTTAAACAACAGAAATTTGTTTTCTCATAGTTCTGGAGGCTGGAAGTTCAAAGTCAGGGTGCCAATGGGGTTGAGTCCTGGTAAGGACCTCCTTCCTGGCTTATAGATGGTGACTCCTCACCACGTCCTCACATGGTCTTTCCTGAGTGTGTGTGTATGGAGAGAGAGCAAATTCGGGTCTCTCTTCCTCTTAAAAAGACACCAGTCCCATCATGAGGGTTCCCCTCTAATGTCTGTATTTAACCCTAATTACTTCCATAAGGGTCTTATCTCCAAATACATCCACATTGGGGTTGGGGCTTCAACATAGGAATTTCGGGGATCACAAACATTCAGTCCATAACAAAGTATAGGAAAAGATGCTCAATATAAAATGCTATTAGGGAAATGCAAATTAAAATAAGGAAATACCACTTCACACCTATGAAAGTGACTAAAATCCTTAACACCAACAGCACCAAATGCTGGTGAGGATGTGGGTCGACAGGAGCTCTCATCCCAGCACTGGGAATGCAAACGGGGCAACAGGAGCTCTCATCCCAGCACTGGGAATGCAAACGGAGCAACAGGAGCTCTCAGAGAAGGAACCAACCCTTGACTGTGGACTGCTGGCCTCCAGAATGGTAAAAGGGTACATTTCCATTGTTTTAAGTCACTCAGTTTGTGTCAGAAAGCCCCAGAAAACTAATACTACTGTCTTGGCCTTTTGGTTTCAGATCCAAGAAATTTTGACCCAGGATTCCAGGTCCCAAATCACAGAGCCTTTCTGGCTGCTTTCTGGCAGTATGAGTGCAGCAGCTGGAAGAAATTAGGGGTCTCCAGGTGCACCAAGAAGGGGGATCGATGTTCAACATCAGCATGCAGAAGACTTTCCTGTGGAGCTGAAACAGGTTGCTTACAGTGTGAAGAAAAAAGGGCTGTTTTATGAAGTACCTTTCTCTGTTAATTTGGACAATCACAGGAATGATCTGATGATGAAGATATGTTTGTTTTATTTATTGTGTTTGAGACAGAATCTCACTCTGTTGCTCAGGCTGGAGTGCACTGGCGCGATCTCGGCTCACCATAACCTCCGCCTCCCAGGTTCAAGTGATTCTCCTGCCTCAGCCTCCTGAGTAGCTGGGTAGCTAGGATTACAGGCATGCGCCACCATGCCCGGCTAATTTTTGCATTTTTAGTAGAGACAGGGTTATACCATGTTTGCTAGGCTGGTCTCAAACTCCTGACCTCAGGTGACCTGCCCACCTCGGCCTCCCAAAGTGCTGGGATTACAGCATGAGCCACCATACCCAGCCATGTTTATGTTTTTATGCATATGTGATACGAACAGAAGGCAGAGAAATATTGGGTAACAAAAGGCAGTTCCCCGGCAAAGGCTCCACCCTCAAGCCTGGAAACCTCAGCCCTAAAAGAGAACAGTTATCCCTGTTTTCCCACCCAAATGTTACTTTTTTGGCCTGCCCCATTTCCCTATCCTGTGCTTATAAACCCCAGACCTTAGCTGGCAGAAGGACAAGTGGCTGAACATCGAGAGAAGAAGCAACTGAACATCAGAGACTACGGATAGATGCAGCTTAACTTCAGACGGCACAGCTTCCGAGACGAACCCAGCTGAAGATGGCAGGCTTCAGGGAAAGATCACCTTCTTCCCACACCATCCCCTTTCCAGCTCACCTTCTGCTGAGAGCCATTTCCACCGCTTAATAAAATCCTCCACATTCATCACCTTTCAAACCATTCGTGCGACCTGATTCTTCCTGGATGCTGAACAAGAACCAGGGTACCAAGAGGGCAGGGTGTAAAAAACTGTCACCCTGACTCTCCATTGAGCTGGTTAATATTTAGCTATCTGTGGATGGCAACTGTTAAAAGGGCATTAACTGTAACACACCCCTAGACACTGCCAGGGTGCCAGAGCCTAAAAGCGCTCGCCCTAGCCCCAGCACCTGCTTGCCTGCATGCTCCCCCTCCCGAAGGGGT
Source organism: Homo sapiens (assembly GCF_000001405.40). Classification (NCBI taxonomy): domain Eukaryota; kingdom Metazoa; phylum Chordata; class Mammalia; order Primates; family Hominidae; genus Homo; species Homo sapiens. The sequence continues at coordinate 71,312,075 of NC_000011.10, read as the reverse complement.
TTGAGTGCGAGTAAGTGAGCCACACCCCTGTCGAAAGTCCAGCGAAGGGGTCAAGGGAATTCTCCCATCTCGTATGCACAATGATTTCTGACATTTTTGTTGAGTTTCTGGCTTTTCACGAAGCACCTCTACACTAGCAGACAGGCAGGGTGGGCACCTGATATCCCCACTCCACAGGATGGGGAGACTGAGGTCTGGGAATCAGGTCAGTCTTTTGCAATAAGTGAGAGACTAAAGTGCTTCCAACAACAGGGCTCTGGTGCTGGAAGCACAGAGCAGGTGTGGAGGGGCGGTCACTCTGTGCCCCATGGGTGTGTTCCCTGGGTTCCCCCAGCTCTGCTCAGCCCTGCTTCTCGGCTCTGTCCCTGAGCTGTGGCTCCCCTTCCGGGCACGAGGTTTCTGTGCTTCCTTTCTTAGACCCAGGACAACACTTGCCGTCACACGGGGCCTGTGCTTGGAACAGCCCCAGCTTTGGTTTAATGTTCTGCTGTCACCATCTTATCATTTTTAGTAGTCTATCTTTGAACATGTGTCTTGTAACTGAAGTCCAATGGGACAGTGGAGTGTGTCTGTGGCAGGAGGCTCAAGCTGGGTGTATGCTCACCAGCCTTGCACAGTTCTCCTGTAGTGTCACTAAGCAAGACTCCAAGAGAGTGCAAGCCCAGTGTGTAAGGTCCGCAAATGCCTAAACGCGGTACAGCCCCGGAGGATGCCATTTCCACTTAAGTCAGAGCCTGCTTCAAATGCAGAAAGATGGCCCTCGAAGAAAAGGAACAGGCCAGGCATGGCAGTTCACTCCAATAATCCCGGCACTTTGGGAGGCTGTGGGAGGATCGCTTGAGCCCAGGAATTCCACACCAGTCTGGGCAACATAGTAAGACCCCATTTCTATGTTTTATTTTTATTAAGAAAAAAAGATGAAAAATAAACAAATAAGAACCAGAACAACTGAGGAGTCTGTGTTAGTCAGCTCATGCTGCTGTAACAAAATACTGCTGACTGGGGAGCTCAAACAACGGATACTTTTTCTCTCACGGTCGTAGAGGGTGGAAGTCGAGATCAAAGCGTCGCAGGGCTGGTTCCTCCTGAGGCCTCTCTCCTTGGCTTGTAGATGCCACCTTCTCCCCATGTCTTCTCAGGGTCAACCCTCTGTGTGTGTCTGAGTCCTTCTCTTCTTATAAGGACACAGTCATGTGGGACTAGGACCCACTCTGAAGACCTCAATTTAACTTATTTGCCTCTTTAAAGACCCAAATGTGGTCACATCCTGAGGCACTGGGCGATAGGGCTTCAACATATGAATTGGTGGTGGAGGGGAACAACCCATCATATTCTTTTATTTTTTTGAGATAGGGTCTCACTCTGTTACCCAGGCTGGAATGCAGTGGCACCATCATGTCTCACTGCAGCCTCGACCTCCCAGGTTCAAGTGATCCTCCCACCTCAGCCTCCCAACTAGCAGGGACTACAGGCACACACCACCACACCTGGCTAATTTTTTATTATTTGTAGAGACAGGGTCTCACTATGTTGCCCAGGCTGGTCTCGAACTCCTGGACTCAAGCAATCCTCCCGCTTCAGTCCCCCAAAGTGCTGGGATTACAGGCGTGAGGCACCACACTGGGCCTCATCATATTCTTTCTTACTCATGTGATTTCTGTGTTATAGCCAACCATTAATGCTGAGAATTATGACACAGAAGGAAAGAAAAAGTCCCCTCGCCTTTCACTTCTTCCTTACCCACCAGTAAGTGGAAGGTAGAGAGTTTAGAATGTATGCATCTGGAGGAGTAAAAGAAAAGCTGCTGTTTTGTCTTACAAGAACACAATACATGTGCAGGTGTGAGCCATGAAAGACAAATGGTATAATTTCTCCAATTCCACACACAGGTTCAATGATCTTATACATGAGTTTAAAACCAATTTATACGAATAATTTAAATTTTAAATTTTTCTTTATTTAGAATGATATTCATTGCAAATCTAAAAATAGGACATCAAGAGAGAAATGGAAGAAATCAGTGACAAGTTTATCTTACAATAGCTTTATAACACGTTATTCCTGACTTTTGAACAAAGGCTCTTCATTTTCATTTGAACTGGGGAAAATTTGTACCAAATTTTTGCAGCCAACCTTGCTGGGCCACAAAGGTCCCCCATCCCCAAACATTGTACCAAATTCTTAGGTCCACCCTGATTATCTACCAATCAATTGCTGCACCAGAGAGGCGATGCCTGTGTGCTGATTGGCTTAGGTCTGAGTCACATGCCCTGCACTGACCAATCACAGCAGTGATCCCCATCAGAGCCCACCCTGAGCTGGGGGCAGGGGCCATCCCTCCCAATCCCAGGTCTGCCCCATAGAGGGGTAGTCCCTAAGAAAATCTGTTTGTTATTAGGAATAAGGAGAATAGGAGTAGACTTGGGGGGACAGCCAGTGTAGATGCACTCTGCATGGTTTTGTAAGCCTTAGAATCTAAGAATCTTGGCCTTAGCATCTTGCCTTTGAGAGTCTGTCACCATTTTAATGACCTATTTGTCTAAGCGTTTCTTTAATGTCCACCTCCCCGGAGAGCCTCTGAGCTCAACGACAGTGGGGACAGCTTGCCTGGATTGCTGATGTGTGCACAGCTGGGTGTGGTGTGCCTTGTCTTGCCTTTCTGGGCTGAACCAATGTACGTCATACATGTATCTATTGATGTCTCATGGCTCCCTAAAGCCAAGCTGTTCCTGACCGACCACCTTGGGCATATGTCACCAGGACTTCTTGAGGCTGTGGCACACGCACATCCTTAACCTTGGCAAAATAAACTTTCCAAATGGATTGAGGCCTGTCTCAGATATTTGGGTTCACACCTGGTACACAGGAAGCACACCATCACGGAGTGGATGACAGAGGGTAAGGTGCTCACTCATGGTCCCACGGAGGACTAAAACCAGGCCTCCTGACGAGCAGCCTAGAGTGTCTTCTTCTTCTTCTTCTTTTTTTTTTTTTTTTTTTTTTTGAGACAGAGTCCTGCTCTGTTGCCAGCCTGGAGTGCAGTGGTGCCAGCTCAGCTCACTGCAACTTCTGCCCCCCAGGTCCAGGTGATTCCCCTGCCTCAGTCTCCCGAGTAGCTGGGACTACAGGCGCCTGCCACCAGGCCCGGCTAATTTTTTGTATTTTAGTAGAGACAGGATTTCACCATCTTGGCCAGGATAGTCTCGAACTCCTAACCTCGAGATCAGCCCACCTCCACCTCCCAAAGTGCTGGGATTACAGGCGTGAGCCACCGCGTCTGGCCGAGTGTCTTCTTTAAGACCACCTGCTGCTCAGGGGTCAAAGTTTAGGAGTTAAGGTGCATGTCTTCAGAAAGAGATGCTGTCAGGGAGCCCTGACACCAACTATCTCCTTGGCTTCACTCTGTGGACAGGGGTGTGTTTGACTCATCATAATGGACTTGGTGGCACAGAGCACTACCTAATTAAAGGCTTTACTAAACCCTACTTTTTCCTTCTAGATAATTCTACCAGTCCACCTTATTCTCATTCCAAATAAGCACATGGGTCCTCCACTGTGGCATCAATTTACCTGGTTTGGTGGGGCAGGTGGAGGCACATACACAAAGGCTGTATTGTCATTTCCTGTGGCAGATGCTTTGAGGCCCATTAAAGTTGACTTTGCAGCAGAAAGCTACCCCAGAGCTGCCGTTGAGTAACAGGCCATCATACAGTGTAAGCTCCGAGTCACTAAACACTCCAATAATGCTGCTTCAGAAATTTGTCAATAATGATCAAAAATTATTCATTTGCTAGATAATAGGCTAGAGCAAAGGCAGAGGAGTTGATTTCCAGCAAATTGCTCATTAACCAGAGTGACAGTGGGGTGTGAGACCCCCTTGATTCCCAGCAGGGTTTAGCATCTGCAGTGCAGAGAGGGAGGGGCTGCTCCCCAGGCTGCCCCCATCCCCATTCCTGGCATCCTCTGGGTCCCCTTTAGGGATTGACAGTGAGCAGCTGCTGCTGGCTGGGGCGGGCAGAGGGAGAGAACCTGCCACCACCTCCAGCCTCCTGAGTGAGCTGATTTAGGGATGTTCCTGCTGAGTTGTATAACCCAGACCCTGGAGAGGAAGAGCTGGGACTGACTCTGCTCATGGGGACCCAGTGCAGAGCCCTGCAGACATGTGCAGAGACAGCTGCCAGCCACAGAGTCAGAGATGACCATGGGGAGATGGCAAGTCAGACACAGCCCGTTATACCCATTCCTTTACGCAGTTTAGACATGAGTGACCAGCATTAATGTTAAAATAGAGATCATGAGACTGATGGAACAGACTCTTTGTGGTAATAAGAGACCAAATTATAAACATATTATGGCTCCCCTTGTAACCTGTTAAATATGTATACCGGGCCAACCCATTCAGCTTAAATTCTCATCCAACTCCTCCTCCTCTGAAGTGCCAGTTTCCAGTCTCTACCAGAGGCCAAGCTTCCCAGCCTCTCCAAAGGAGCACCCTGCAGGCTGCAGTCCTTTACAAGACATGGAAGGGTCTCCTTTGCTAAATTTACAGATTGTGTGATTTTTAAGTTAACAGAGCTCTGGCCAACAGCCCAGCTAAGGTCCCAGTCAGCAGACAGTGCCACCATCAGACGAGGGAGGAAGCCTTCAAATGACCCCAGAGCAGCCACCATCTGAGCAGCGCAAACACACTAGCCCCCCGCAGATATGCCCAGGTCCCTCCTACCCCCCCACACCCATGTGGTGTGAAAGAGAAACATAAACGATGTCATTGCTTTAAAGCTGCTACGAGCTGCTTGGGTTCTGGGCTGGCTCGTTACCAGAGCACGCAACAAAGTTCTCATGTGACTTGCAAGATCCTGGGGGCACAGCCTGCAGCCCTTGGTTAGGGGCACAGAGATATTAAGGGGGATCACCCTTCTTCATGCCCTTTACAGAACAGCCAAGGTTGCAGCACCTCTAGAAAGGCTGTGTTTGCTTTTGCTCTCCCCTGTGACAGATTTTCACAGGCGCTGTGTCAACACGGGACCTTGAACGTTTTGCTGGAAAGGTGTCACTTTAAAAAAAATGTGTTTGGGCCGGGCGAGGTGGCTCACGCCTGTAATCCCAGCACTTCGCGAGGCCGAGGCGGGTGGATCACGACGTCAGGAGATCGAGACCATCCTGGCTAACACGGTGAAACCCTGTCTCTATTAAAATACAAAAAATTAGCCGGGCATGGTGGCGGGCGCCTGTAGTCCCAGCTACTTGGGAGGCTGAGGCAGGAGAATGGCGTGAACCCAAGAGGCGGAGCTTGCAGTGAGCCGAGATCACGCCACTGCACTCCAGCCTGGGCAACAGAGTGAGACTCCGTCTCAAAAAAAAAAAAAAAAGAAAAGAAAAGAAAAAGAAAAAAATGTGTTCACTGCCCAACAGACATGTGGGAAGGGGTTGCTGGGGAGCCGAACGGACCACCTGCCTAACACTTCACCACTTTTTATGTTTGCACAGGAAAACCAGGCAAAGTCTTTTCCAGGCATCAGTTCATAAGGCTGCACAAAAGTTCAAATTACGCAATTGCGGCCTCATTCTTTGCTTCCAGAGGAATTGTGTATTTGCAGATAGAAGCGATTAAGTTGTCTGGTTAGAATGAGTCTCCACAGCCAGGCATGGTGGACCATGACTGTAATCCCAGCACTTTGGGAGGCCGAGGCAGGTGGATCACCTGAGGTCAGGAGTTCGAGACCAGCCTGGCCAACGTGGTGAAACCCTGTCTTGACTAAAAGTACAAAAAAACTAGCTGGGCATTTTGGGGGGTGCCTGTAATCCCAGCTACTTTGGGAGGCTAAGGCAGGAGAATTGCTTGAACCCAGGAGGCGGAGGTTGCAGTGAGCCGAGATCACGCCATTGCACTCCAGCCTGGGCAACAAGAGCAAAACTCTGTCTAAAAAAAAGAAAAGAAAAAAAGAAAGAAAAGAAAAGAAAAGAAAGTGTCTCCGCAAACCCTGGCCCAGCTTTCATTCTTCTCTGGATGGCTTCAGGTTTTCTAAGTCCCCACACGTTCAAACGAGAGGGAACCTGAGGTCTGCCCATTTCCCTGATGACTCCACTGTCCCCGCCCCCCACCCACAGCCCTTCCAGTGGCACTTTCATTTTCTCCTGGTTTCCTGGTCCCTCCTCATTCTTTCATTGAAGGAAAACATTCTGGATGACTCCATGCTGCCCTCCTGCCTCTCAGGCTGTGGGTTAGTTCATTCTGGGTCCCGCCCTGGCGGGAGAACAATTGTATTTTTGCCACTGTCTCGTAAGCCCTAAGTGACCTGGTCACGTAAGGTGTGGAGACGCACAGCCCCTTCCACCTGCTGAATTTGCCTGGAAAGCCTTCCTCTTGGAGGTGGGCGTCAGTTTGACCAAGGGTTCTACCGTGTCCCCAATTATGAGTCTGGAGCTTCCCAGCCCACACAGGGGCCACTGCAGATCCCCAGGCTCCCATTGGCAGAGCTGGTTCCACTTCGACTGCCCCGAGTCTGCTGCCCACCAGGAGTGCTGGACACAGTTGGGAGGGGCAGGTGGGTGTGTTTCCTGGGGCACCCGTCCCCTCTTTGTTGCCGCGCCTTCTATAGCCCTCTCTGCTGGCCGATGGCGCCCATATGGGTCCCTTGTGCGGTTGCACCTGGCCTGACATCCCGCTAGGGATAAGTGTGAGTTTCCTGTGGCTGCTGTAATGATTCGCCACACACTGGAGGGCTTAAACAACAGAAATGTCTTCTCTCACAGTTCCAGAGGCCAGAAGTCCAAAATCAAGGTGGCAGCAGGGCCGGGCTCCCTCCAAAGGCTCTAGAGGAGGATCCTTCCTTGCCTCTCCCAGCTCCTGGTAGTGGCCAGCAGGCCTGGCACTCCTTGGTTTGTGGACGCATTGCTCCAATCTTGGCCTCTGTCCTCACTCACATGGCCTTCTCCTTGGAGGCTCTGAGTCTTTCTCTCTTCTATGAGAACACGCGTCATTGCATTTAGGGCCCACCTTGAATCCAGAATGGTTTCATCTAGAGATCCTTCACTTAATCACATCTGCAAAGATACTAGTTCCAAATAGGGGACATTCACAGGTCCCAGGGTTATGACTTAGACATGTACTTTGAGGGGCATTGTTTAACCCGCTACAGCATGTCTTGGGCTTCCATACTATTTCTCTCTCTTTTTCCATTCTCCTTTTTTATTTTTTGAACACAGAGTCTCTCACTCTGTCTCCCAGGCTGGAGTGCAGTGGCACCATCATAGCTCACTGCAGCCTTGACCTCCCAGGCTTAAGTGATCCCCCCACCTCAGCCTCCCGAGCAGTTGGAACCACAGGTGCACGCCACCATGCCTGGTTGTTTTTGTGGAGATAGGGTCTTGCTATGTTGCCTAAGATGGAGTTGAACTCCCAGACTCAAGTGATCCTCCCACTTTGGCCTCCCAAAGTGCTGGGATTACAGGCATGAGCCGCCATGCCTGGGCCCATTCCACTTTTTGATGGAGAGTTTATGGACTAATTCATAGAAGGGTATGGATTCTTGATCATGGCTTAAGAAATGAGGCATTCATATTCTGACTAATTATCAAGGAAATTCAATCCAATTTCAAACATGTATTAATCTTCTATGGGTTGGTCTCTGGATGTAGACTAGAGACCTTACCATGTCCATGTTTGGGCAAGGTGGCTCTTGGGGGGATGTAGACACAGGGTGGTTCTCTGGATGCTTAGGATGTCCTGGAAAAGAAAGACTGGGTACATCTGCATTTAGAAATATCTGCTGAGTTGGGGGCATCTTGCTGTATCAAACCCTGGACAAGACCTTAGGGATTCAGAAAGGACTCAGACAAGTGCCCAGTCCTCAAATCCTTGCAGATCTTCTGAGGCCACACTGTCTTCTGAAACTCTAAGGAGGTAAATGCCTATGGTTGGTCTGCTATGCCATCCCGTAACCCACTTGCAGAGTGTTTGCTTCCCACTTTTGCAATTTTGAGTGTTGCTGGTTTGCACAGGATGTTTCCACCTGGAGACACAACATTGGTTCCAGTGAAGTGGAAAACGAGATGATTACATGGCCATTTTGGGCTCCATACACCACTGAACCTGCAGGAAAAGAGGAAGGTCACTATACCGGCCAGAGTGATGGATCCCAATTGCCAAGGGGAAATTTAGTTGCTGCTACATGATGTGGGATGGTGGGGAGGAAGGAGACTAGTTCTAGACCCAAAGGATTCTCTGGGGTGCCTGTTGGTTCTTGCATAATTAATAGTACAAGTGAGTGGTGAACTATCCCCCAAAAAGACAGACCATTGAGGATTCAGACCCTTCAGGAATGAGTGTCTGGTTCCCCCACCCAGGTAAGACACCCCACCCAACTGAGGTCAAAGGGGACATGAAATGATGGTGGAAGAGGGCTCATGATGGCAGCTGTAGAAACACAGACCATGGCCATGCGCAGGTGTCCTGGCCTTGCTTCTGATGGGCACATGTATCCCTACATACACGGGATTGTTTTTATGGACATTCACTATTTTTTTGTCTCTCTTCTCATTCTTTAAACATATTTTGTTAGGGATCAGCTTTCTGATTTAGTCTGTAGCCAACGGAATTTTCGGAAGGGACTCTGTGGTAGGCAGAACAATGGACCCCAAAGACATTCACATCCTTATCCCTGGAACCTGCAAACATGTGACCTTACCTGGCAAGAGAGACTTGGCAGGTGCGATTAAAGTGGGATCTCAGAGACAGGGAGGTTATTCTGGATTTTCCAGATGGGCCAAACCTACTCCCATGAATCCTTAAAAGCAAAGAACCTTTCCCAGCTATGTTCAGAGGGAGCTGGAAGAGTGGAGCGAAAGAGGCAATGTTTCTCCTTAAAAGATGGAGAAAGGGCCCAGCAGCCAAGACACTGGGCAGCCTCGAGAGGCTGGAGAAAGCAAGGAAACAGATTGTCCCCTAGAGGGCCCAGAGGGAACCAGCCCTGCTGATGCCTTGACTTTAGCCCAGTGAGACTTTTGTCTGACTTTTCACCTCCTCAACCACAGCAGCAATAAATTGGTGTCATTTGAAGCCACTACATTTGTGGTAATTTGCTACATCAGCTGTAGAGGACTAATCAAAGTGGTGATTGGATTTAAGAACTATCTCAGCTGGGGCAGTGGCTCACACCTGCAATCCCAGCACTTTGAGAGGCTGAGAGGAGAAGATCCCTTGAGTTCAGGAGTTCAAGGCTACCCTGGGCAACATAGTAAGACCCCCATCTCTACAAAAAATTCAAAAATTATCAGGGCATGGTGGTACATGCCTGTGGTCCCAGCTACTGGAAAGGCTGAAGTGGGAGGGTCACTAGAGCCTAGCCAGGCTGCAGTGAGTTGCGAAAGCACCACTGCACTTCAGCCTGGGTGACAGAGCAAAACCCTGTCAAGAAGAAGAAGAAGAGGAGGAGGAGAAGGAGGAGAAAGATCTGGCATGGCCCAGAGGTAGTGCTAGGACCAGCTGCCAAAGACAGACACAATGACTGATGGCTTCTACAGCTCCTCAGTTGGGGGAGAGGGTAAGAAAAATCTTCATTTGTGTGGAGGATGCTTGCAGCTTGTTAGACAGAAGCTTAAGTTGCCTTGCTGTTGGAGAGATGTGCAAATAGGAGAAGAAGGGTGCGTACAGAGGCTGCACAGCCCAAGGGGTGTGCGTGACCCTGGCCTCTCCATGTCACAGCTGCCCTTGCACACTGGGCGTTCTTGGCGCCTGGCTGGCTCGCACAGGGGATGCTGGAGGGGACTGCGGGGCTGGATGGGGAAGGTTTTGTCCCTCGATCCTGTTCTGGCCATGCTCCTACTGCTGCTGCTGCTCCTACGGCTGCTGCTGCTGCTCCTTTCTTTTTCTTTCCTTCCCATAGCAGAAAGGATCTTGCCTATGATTTTCCCAACCCTCACGAACCAGGGACCCTGTGTCCCCCACCCCCAAGAGACACCCCCCAGCTAGCCAGCCAGCCAGCGCTTCCTCCTTGGAAGTCTCAGTTTACGCCCTGTGGGCTGCACTTCCTGGCTTCCTTGCTGTTATGGTGGCAGCCTCACCTCCGTGGGAGTGGCTGAGTCCTGCTGTTGTTGTCTTCATGACGTCTGAGTTCTCACCGTGCGTGGATCAGCTGGGGAGAAGTCACTGGCACCCAGCTAGCATCCCTTCTGTATTCTTCTCTATTAAATTCTGGCTGCCGAAATACCCGTGTGGTTTCTGTCTCCTGACGGCTCCTTAGCAGCATGCCAGGTGTTGTGATGGGGCCATAAGCCGCATGTTCTGGAAGAACTGTGGAAGAAGCAGTTCACTCTAACAGGGTCCCCAGAGGAGGGGCTTTCATGACACGCCGGGGAAAGAGGGGCTGTTCGAGGTGGGCAGTTCATCCTGCCGTCCCTCCTTAACACAGGTCAGACCAGCACTGCCCTCCTGTAGGCAGGTTGCTCTGGAAGTTTCCCAGCTGGGCCCCTGCAGGGGTCGTGCTGTGTCCTGGGCCGCCGAGCAACCCAGCCTGGCTAACGGGTGAGGAAACTGGCTCGGCCCAGGTCTCTAGGGACAGAGGGCCTCCAGTCACCCTCCAACTCCACTCTGGCCCTGTGATTTCAGACTCTCACTATCCCCTATCCTGTGCACCCTGGTAAACACCATCTACATTCCCAGGAGGATCGTGGATCACCAGCAGGTACCAGATTCTAGAAGAGACAAGGAAGGACCCTCCCCTAGAGCCTCCAGAGGAAGCAGCCCTGTGACACCTTGATTTTCAACTTCTGGCCTCCAGCCGGGCATGGTGGCTCACATCTGCAATCCCAGCAGTTCGGGAGGCCAAGGCAGGTGGATCACTTGTGGTCAGGAGTTCAAGACCAGCCTGGCCAACAGGGTGAAACCCCGTATCTACTAAAAATACAAAAATTAGCCAGATACGGAGTCCTGAGGGACACCATCCAAAGCTGCCTGCAGAGATGGGACAAGCGCGTGCGGTGACAAATGGAGTCATTCTCAGAAGCTGAGAGCAGAAGGCTGGCAAGCCTTCTATTTGTTCTGTAAGAAGATGTACCCAGCTTCCAAGAAGGCATCTCTCCAGGAAAGACCTCGGATATAGATACGTCCTAAATCTTTGCTTCTGCCTGCATTTTCTCCAAAACCTCCATTCAATTTCCATTGTCAGTACCTGTGTCTTTCATTTTCCTGGCAGCAGCTGTGCCTGGCTTCTTCAGAGTCATTAGAAAAGGCCCCTGCCTCCTTCCCTGGGCTATTCCACATCAGTCCGTCCCCAGGGTTTCACTGATGAGGTTTGGAAAGCTGAGGCCACTGCCTGGCTGATGGGGAGAGCTTGAGAGGCTGTTTTTCTGCCTTTCTCAGGTCCCTGGAAACCTGAATTTATGCAACACGTTCTTTTTGGTTGGGAAAAAAAAAAAAGAGAAAACTCCTCATTGATCATCAAGTCTGGGTAGCAGACCAGGCAAAATTGTGAAATAGAACATTGTTAAATATTTTTATCTGCGCTGGGTGGCCACTTCTCCCTTTTGTTCTTTGGTTTTCCAGTTGTGATAAACAGAGCGCACATTTTTATTCCTTGGTCTGTTCTCTAGAAATGGCTCTTGGCTTGTAGCAATCAGGGCTAATTCGTAGTGAGGGCCTCCTGTGCATAGGAACTTTTCATGCTTGTTTTCTTTTTCCTCCTCGAAGCTTGTTTTAGTTTCCTAGAGCTGCCAGAACAAATGGGAACCACAAACTCGGAGGCTTGAAACAACAGAAATCTATTAGTGTCACAGTTCTGGAGGCCAGTTTTTTGTTTGTTTGTCTGAAATGGAGTCTCCCAGGCTGGAGTGCAATGGCACAATCTCGGCCCACTGCAACCTCTGCCTCCCGGGTTCAATCGATTCTCCTGCCTCAGCCTCCTGAGTAGCTGGGATTACAGGCATGTGTCACCATATCTGGCTAATTTTTGTATTTTTAGTAGAGACGGGGTTTCACCATGTTGGCCAGGCTGGTCTCAAACTCCTGACCACAAGTGATCCACCTGCCTCAGCCTCCCGAACTGCTGGGATTGCAGGTGTGAGCCACCACGCCCGGCTGGAGGCCAGAAGTCGAAAATCAAGGTGTCACAGGGCTGGTTCCTCTGGAGGCTCTAGGGGAGGGTCCTTCCTTGTCTCTTCTGGGATCTGGTACCTGCTGGTGATCCACGATGCTCCTGGGAATGTAGATGCATCACCCCAGTGTCTGCTCTGTGTTTCCATCACATCCCCTCCGTGTCCTCTGCCCTTCCCTTCTCTTCTCTCATGAGGACGCTGGAGGTACAGCCGCTCCCATGCAGAATAACCTCAGCATTTCCTTAATCACATCTGCAAAGACCCTTTTTCCAAACAAGGCCGCACACACAGGTCCTGGGTGGATGTACCCTCTGCGGGAAGTCACCACGCAACCCACCACGCGGCCCTTTGGAGCGGATTCTGTGGCCACATCACTGAACTGATGACAAACAGAACAAGCACGTTTGGGGAGGTCGAGTGACTGGCTGGTGAGCAGCTATGCTGGAATTTGGGGCTGGGCACGTCCAGGCTGACATGACTCATTCCTGGTGCTCCCTCTGGCTGGCGTTCCTGCTGGAGCTTCATACTTCCTCACTGTGTCACGTCCCCCAGTGTTGGGCTGGGCTCTGAGCTCTGGATCAGCGTGGCTGCTGCCGCAGAACAAGCCACGCTTTACCCTGCATCCGCTTAAATGTCACCTTGTCAGGCAGGACTTTCCTGTCCCCCGTCCCTACACTAACATTAAATTCACTTCCTGACCTCGCGTAGGAGTGCCCTGGGGATGCTGCAACAAAGGACCACAAACTTAGTAGCTTCAAACAAGACATTTATTCTGTAGCAATTCTGAAAGTCTGGAGTCTCACTGGGCTAAAATCAAGGGGTCATCAGGGTTGGGTTCTGCTGGAGGCTCCGGGGAGAACTTGTTTCCTTGCCTTGTCTGGCTTCTAGCGGCCGCCTGTGGTCCTTGGCTCGGCTCGTGGTCCCTACCTGCGAGGCCAAACTAGCTGCGTAGCATCTTCCAGTCTCTGTCCCATGCTGAATAGACTTCCACTTGTGTTGCCACATCTCCTACCCACAGGGACCCCGCCTCCCTATCCTAAGGACTCTGTGATGACACCGTGCCCATCCAAATAATCCAGGATCATCTCCCCGCCTCAAGGCCCTAGTCACATCTACATGGCCCCTTTTTCCACATCAGGTAAGATATTCGCAGGCTCCCGGGATTGGACACTTCACTGGGAGGCCGTACCCTGCCTACCGCACCCAGCTTTCTTTACATCCCTGGTGGTCCCCAGCATATTGATTATTTACTTCTATTGCTGATGTCTCCCCACTGGAAGGTCAGCTTCCTGAGGGCAGGGGTGTGGCTAGTTCCCTGCTGCATCTTCAGACTGTGTCTGGCATACAGCAGGCACTCAATAAATACTTGTTTAATGAACGAAATGGCATAAGACTGCTACTGAAATGTGGGTCTCACGGAGTGACTTAGAAGATGTTCTCTTCTGAATTGGAGCCACCATAGGCTCAAAGAAACTTTTTTTAAAGGCTGAATCTGAAAGCAATTATATCACAGGATTCTAAAAATGCCTATTTTAAACTGTTGACATAATGCCCACGACCAAAACCTCAGTGTCCCGGAGAACATCGGCAGGTGCCGAAGGGCATCTGAAATGCTGTAACTTGAAGCAGCTCGTCCATGAAGCCTGGCCTGTGGGCTGCCCCTACAGCCGTGCCTGTGGTGCCCACACCAGACCAGGGGATGCTCTCACAGGACCAGGGGATGCCGTCCACCTCTAAGCGAGGTGTGACTGGGTCCTTGGATGGGGAAACACAGCAGACCTGCCTATTTCTGAGACTGTTTTAAGCAAAGCCTAGGGCTCTGGCCTCCTCCTTTTATACAACAGAGACCTGCACCTTCCATCTGGGAGAGGAAGCAGAGGCAGTCAGGTGGCCACATCCCTCCTCAGAACCAGAAACCACTGGTCCAAACCCTCTGGCCCCTTGTTCACTAAGAAACAACACCCACTTCTCTGAATTTTCTGACTCTTCTTACATCTCTCTCTAAAGTAAGCTTGCCAGCAAAAAAAATGTTTAAGATAAGTATGTCCCAAATATAGCATGGGATATACTTACACTAAAACATTTATCCATTGCTTACTTGAAATTCATATTGCCTGTGAATCCTGCATTTAAAAAGATTCAACTACAGCTCATCCTTGTTTTAAGAGCAGTTTAATGTGCACAGCTAAATTGAGCAGAAAGAGAGTTCCCATATACCCCCGCCTCCGCACATGTACAGCCTCCCCCATTGCCAACATTCCTACCAGAGTGGTGCATTGGTTACAACTGATGAACCTACATGGACACATCGTCACTTAAAGTCCATAGTTTACATTAGGGATCACTCTCAGGGTTGCACATTCTGTGGGTTTGGACAAACGTTACAATGACATGTCTTCACCATTACAGTATTAAACAGAATCATTACACTGCCCTAAAGATCTCCTGAAGCCAGGCGCAGTGGCTCATGCATGTAATTCCAGCACTTTGAGAGACTTGAGAAGGGAGGATCACTTGAGCCCAGGAGTTCAAGAACAACCTGGGCAACATAGTGAGACCCCCATCTCCACAAAAAAAGAAAAATTAGCCAAGTGTAGTGGTGCATGCCTATGGTCCCAGCTACTCAGGAGGCTGAGGTGGGAGGATCCCTTGAACCCAGGAGTCTGAGGCTGCATGAGCCAAGCCCTGATACCGCCACTGCACTTCAGCCTGGGCAACAGAGTGAGACCTTGTCTCAAAAAAAGAAAAAAAGTAAAAAAAATCCTCTGTGGTCCACCTCTTCATCCCTCCCTCTCCTCAACCCATCACAACCATTGTACTTGCATACCCATCGCGACCATCGTATTTCCATAGTCTCCATAGTGCTGCCTTTTTCAAAATGTCATATCGTTATCTGGGATCTTAAAGTGTGCAGCATTCTCAGTCTGGCTTCTTTCATGTAGCGATATGCATTTAAGACTCCTCCACTTCTTTTCATGGCTGGTACCTCATTTCTTTTTATTGCTAATAGAATTCCATTGTCTGGATGTACCACAGCTTATGTATCTACTCTACTGAAGGACATCTCAGTTGCTTCCAAGTTTGGGCAATTGTGAATACAGCTGCTATAAACACTTGTGTGCAGATTTTTGTGTGGACTTAAGTTTCAAGTCCTTAGGTAAATACTGAGGAGTATAATTGCTGGTTTATATGGTTAGAGTATGTTTAGTTTTGCAAGAAATGGCCAAACTGTCTTCCACAGTGGCTGTACCATTTTGTTTTCCCACCAGCAATGAATGAGAGTTCCTGTTGCTCCACCTCCTCCCCAGCATTTGTTGTTGTTAGTGTGTCAGATTTGGGGCACTCTAACAGGTGTGTAGTGGCATTACATTGTTGTTGGTTTTTTTTTGAGACGGAGTCTTACCTTGTCACACAGGCTGGAGTGCAGTGGCACGATCTCGGCTCATTGCCAGCTCTGCCTCCCAGGTTCATACCATTCTCTTGCCTCTGCCTCCCGAGTAGCTGAGACTACAGGTGCCCACCACCATGCTTGGCTAATTTCTTTTTGTATTTTTAGTAGAGACAGGGCTTCACCGTGTTAGGCAGGATGGTCTCGATCTCCTGGCCTCGTGATCTGCCTGCCTCGGCCTCCCAAAGTGCTGGGATTACAGGCATGAGCCACCGCACCTGGCCTACATCGTTTTTTTTAATGTGCAGTTCCCTGATGATGACATGAGATGTGTAGCATCTTTTTGTATCCTGCATTTTTATTTGCTGAATCTGGCAGCCCTACACCACAGAAAAAGCCACTGGCATCTATATTGCCCTGAAGTCATTGGTTTCTACATGAATCTGGCTCATGAGGCAGGGACCCACATCTCCTTCATGTCTGCATCTGGGAAAAGGGTGCATCAACCACCAGGCAGGTTCTCGGTACTCGTGTGCATGTGCAGTAGGTGATTGAGTCTATAGACAGTAGCTTTATGTTGCACCTTCCCCTGTGCAATGCCCCCTTTGTTTCTGTATTGTGTTCTCTTTCCCCAGATCACAAACTTGGTAGCACGTTGCTGTTGTGCTTGATAATCATTTCTAACCCAAGCACACCCGTTCACAGGTGTCTCCATGGCCGCCATCTTGGTCCTGCCTGACATCACTGCCAGGGTAGGCTCCTTCCTGCCCTTTACACGGTGACTTCACATTTGTGTCCAGGGAAATGGCTCCATGTCTTAATAATGTTAAGGAGGTAATCAGCCACAAAAGTGTAATTCCTGTGTCTCCTGGTTTGTGGATAGAACTCAATCTCGAGGTCGGGAAGCAGAGCAAGATGGCTCAATGCAAGGCTCCAGTGATCACCATTCCCCACCCCCCACAGAACACCAAATTGAACAACTATCCACACAAGAAAAGCACCTTTGTAAAAACCAAATACAGGTGCGCAATCATGGTACCTGGTTTTAACTTCATATTAAGGAAAGATGCACTGAAGAGGGCAGGAAAGTCAGCCTTGAATTGCTGATGCCACCTATCCCCCATCCCCTGGCAGCAGCCGCGTGGCATGGAGGGAGAATCTGTGCACTCTGGGGAGGTATAATGCAGTGATTGTGGGACTTTGCATTGGAACTCCGTGCTGTGCTGTCACAGCAGAAAGCAACACATGGCAGAACTCAGCTGGTGATCATGGAGGGAGCATTTAGACCAACCTTAGCTGGAGGGAAACCACCCATCTCAGTGGTCAAAACCTGAGTTCCAGCAAGCCCTGACACCATGAACTAAAGTGCTCTGGGGTTCTAAGTAAACTCGAAGGAAGTCTAGGCCACAAGGACTGTAATCCCTGGGCAAGTCCTGGTGCTGAGCTAAGAGCCAGTGGACTTGGGCTGCACATGACCTAGTGAGACACCAGTCGGGGCAGCTATGGGAGTGCTTGCACCACCCATCCTCCAATCCCAGGCAGTGCAGCTCACAGCTCCAGAAGAGACTCCGTCCCTCTGCTTGGCATAGTCCTGAGGCCTCTATTCCAGGCCCTAGCTCCTGGACGACATTTCTAGACACACCCCGGAACAGGAGGAAACCTGCTCCCTTGAAGAGAAGGACCCAGTCCTGGCAGGATTCATCACCAACTGACTACAGAGCCCCTGAGTCCTGAATAATCAGCAGCACTATCCAAGAATTACTTGTTGCAGGCCTTGGGTGAGGCTCAGAGCCATGCTGGCTTCAGACATGACCCAGAACCTTCCCAGATGTGGTGGCTATGGGGAGAGAGACTCCTTCTCCTTGAGGAAAGTAGAGAGAGGAGAAAGGGGGACTTTGTCTTGCAGCTTGGGTACCAGGTCAGCTACAGTGGAGTATAGCACCAAGTGGGCTGCTGGTGTCCCCACTTGCAGGCCTTGGCTCTTGGACAGCATTTCTGTACCTGTCCTGGGCCAGAGGGGGAGCCCACTGCCTTGAAGGGAGAGACACAGGCCTGGAAGCATTGACCACAAGCTGATTGAAGAGCTCATGGGCATTGAGTGAACATCAGCAGTAGCTGGGCAGTACTCACCACAAGGCTGGGGCAGTGGTGGCCATGGAGAGAGACTCCTCTGCTTGAGGAAAGGAGAGAGAAGAGCGGGCAGTGAGAAGGACTTTGTTTTTCAGCTTGAGTGCCAGCCGAGCCACAGTAGAATAGAGCACCAGGTATCTTCCTGAGGTTCTTGACTGCAGGTCCTGGTTCCCAGATGCCATCTTTGGAATCCCCCACAGCCAGGGAGAACCTGTCACCCTGAAGGGAAGGACACGAGCCTGCCTGGATTCACCACCTGCTGACTGTAGAGCCCTTGGGCCTTGAGTAAACATAAGCAGTAGTCAGGCAGTGGTCACCATGGGCCTTGGTAAGACCCAGTGCTGTGCTGTCTTAGGGTCTGAACCAGCATAGTCCCAGTGTTGGTGGCCACAGGGGTGCTTGTATCACCCCTCCCCCAGCTCCAGGCAGTTCAGCACAGAGAGAGAGAGAGACTCTGTTTGGGGGACAGTAAGGGAAGGGAACAAGTCTCTACCCAGTAATCCAGGAAATTCTCCCAGATCTTACCGAAGACTACCAAGGCATTACCTCTACAAGTCTGTAGGAGCCACAGTGTTAGGCTTGGGGTGCCCCCCGATGCAGATATGGCTGCAGTGACCAAAGACTTACATCACAAAACTCAAATCTCTTCAAATACTTGGAAGGCCTTCCTAAGAAGGATGAGTACAAACAAGCCCAGTGATATGGTTTGGATTTGTGTTCCCACCCCAAATCTCAAGTTGAATTGTAATCCCCAATGTTGGAGGTGGAGGCCTGATGAAAGGTGATTAGACCATGGGGGCAGATTTACCCATTGGTGCTGTTTTTGTGACAGTGAGTGAGTTCTGATGAGATCTGGTCACTTAAAAATGTATGGCACCTCCTCCCCCCACTTCCTCCTGCTCCAATCATGTGAAGTGCCTTGTTCCCCCTTTGCCTTCTTCTGCGATAGGAAGCTTCCAGAGGCTCCCCAAGAAGGAGAAACTGCTATGCTTCCTATAAAGCCTGCAGAAGCATGAGCCAATTAAACCTCTTTCCTTTATAAGTTATCCAATCTCAGGTATATTTTTATAGCAATGCAAGAACTGACTAATACACCCAGACTGTGAAGTACAATAAATATCTAACTCTTCAATGCTCAGACACAAACAAACATCCACAAGTATCAGGATCATCCAGGAAAACACGACCTCACCAAATGAACTAAAGTCACCAGTGAACAATCCTGGATGGGCATACCAGGATGTAAAGGTATGTATGTAAAGGTATGTATGTAAAGGTATGTATGTACATACCAGGATGTAAAGGTATGTATGTAAAGGTATGTAACCTTTCACACAGAAAATTCAAAATAACTATTTACAGGAAGCTCATTGAAATTCAAGATAACACAGAGAAGGAATTCAGAATCTTATCAGATAAATTTAACAAAGAGATTGAAATAATTAAAAAGAATCAAGCAGAAATTCTGAAGCCAAGAAATGCAATTCACATATTGAATTCATCAGAGTCTCAACAGCAGAACTGATCAAGCAGAAGAAATAATTAGTGAGCCTGAAGAAAGGCTATTTTAAAATACATAGTCAGAGGAGACAAAATAAAAAAATAAAAAAGAATAAAGCGTGCCTACAAGATCTAGAAAATGGTCTCAAAAAAGCAAATCTAAGCAATATTAGCCTTAAAGAGGGGGTAGGGAGAGAGAGATCAGGGTAAAAAGTTTATTCAAAGGGATAATAACAGAGAACTTTACAAACTTAGAGACAGATATCAACATTCAAATGTAAGATGATTATAGAATACCATGCAGATTTAACCCCAATAAGACTACCTCAAAACATTTAATAATCAAACTTCAAAGGTCAAGGTTAAAGAAAGGACCCTAAAAGCAGCAAGAAAAAAAAAAACAAATAACATACAATGGAGCTCCAATACATCTGGCAGTAGACTTCTCAGTGGAAACCTTACAAGCCAGGAGGGAGTGGTATGACATATTTAAAATGTGGAAAAAAACCGTTTTATCCTAGAATAGTATATCCAACAAAAATATCCTTCAAACATGAAGGCGAGATAAAGACTTTCCCAGACAAACAAAATCTGAGATTTCACCAACATCAGACCTTTCCTACAAGAAATACTAAAGGCAGTTCTTCAATCTGAAAGAAAAGGACATTAATAAGCAGTAAGAAATCATCTGAATGTACAAAACTCACTGGAAATAGTAAGTACGCAGAAAAGCACAGAATATTATAATACTGTAATTATGGTATGTAAACTATTCATATTGTGAGTAGAAAGACTGCAAGATTAACATATCAAAATAATAACTACAACAACTTTTCAAGATATAGTAAAACATAGAGACAATAAAAAGTTAAAAAAACAGGGAGATGAAGTTAAAAAAACAGGGAGATGAAGTTAAAGTGTAGAGTTTAACATATCAAAATAATAACTACAACAACTTTTCAAGATATAGTAAAACATAGAGACAATAAAAAGTTAAAAAAACAGGGAGATGAAGTTAAAGTGTAGAGTTTTTGTTAGTTTTCTATTTGCTTGTTTGTAGTTTGTTTATGTAATCTGTGTTAAGTTCTCACGAGTTTAGAATAATGGGTTATAAGAAGATATTTTTGTAAGCCTCATAGTAACCTCAAATCAAAAAACATACAACAGATATACAAAAATAAAAAGCAAAACATTAAAACATACTACCAGAGAAAAAATCACCTCCACTGAAAAGAAGACAGGAAGGAAAGAAAGAAGGAAGAAAAGATCACAAAACAATCAGAAAATAACAAATTGGCAGGGGCAAGTCCTAATTTTTCAATGATAACATTGAATGTAAATAGACTAAACTCTTCAATCAAAAGGCATAAGCATGGCTGAATGGATATAAAAACAAGACCCAACAATCTATTGCCTACAAGAAACATGCTTCACCTACAAAGACACACAGTGACTGAAAATAAAGGGATAAAATAGATATTCTATGCCAGTGAAAACCAAAAAAGAGCAGGTGTAGCTATACTTAGATCAGACCTAACAGATTTCAAGAATAAAAACTATAAAAAGAACAAAGAAAGTCATTATATAATGATAAACAGGTCAATTCTGCAAGAGGATATAACAATTGTAAATATATATGCTCCTAACACTGGAGCACACAGATATATAAAGAAAATATTATTAGAGCTAAAAGAGAGATAGACCCCAATACAATAATAGCTGGAGACTTCAACATCCCACCTTCGGCATTGGACAGATCATCCAGGCAGAAAATCAACAAAGAAACATCAGTCTTAATCTACAGTATAGACCAAATGGAATGAATAGATATTTACAGAACATTTTACCCAACAGTTGCAGAATACACATTCTTCTCCTCAGCACATGGATTGTTTTCAAGGATAGAGCATATGTTAGGCCACAAAACAAGTCTTTAAAAATTCAAAAACATGAAATTATACCAAGTACCTTCTCTGACCACACTGTATTAAACTAGAAATCAATAATGAGAAGAATTTTGGAAACTATACAAACACATGGAAATTAAACAACATGTTCCTGAATGACCAGTGGGTCAATGAAGGAATTAATAAAAAGTTAAAAAAATTCTCAAAACAAATTACAATGAAACCACAACATACCAAAACCTATTGGATACAATGAAAGCAGTACTAAGAAGAAAGTTTATAGCAATAAATGCCTATAACAAAGAAGTAGAAAAACTTGACAAAACTTGACAAGAAAGTCAAAAAAATTTTGAGAAAGGAATAAAAAATGTCAACAAACCTTTAGCCAGACTAAGAGAGAAGACCCAAAAATAAGAATGGAGATGAAAAAGGAGACATTACAACAGATGCCACAGAAATGCAAAGGATCATTAGAAGCACCTAAGAGCAGCTATATGCCAATAAATTTGAAAGCCTAAAAGAAATGGATAAATTTCTAGACACATACAATCTACAAAGATTGACCCATGAAGAAATCCAAAACCTTCACAGACCAATAACAAGTAATACAATTGAGGTCATAATAAAAAGCCTCCCAGCAAAGAAAAGCCCAAGACCCAAAAGGCTTCACTGCTGAATTTTACCACAATATTTAAACAAGAACTAATACCAATCCTACTCAAACCATGCAGAAAAATAGAGGAGGAAATACTTCTGTATTCATTCTACAAGGACAGTGTTACCCTGATACCAAAACCAGACAAAGACACATCAAAAAGAAAAAGAAAAAGAAAACTACAGGCCACTGTCCCTGATGAACATTGATGAAAAAAATCCTCAAAAAAATACTTGAAAACCAAATTCAACAACATATTAAAAAGATAATTCATCATGATCAAGTAGGATTTATCCCAGGGATGCAAGGATGGCCCAATATATGAAAATCAATCAATGTGATACATCATATCAACAGAATTAAAACCATATGAGCATTTCAATTGGACTGAAAAAGGATTTGATAAAATTCAACATCACTTCATGATAAAAACTCTCAAAGAACTGGGTATGGGAGGAACATACCTCAACACAACAAACGTCATATATGATGGACCCACAGCTAGTGTCACACTGAAGAAGAAAAACTAAAAACCTTACCTCTAAGATCTGGAACAAGACAGGGATGCCTTCTTTCACCACTGTTATTCAACATAGCACTGTAAGTCTTAGCTAGAGCAACTAGACAAAAGATAAAAATAAAGAGCATCCAAATTGGAAAGGAAGAAGTCAAGTTAACCATGTTTACAGATGATATGATCCAATATTTGGAGAAACCTGAATACTCCACCAGAAATCTCTTTGAACTGATAAAAAAAAATTTGATAAAGTTGCAGGATACAAAATCAACTCACAAAAATCAATAGCATTTCTATATGCCAACAACAAATAATCTGAAAAAAATCCAGAAAGTAATCCCATTTACAATAGGTGCAAATATAATAAAATACCCAGGAATAAATTTAACCAAGGAAGTAAAAGATCTCTACAATGAAAACTATAAAAGATTGATGCAAGCAATTAAAATTGAGGAGGACAGAAAAAATGGAAAGATATTCTATGTTCATGGATTGGAAGAATCAATACTGTTAAAACGTCCATACTACCCAAAGCAATCTACAAATTCAATGCAATTCCTATCAAAATACCAATGACATTCTTCACAGAAATAGAAAAAATAATTCCAAAATTTATTTGGAACCACAAAAGACCCAAAATAGCCAAAGCTATCCTGAACAAAAGGAACAAAACTGGAGGAATCACATTAGCTGAGTTCAAATTATACTACAGAGCTATGGTAATAAAAACAGTATGGTACTGGCATAAACACAGACACATAGACCAATGGAAAAGAATAAAGAACCCAGAAATATATCCCTACATTTACAGTGAACTCATTTTTGACAAAGGTGCCAAGAACACACACATTGGGGAAAGGACAGTCACTTCAATAAATGGTGCTGGGAGAACTAGATATCCATATGCAGAAGAAGAAAACTAGACCCCTATCTCTCACCATATAAAAAAATCAAATCAAAATGGAGTAAAGACTTAAATCTAAGACCTCGCACTATGAAATTACTAAAAGAAAACATTGGGGAAATGCTCCAGGACATTGGACTGGGCAAAGATTTCCTGAGTAATATCCTACAAGCACAGGCAACCAAAGCAAAAATGGACAAATGGGATCACATCAAGTTAAAAAGCTTCTGCACAGCAAAGGAAACAATCAACAAAGTAAAGAGCCACCCCACAGAGTGGGAGAAAATATTTGCAAACTACCCATCTGACAAGGGATTAATAATCAGAATATATAAGGAGCTCAAACAGCTCAACAGGAAAAAATCCAATAGTCTGATTAAAAAATAGACAAAAGATTGGAATAGACATTTCTCAAAAAAAAAAAAGACATACAAATGGCAAACAGGCATATGAAAAGATGTTCAACATCACTGATCATCAGAGAAATGCAAATCAAAACCACAATGAGATATCATCTCACTCCAATTAAAATGATTTTTATCCAAAAGACAGGCAATAACGAATGCTGGTGAGGATGTGAAGATTAGGGAACTCTCGTACACTATTGGTGGAAAAGTAAATTAGTACAGCCACTGTGAAGAACAGTTTGGTGGTGTCTCAAAAAACTAAAAATAGAGCTGCTATATGATCCAGCATTCCCATTACTAGGTATATACCCCAAAGAATGGATATTAGTATATCGAAAAGATATTTGTACTGCCATGTTTATTGCAACACTGTTCACAAAAGCCAAGATTTGGGAGCAACCTAAGTGTCCATTGACAGAGGAACGGATAAAGAAAATGCAGTGCGTTTACACAGTGGAGTACTATTCAGTCATAAAAATAATGAGATCCTGCCATTTGCAACAGCATGGATGGAACTGGAGGTCATTATGTTAAGCGAAATTAGCCAGGCACAGAAAGACAAACTTCAAATGTTCTCAGTTATTTGTGGGAGCTAAAAACGAAAACAATTGAACTCATGGAGATAGAGAGTAGAATGATGGTTACCAGATGCTGCAAAGGGTAGTTGGGGGGTGGGAAGGAGAGAAAGGGGATGGCTAATGGGTACAAAAATATAATTAGAATGAATAAGATCTAGCATTTGATAGCACAACAGGGTGACTAGAATCAATAAAAATTTATTGTACATTTAAAAATAGCTAAAAGAGTATAATTGGACTATGTGTAACACAAACAAAATAACAAATGCTTGAGTTGATGGATAGAAAAACAAAAAACTCAGTCTTGAATCCACTTGTGGCATCCTCCGTCGTGGACAGCAGCCCTCCCTGCCAGTCCCCAAATGCCTGAACAGCAGCCAACATCCTTCTCTGTGGCATCCTCTTGCTTGTCAATGATTAAAAGCACACTGGGCTGGCCACCAAGGGAGTGTTGAAAGAACATGTGGAGACTCAGGCTGGCAGCTCCACCAGAGCAATGAAGCAGAGAGTCCAGTAATTGGATGCAGGAGCCAGAGACAGCTGTGTCCCTTAGCAGAATGCCTAGCCCATGAACTCCCTTCTGTGGCTGCATTCTGAAGGCCAGGTGCCAAGCTCACCATGCCGCACAGCAGTGACCAAAGAGAGAGTATGCACGAAGATGGGCAGGGCTGGACCTGACCTTCCTATGCATGTAAAACTCCCCTGCTGCCACGAGCCTGCTTTTAATTAAAAGTAACCAAGTTTGCTCCTGTTTAAGTTGACAGAAAGCCAACCCCAACAGACAATTCCCAGAAGGGAAAGTGCAAATGACACACAATTCAATGAAGAGCTGCTCAAACCCACAGGAATCAGAGAAATGCAAAGTAAAACGCAGGAATTCCCTTTACACCCATCAGATTGGTAAAAGCTAGAGGGTTGACTAATGCCAAGTGCTGGCAAGTTGGTGCAAAGCAGAGCCTTCCAGGACAGCCGTGGGAGGGAGACCTGGCACATGGCAGCCTGGGAAGCACTCAGACTGGGCTTTGTAGGGGGCTGCGACCTTGCAGTCAGGCTGAGGAATGCATGGCTGAGAGAGGCTCTCACTGTGTCTTCCCCAGAAGGGCTTGCATCGGTATCCATCAACACTGTGGAAGTTAGGAATGGAGCAGCCCAGAGTCCAGTGGTCGGCGACTGAGTTAGCAACACGTCGTGAAGCAGCAGATGGAACTGTGCAGGTGTCACCCCGCCTGCATTAGGCGTGCACTGGCGTGCCCTTAGCTGCATGGAGACAAGTAAAAGTAACACACAGCACCACCTCACACTCCTCAGGATGGCTACTGTCAACGAGGTGGAGAATAACACACAGCACCACCTCACACTCCTCAGGATGGCTACTGTCAATGAGGTGGAGAATAACACACAGCACCACCTCACACTCCTCAGGATGGCTACTGTCAATGAGGTGGAGAATAACACACAGCACCACCTCACACTCCTCAGGATGGCTACTGTCAACGAGGTGGAGAATAACAAGTGTCAGCGAGGCCATGGAGAAACTGGAACCCTTGCACACTGTGGGTGGGGATGTAAAACGGTGCGGCCCCTGTGGAAAATGGGATGGCTGTTTCTCCAAAAATTAAACATGGAATTAGCATGTCATCCAGCAATACCACTTCTGGGTCTGTCTCCAAAAGAACTAAATGCAGGGTTTCAAAGAGGTATTTGTACACTCATGTTCTCAGCTGCTTTTTTTCACACTAGCCGAAAGGTAGAAATGGACCAAACATCCATTGACAGGTGAATGAATAAACAGAGTGTGGTCCATCCACACAACGGAATATCACTCAGCCTTGGAAATAAGGAGATTCTGACACAGGTGACAACATGGATGAACTTTGAGGATGTCACGCCAAGTGAAATAAATCAGCCACAGAAAGGTGAAGGCTGTAGGGCTCAGGTTAAATGAGGTCCCTAGAATGGTCAAACCCATAGAGACAGAAAGTAGCATGGTGGTTGCCAGGGGCTGGGGGAGGAGGAAACATAGAGTTGGGGTTTAATGGGAACAGAGTTTCAGTTTGGAAAAATGACAAGTTCTGGAGATGGATGATGGTGGCAGCTGCACAACAGTTTGAATGAACTTAATGCCAGTGAACAATACACTTAGAAATGGTTAAAATGGGCTGGGTGCAGTAGCTCACACCTGTAATCCCAGCACTCTGGGAGGCTGAGGCGGGCAAATCACTTGAGGTCAGGAGTTCGAGACCAGCCTGATCAACATGGTGAAACCCCGTCTCTACTAAAAATACAAAAATTAGCCTGGTGTGGTGGTGGGTGCCTGTAATCCCAGCTACTTGGGAGGCTGAGGCAGGAGGATCATTTGAACCCAGGAGGCGGAGGCTGCAGTGAGCTGAGATTGTGCCACTGCACTCCAGCCTGGGGGACAGAGCAAGACTCCATCTCAAAAAAAAAAAAAAAAAAAAGGTCAGTTTTAGCTTATATGTATTTTACCATAATTTTTTTTTTAAACTTGATGACAACAATCAAGAACAGTGTTGAGTGAAACAGTGGGATCCGGGGCACAGTGGCATTTACAATATGAAGCGCTCACTGGAAGCCCCACACGGTGTTCTGCAAGGAGGCGCGTGCATCCTGTGCGTGCATCGAACCTGCTGAATGGGAAAGTGATCAGTGTGAGGCGGGGAGTGGAGGGCGGGGGCCGTGAGCTGAGCATAGGAGAGGAAAATGAACACGTCGTCCCCTGCACCCTTGTCCCCCACGATGAAGGAAGAACAAAGAGCCAGGCACCTGTCAGATGAGGGGAAGGACAGAATGACTCAAGGACGGGATGGACCCACTCCAGGCTGAGCCCTCCCTGCCCTGGGCAGCCCCTGCAGTCACCTTTTATCAGGATGACACGTTCACTGCCTTGTCTTGGTCACCTTTTATCAGGATCACACCTTCACTGCCTTGTCTTGGTTCTCATGAATTTTAGGTCTTCTTGGAAGCCCTGCACTTCCTAGCCAGTGCTCAGAACACACAAGTGCACAGCAGGCCTCTGTTAGCTTGGGCTGCCTGAAATCCCTTCTCCTTTTTCCTAGAAAGAGGGCAGCAGTTCTTCCTAGAGAATCAGGCTGCCCCAATCCCCACACTTATGGTTCCCATGGGGCTGACCCCTCCCTTGCAGCAGAAGTAGGCAAGTAGCCCTAGCTTGGCCCCACAGAACATCCCAGCATCCTAGGAGAGATGGTCACAGATGGGCTGGAACCAAGCCAGCCGTGGTCCAGGGCTCCAGGAGTGCACATTCTGGAATCCTGCCAAAAGCATTGGCCAGGGGAGGTGCTCTTTCTGCTGAGTCTAAGTCCAAAGGCAGGAGAAGACCTATGGTTCCACCTTGAAGACAGGCAGAGGCAAATAATTCTCTCCTCTTCAACTTTTTATTCTATTCAGGCCCCTGATGGATGAGGTGAGGCCCACCTTCTGCGGGGAGGACACTCTGCTTGCCTCGGTCTGCAGATTTGAATGCTAGTCCCATCCAGAAACATCCTCGCAAACACAGAGGCTTGACCAAATGTCTGAGCACCCCCAAGGTCCCATCAAGGCGACACATAAAATTCACCATCACGCACGGCGAGACCATCAGCCACGGGGCTGGAAAGAAATGCCCCCAGTTGGCTTGCTCTCTGCCAGAGCCAGCACCCAGCGCCACCCGTCCCTAACCTGTCCTGCGTCCTCACCCTCAGGCCCCATACCTCTCTGTGTTTCCCAGGCTCCGTGCATTCCTGCACAGACCTCTCAGACCAGTGGGGTCTTTCTCATGGCTGCCATCCGGCATCTCCGAACAATCCTGCCTTCTGTTTTATTGTTTGTTGGGTAAACGAGCTGGATTATGAACAAGCTCCCTCTTCCTGATTCTCCCACACACAACCAACCCAACCAGCCTGGCCTGTTCTGAACCCAGGCAGCTGGCACTCAACAGCGTCAGCGGGGCCCCTCCTCCCGATACGAGCCTCAGAGGCTGAAGGTCAAGAAGGCTCTGAGAAGCTGACCTCTCCCCTGTCCGAAAGCAGCCGAGCCTTCCATTCCGCTGCCCCTGTTTCTTCTTGGTGTTTGATATAGAAAAATCACTTAGGGGCCAGGCGTGGGGGCTCATGCCTATAATCCTAGCACTTTGGGAGGCCAAGGTGGGCGGATCACCTGAGGTTAGAAGTTCAAGACCAGCCTGGCCAACATGGTGAAACCCCGTCTCTATTAAAAATACAAAAATTAGCCGGGTGTGGTGGCACACATCTGTAATCTCAGCTACTCTGGAGGCTGAGGCAGGAGAATTGCTTGAACCCAGGAAGTGGAGGTTGCAGTGTGCCGAGATTACACCATTGCACTACAGCCTGGGTGACAAAAGCAAAACTCCATCTCAAAAAAAAAGGAAAAAGAAAAATCACTTAGGAAAGCCACATAGTTCACCCTCTGTGGAGCACGTTTATTCAACACACATCAGTTGTGCTGGGCACTGAGCCTGGTACTGGGGATTCAAAAATGATGAAGGCACAATCTAATTGTGGGGAGACCCCTGTCAGACGAGGCCAGCACCCAAAGTCAATGCCGTGGTGGGAGGAAACGGGAGATATGTGGAGCCCGGGGGATGAGTTTGTCATCCAGCCTCAGGAATGGGGAGGCATCACTTGGTGGAACACTGTCCTGGAAGAACCCTGAGGACTCTCCAGGGTTGGAATTGCCCGGAGAATGGGAGCAGCACTGTCAGCAGAGGGAACGCCATCAGCAAAGACAGGATGCCCCAGGGCGAATGTGGTTCCCCTGGAGCATAGAGCACAAACCATGGAGTGTCCCAAGCTCGAGGAGGAGCCCCAGAGGTGGGGCCAAGCTGACAGCCTTCCCTGACAACCCGAGGCCCATGGGGTTCCCTCTGCAGCAGAGAAGTGTCCTCGCGGGGTGGGTACGAGGCATGGTCAGAAGTGAGGCCCCAAACAGCCCTTCATTCCTGAGGACCACAGTCTGGGGCATCCCAGACTTCCCTGGAATCCACCCCCACCCCTGCTGTCTTCTCCACCTGCTCTCTGGCGCTGCTGCCATCATTTGGGAAAAAGCCATTAAATGAATGAGACCAGAAGCTGCATGTACGTTTCCTGCTGTGCCCTGGCAATGCCCTGGCTGTGCCCCAGCTATGCCCTAGCTATGCCCCAGCTGTCTCTTAGCTAACCCTAAGACACAAGGGTGCCTGGAGATGCTCCAGGCTGATCAAGTGGGGAAGAACCCACCTTCCTCAGCCACTGGATTCCAAAAGGCCCCGGAGCCACGCGTGAGACAAAGGTGGTGTGTTCCTGCTGCCAGAGTCACTCTCTCTGTCCCGCCCAGTGGTCGGAGTGAACAAAGAGGTGATTGAGGACTCTCATTCCTGTTTCCTAAGCTGCTCTCCTATTTATCTTCCTCAAGGTGCAATTGAATGAAGAGGGGGGACGGGGACGGGGCCCAGGGAGGATGATGCCATGATTACTGGGTCTCCAGCTAAATTGCAAAAATGTGCACCACTCATAATCCTCAAAATGGCCTCACCAGGCACCAAGCCCAAACTCGAGGGTGGCCTGGAAGAGGTGGGCTTTCATTTAAGAACTTCGAGTCTCTTCAATTTTCCTGAGTGTTTTTGTGGCTGAAACCCAGTGAATGATAACCTTGGCAAAATAATAATAATGATGTATGAATATTTTGTATTTTTAAATAAATCATGTCAGAGTCATATTTCCTGTTGGGGTCAGGCTGAAAGCCAGGCTTCAAGGTCACTCCAAGGTCCCTGTTACCCACAGGCAAAGTGACTTCCAGCTTCTGTCCAGTGTTCCTTCCCCTGCCCCATGGGCCTGGCACTGTTACCTAAAATCCAGCGGCCATTTCTACTCAGTCCTCTGCTGTCTCTAAGGACTTGCGTTCAGTCTAAATGTCTTTTCCATGGATGGTGTTGCCAAGCGGCTCACCTGACAGCTGAAGTCAGTTCCAACGGCAACAGAGGGAAACAGAAGTGCGTCTAGACATCATTGCATATTCTTACATACCTAGTATTTGGCTCACACCTCGGGATCTCACTGAATGCTCAACAGCTCTAGGAAAGAAATGTTATTACCCACTCCTTCATATTTTCACAGTGGAAACAGGCCAAGAGAGGGGATGTGAGTTACCCAACGTCACGCAACCAGCAAATGGCAGGGCTGAGATTTCACGGATTTTACAATTTTATTGATGTATAATTGACGTACAGTAAACTGCCCGTATTTTAAGCGTGCAATGCTGGGCCAGTCGCAGTGGCTCACGTCTGTAATCCCAGCACTTTGGGAGGCCGAGGCGGGTGGATCACCTGAGGTCAGGAGTTCGAGACCAGCCTGGCCAACATGGCAAAACCCTGTCTCTACTGAAAATACAAAATTAGCTGGGCATGGGGGCACATGACTGTGGTCCCAGCTACTTGGGAGGCTGAGACAGAGGATCCCTTGAACCCAGGGGCCGGAAGTTGCAGTGAGCCGAGATTGCACCACTACACTCCAACCTTGGTAACAGAGCAAGACTCTGTCTCAAAATAAATACATATGTACATACATACATAAATAGTGTGCAATTATGTAAGTTGTGAAGCATGTATACACCCAGGTTTTTCAGCCTCAGCCCCACTGGCATTTGGGGCTAATTGTTTTTGGGGGGCGGGGGGTGTCTTGTGGACTGCAGGATGTTTAGCCTCATCCCTGGCCTCTATACACTAGATGCCAGGGGTCTAATTAGTCTGTGAGGGGCAAAATAATCCCTGATTGAGGACCCCTTGTGTCCACCAATGAAGCCACCACCACCATCGAGTGATGAAGGACCCCTCATCCCCAATTCCTTCACGCTCCTTTGTGTTCCCACTTTCCCCAGGCAACAGCCCATCTGTTTCCTGTCACTGAGGATTCAGCTTACATTTTCTTTTCTTTCTTTCTTTCTTTCTTTCTTTTTTTTGAGACAGAGTTTCGCTCTTGTCACCCAGCCTGTAGTGCAGTGGTGTGATCTCAGCTCACTGCAACCTCCACCTCCCGGGTTCAAGCAATCCTCCTGCCTCAGCCTCCTGAGTAGCTGGGACTACAGGCACCCGCCACCACACCCGGCTTATTTTGCATGTTTAGTAGAGCCAGGGTTTCTCCATGTTGGTCAGGCTGGTCTTGAACTCCTGACCTCAGATGATCCACCCATCTCAGCCTCCCAAAGTGCTAGGATTACAGGTGTGAGCCACCGCACCTGGCCTTGGCTTACATTTTCTAGGCTTTTATATATCTGGAATCGCACAGCAGGTACCTTGGAGGGGTCTGGGCTTCACTAAGCCACATAATTTTGAGGCTGCCCCAGACGGTGCGTGTGTCCATAGCGACTCCTGTGGGGCTCTGAGTTGCCTCCTGTGGTGTGGACGCTCTGTGCTTGGCTTCACCATCCGCCTGTTGATGGATTTTAAGGTTGTTTCCAGTTTGGGGCTGTGACAAGCAAAGCTGTTACAGACATTCATGCCTGAGACCTTTTGTGAACACGAACTTTCATTCCTCCCAGGTAAGTACCTAGCAGTGGAGGGGCTGGATCGGAGGGCAGGGGTGTGTTTACCTTTTCAGGAAATGGCCACGCTGTTTTCCAAAGTGGCTCATAGCTTCTGACTCCTGGGTCAGTTCTGTAGGTTCTCGCTCACTGGCTTCTCAGATCCGGAGACAGCGGGGAGGAGGAAAAGGCAGACCAGGGTGGGTGGAATTCCCTAGTAAAATGGAGGCCAGAGAGAAATTTTGAGTCATTTAGAAAAGGCCAGGAAAAGGAGGCATGATGGGAGGGTTCAGAGACTCCACTCACTCCATAGGGGCCCTCGCAGACCTCAGCCAGGATGTGGCTGCCCAGCCAGACCCCCACACCTCACTCCACACTTCTCACCTTTCACATCCTGGATGCTAAAATCTCATTCCTGGGAACCCAGGGCTTCCCTTGGCCCCAGGATGGGTCACATTCCACAGAAATAGTAATCAGTTTCGATACCTTACATCTTTTAAACCAGGAGAGACCCTTCGCTAGAAAAAAAGTATGTCTTTTTGGGAAGCTTCCTCTTTCCCATCTGTTTTCACAGGACTGCTTCCTATGTGGATTGCTGCAGAGTCAAATTCTATTTAACTTTTTCCCCCTGGCTGTACCTGCGAATAACATATTTACATCGTAGAAATGAACCCACCGTAAACTTCCAGAAAAGCTACCATGCTAATTTATTTGCTCTCCATTCACATGGCTTCAGATCTTCACTGCCAATTCTGCTAACGTGGAAGAATTCTGAATCTGCAGGGTAGGTCTGGGAGTTCTGGAAAACTGACCCAGAATCTTGATGAAATTTTTTCCTTTCTTTAAAATCCTTTCATAAAGATTTAAAAAGTGATCCCATGACATCATATATAATCCTGAATTCTTGCATTAAGATTTCTCTTTCAAAGCTAAATATACACCTTTCAACTAGGTAAACAAATAGAGTACAAAGACTGTATTTTCTTGTTTCTAAAAGTGTGAGGATTAAATTTTAATCCATAATTTTAATGAGAAACAGATTAGCCCTGCATAATACATGAAGAATTTGTCCTGGTTAGAATATTATTTTAGATCATCATGTTTTTTTTTACTCAGAGATTTGATAAACCTTACTTCCATGGTTAGTTGGTGAATTGGAATTACTTGAAAATACAGGCCAGACACGGTGGCTCACACCTATAATCCCAGCACTTTGGGAGGCCAAGATGGGCAGATCTCTTGAGGTAAAGAGTTTGAGACCAGCCTGGCCGACATGTTAAAACCCCATCTCTACTAAAAATACAAA
Organism: Homo sapiens; assembly: GCF_000001405.40. NCBI lineage: Eukaryota > Metazoa > Chordata > Mammalia > Primates > Hominidae > Homo > Homo sapiens. The sequence goes on along the minus strand of NC_000011.10, from coordinate 71,279,163 downwards.
AATTAGCTGGGCGTGGTGGCGGGCACCTGTAATCTCAGCTACTAGGGAGGCTGAGGCAGGAGAATCAATTGAACCTGAGAGGAGGAAGTTGTAGTGAGCCAAGATCATGCCACTGCACTCCAGCCTGGGGAACACAGTGAGACTCTGTCTCAAAAAAAAAAAAAAAAAAAAAACAAAGAAAAGAAAAGAAAATATGGCTATAGAGAGAACATTTCTAGAGCCATACGAAGAAACTATTGTCCCCAAAGAGTGAGAATGGGGTTAGAATGGGAGAAGGACTTTTTTCCATTGGGCATCTGACTTCTGATGTTTGGGGTTCTTTTATCATCTGTGGAATAATGTCATAGTTTTAAAAGAATTCAAAACAGTATTTGTGGATAATCACCCATAATGCCCAGTACTAAGAGGCAAATAGTGTTAACTTTTTTAAATATATTTTTGCAGGTGAGTTTTGTTTGTGTGTGTACACATGTATGTATGCATGCACATCATTATGAATAAATATACATTAGCAAAAATCTTTTCCAACTAATCACTTTTCAATCTACAACCTATTGGAGACATCTTTCTGCATTAGCAACACACAGGCCTACCATGGAGATGTTTTGGGTTTGCTTCTGGCCCACCACAATAAAGCAAGTATTGCAATAATGCAAATCACACAAATTTTTCGGTGCCCTGTTGCATGTAAAAGTTATATTTACAGCTGGGCATGGTGGCTCATGCCTGCAATCCCAGCACTTTGAGAGGCAGAGGCAGGAGGATCACTTGAGGTCAAGAGTTTGAGACCAGCCTGGCCAACTTGGTGAAACTCCGTCTCTACTAAAAATACAAAAATTAGCCAGGCGTGGTGATGAGCATCCAGCTACTTGGGAGGCTGAGGCAGGAGAATCACTTGAACCCAGGAGATGGAGGTTGCAATGAGCTGAGATCACGGCACTGCACCCCAGCCTTGGTGACACAGTGAGACTGTCTCAAAAAAAGAAAATTTTTATTTACACCATAATAGAGTCTATTAAGTGTGCAATAGCAGTATGTCTTAAAAAATGTACATACCTTAACTAAAAATTCTTTATTGCTTTAAAAAAAAAAAAGCTAACGATCATCTGAGCCTTCACCCAGTTGGAATTTTTTGCTGGTGGAGGATCTTGTCTCGATGTTGATGGTTGCTGACTGATTAGGGTGGTGGTTGCTGAAGGCTGGAGTGGCTGTGACAATTTCTTGAAATAAGACAACAGTGATTTTTGTTTGTTTGTTTTTTGTTTTTTGTTTTTGAGATGGAGTCTTGCTCTGTCGCCAGGCTGGAGTGCAGCGGCATGATCTTGGCTCACTGCAATCTCCACCCCCCAGGTTCAAACGATTCTCCTGCCTCAGCCTCCCCAGTAGCTGGTACTAGCATGTTACCACGCCCGGCTAATTTTTGTATTTATAGTAGAGACGGGGTTTCACCATGTTGGCCAGATGGTCTCGATCTCTTGACCTTGTGATCCTCCGGCCTAAGCCTCCCAAAGTGCTGGGATTACAGGCATGAGCCACCACACCCGGCCAACAATGAATTTTACTGCATCAATTGATTCTTCTTTTCATGAATGATTTTTCTGTAGTTGATGATGCTGTTTGATAGCATTTTACCCACAGTAAAACTTTCAAAATTGGAGTAAATCCTCTCAAACCCTGTCACTGCTTAAGCAACTATGTTTATGGAATATTCTCAATCCTTTGTTGTCATTTCAACAATGTTCACAGCATCTTCACCAGGGGTAGATTCCATCCAAGAAACCACTTTCTTTGTCCGTCCATAAGAAGCAGCTCCTCATCTGTTCAAGTTTTCTCATGAGATTGCAGCAATTCAGTCCCATCTTCAGGCTCCACTTCTAATTCTAATTCCAGTTCTCTTGCTATTTCCGCCACATTTGCAGTTGCTTCCTCCACCGAAGGCTCGAACCCCTCAAAGTCATCCATGAGGGTTGGAATCAACGTCTTCCCAACTCCTGTTGTTGATACTTTGTTGATTATTTTGACTTCCTCCCATGAATCATAAATTTTTTACTGGCATTTAGAATGGTGAATTCTTTCCAGAGGGTTTTCAATTGACTTTGCTCAGATCCATCATAGAAATCACTATCTCTGGCAGCAATAGCTTTGCAAGGTGTATTTCTTAAAAAACAAGACTTGAAGCCAGGCATGGTGGCTCACGCCTGTAATCTCAGCACTTTGGCAGGCTGAGGCAGGTGAATCACGAGGTCAGGAGATCGAGACCATCCTGGATAACATGGTGAAACCCCATCTCTACTAAAATACAAAAAATTAGCCGGGCGTGGTGGTGCACACCTGTAGTCCCAGCTACCCAGAAGGCTGAGGCAGGGGAATAGCTTGAACCCAGGAGGTGGAAGTTGCAGTGAGCCGAGATTGTGCCACTGTACTCCAGCTTGGCAAAGAGCAAGACTCTGTCTCAAAAAAAAAAAAAAAAAAAAAAAAAAACAAGACTTGAAAGTACAAATGACTCTTCTTCTTTGATCCATAGGCTGCAAGTGGATGTCATGTTAGCAGGCATGTAAACAACATTAATCTCCTTGTACATCTCCATATCTCCATCGGAGCTCTTGGATGACCAGTTGCATTGTCGATGAACAGTAATATTTTGAAAAGAATCTTTTTTCCTGAACAGCAGATCTCAATAGTGAACTTAAAATGTTTAGTAGGTTGAGCACGGGCTCATGCCTGTGATCCCAGCACTTTGGGAGGCTGAGGTGGGCAGATCACTTGGGCTCAGAAGTTCAAGACCAGCTGGGCAACATGGCAAAACCCCCCTCTACAAAAATTACAAAAATTAGCTGGGCGTGGTGGTATACACCTGTATTCCCAGATACTGGGGAGGCTGAGGTGGAAGGATCACCTGAGCTTGGGAGGTTGAGGCTACAGTGAGCTATGATTGCACCACTGCACTGCAATCTGGGTGACAGAGACTCTGTCTCAAAAAAAACCCAAAAAAGCCCAGTAAATCACGCTGTAAACATTAAAAGATGTGCTGTCATCCAGGCTTTGCTGTTCCATTTGTAGAGCACAGGCAGAGTAGATTTAGCATCATTCTTAAGGGCCCTGGGATTTTCAGAATGGCAAATGAGCACTGGCTTCAACTCAAAGTCACCAGCTGCATTCGCCCCTCACAAGGGATTCAGCCTGTTCTTTGAAGTTTTGAAGCAGGTACTGGCTTCTCTTCTAGCTGTGAAAGTCCTAGATGGCGTGTTTTTCCAAGAGAAGCCTGTTTTGTCTACATTGAACATCTGTTTAGTGTAGCCACCTTCATCGATGAACTCAGCTAGATCTTCTAGAGAACTTACCACACCTTCTCCATCAGCACTTGCTGCTTCACCTTGCACTTTTATGTTATGGAAATGGCTTCTTTCCTTAAATCTCATCAACCAACCGCTTCCAGTTTCCAACTTTTTTTTTTTTTTTCTGCAGCCTCCTCACCTCTCTCAATTTTCATAGAGTTAGGGCCTTGCTCTGGGTCAGGCTTTGGCTTACGGGGCTGTTGTGACTGGTTTGATCTACGCAGACCATTCAGACTTTCTCCGTATCAGCAATAAGTCTGTTTTTACTTCTTCTCCTTCGTGTTTTTACTGGAGTAGCACTCTAATTTCCTTCAAGATCTTTTCCTTTGTATTCACAGCTTGGCTCACTGTTTAGCACAAGAGGCCTAGCTTTCAGCCCCTCTCAACCTGCCTTCCTCACTAAGCTTAATTGTTTCTAGCTTTTTTTTTCTTTTATTATTATTATACTTTAAGTTTTAGGGTACGTGTGCACAACATGCAGGTTTGTTACATATGTACACCTGTGCCATGTTGGTGTGCTGCACCCATTAACTCGTCATTTAGCATTAGGTGTATCTCCTAATGCTATCCCTCCCCCCTCCCCCCACCCCACAACAGTCCCCAGTGTGTGATGTTCCCCTTGCTGTGTCCCTGTGTTCTCATTGTTCAATTCCCACCTGTGAGTGATTTTTATAGCAGCACTATTCACAATAGCAAAGACTTGGAACCAACCTGAATGTCCAACAATGATAGACTGGATTAAGAAAATGTGGTACATATACACCATGGAATACTATGCAGCCATAAAAAATGATGAGTTCATGTCCTTTGTAGGGACATAGATGAAACTGGAAACCATCATTCTCAGCAAACTATCGCAAGAACAAAAAACCAAACACCGCATATTTCTAGCTTTTGATTTAAAGAGGGAGGCATGTGACTCTTCCTTTCACTTGACACCTAGAGGCCATTGTAGGGTCATTAATTGGCCTAATTTCAATACTGCTGTGTCTCAGGGAATGGGGAGGCCTGAGGAGAGGGAGAGAGGGGAATGGCCAGTTGGTGGATTGGTCGGAACACACTCAGCATTTATCAATCGGTTGATGGTGCTCTAAAACAACTACAACAGTAACAGCAAAGATTTCCGATCACAGACCACCATCACAGAACTATTCGTAACAGAAAGGTTTGAAATATGGCAATATTTATCAAAACGTGACAAAAAAACACGAATCAAGCTCATATTGTTGGAAAGATGCCACTGATTCACTTGCTTGATACATGGTTGCCACAAACCTCCAATTTGCAAAAAATGCAATAAAGTGAAGCTAAATAAAATGGCGTGTGCCTATCTCTTCTTTAATGCTGAAGCTGAATGTATTTGGCAGACAATCTGTGATCAAGGAAAGTCCTTTTCCTATTCTAAGGGTATTAGTCAGCTTTTGCTGTGGTAACAAACAACCCCAAAACCTTAACGTCTTCTGATCACAAGCACGTGTTTCTTACGAGACTCAGCGGGCTTCACTGGGCTGGGATCTAGGCTGTGGTCAGAAGCGCTGCCAAGAAGACACCTCCGTGGGTCTCTGTAGAAGTAAAAGTTCCTCTTCAAATTTGCCCTTCTTATTAAAGAATAAATCATAAGTGTTAACAAATAAGTTTCTTTTAAAGACTAACTTCCTTCAAGCCTCCTTGCTTTATGCTAATAACTCTTTGTTAAGCCCTATCCTATGTAGCTGTTAGACATGCTCACAGGCACGTAGTACATTCTATGTCCTTGTACTTTCACCAAAATATTTGTGCTAGACTTGCTCACAGGCCTGTCCCAGCTCGCAGCCCATGCCCCTTCCTTATTTGGGAATGTTATTACTTTTCTAAGTCCTTTTATAAGCAACTTCCTCTTTTCCTCTGTTTTCCATTGCTTTTACCTATTTAGAAAAGTTTTAAAATTATTAGCCAGTCGGGTTTTAGTTTAGATTGTGTGGTCCAGCTCTAGCCAATGGAGACAGGACACAGTAGCAGGCACAAACTGCATAAGGGATAAAAATTGCTTCTCTCCTTTGTTCAGGTGTGCTCTTGCCATTGTTCCATCTGTGATGAGCACCCTTTCTGCAGAAAGTAAAAATTGCCTTACTGAGAGAACTAAATTTATGTTCAAGTGCTATTTCTTTGTGGCACCAGGGAACAAGCATTTCTAACAGTCTCTCCTTCTGAGACTGAGGATGAAGGGGCAGCCATCTCTGGGGTCTGTTCTGCTCAGAGTGGAGATCAGGAGTAAGTGAGGACTGGTGGGCACCTGCACTGCATTCCTTACCACCAGGTCAGGGTGCTCAGTCCCATCCAGGTTCTATTGGCCAAAGCAAGTCATATCATTGGCCAAGGCAACATCAATGGGGCGAATGAGTAAACTTCACCCATGGTGGAATGGCAGGGTGGGGTGGGGGAGTAGAGTCGATATTTGCTGAACAATAATGCAATCCAGTGCACTGCATGAAAAGAAATAAAAAGAGAAGTTGGGATTCTGCTGAATAAGTAATGAGGGCTTTAGAAACCAAGCTGGAACTAGTATTTTGTGGCTGCTACAGTAATTCTTCAGATCTTGCTCCATTTTGTTTTTTGGGCTTGAATTGCTGTGAATGTTAGTGAGTAGAATGTAATTTATATCACGAATAATGACAATGGTGATAGCTGCAAATATCTCACCATTCAGAGCACCTTTTATGAGGATTTCACTTAAATTATCTTATTTAATTCTCACCATAATCTGATGAGATGTTTATCATTATGATTCCCATTTCAAAAATGAGAAAACAGAGGCTTAGAAGATTAAGTTACTTGTCCAAAGTCACACCCTAGTGGGTGACAGTCAGGACTCAAATTCAGTTGTTTGACTTGAAGCCCAAGCATTTCAACACTATAGAGTCCAACACTAGTATTTGAGAAGTGTGTGTGTGTGTGTGTGTGTGTGTGTGTGTATGTGTGTGTGTGGCTTTAATATCCTCCTTCTTCTTGATATAGGAGGGAGGCGGGCTGTGTGCTCTTAGGGAGGGGGCATTACCTGCATGGGTATAATCCCTCCAATGACAGGAGCCATTGGTGAAGGCCCCAACCCCAGGAAAGCTGACCCTGCGTTTCTACATAAAACATGGCCTTGTGGTAAACACTGCTGAGGCCGATCAGTCCTAGCTCTACTTCTCCTTCCCTTCCTGAACACAGAAGGACTACGACCTTTTCCTGCCTCCTTGAGTTAGGCCTGGCTGGTTGCTTTCCTTGGCTGATGGGGTGTGAATGTCAGGGGGTGTGCCACTTCCAGGAGGGAGCATTTAAGAGCTGGTGGGTGATCCCCATCGCCCACTCTTCCTTTGTGGTGACAATTTTGGAGGTTCATGGAGGACAGTTGCTCTGGAGGGTCAGCTTCCCACAGTGAAAAATAAATGACGTGAGAAATCATGTTGTTGTGCTAAGCCACCTGGAGTGGGGGATGTTTGTTACCACAAAATAACTCAGCCCATACTGGCTGACACAGGTCTCCTCTGGCTGCCTGCAGCACTGCTCCCCTCTCCTCTTCTGAGGGTTTGCTCTCCAGTTAGCCTGCAACGTTCTTCCCTTTGATCTACAACTGACCTAGCTCCCCTTTGAGAGCCCAGGCAGGCTCCTTTGCTGGTGTGGGTTGGGGATGGGGTCTCTACTGTGAAAATCACAGCAGAATCCCCAAGGACCCTGCTATCCCCAACTGGGCCAACAGCAGCCCCCAGGCCATCTGACCCTGCAGACAAGTCCCTCTGTGCAGTTAACAGGTTTCGAACTCACATCCTCAGACGAGCATTAGAGTTTGGCTAACAGTGCCCAGAGCTTTAACGGGCACCCAGGCCCTATCTATCAAGCCACTGTGATTTAATCAGCTCCCAGCCTTCCTTGCCTAATTATCATCAGCACTTTACCACAATTTGCTTTGCAGACTGTTTTACAGAAATTTTAGTAGTTATTAATCCCAAGACACAGAGAATAAGGCTGCCAGGTGCTGGAACAAAGCCTTCAGAAGCAAGTCAGAGTTCCGAGTGGAAATTTCTTCAGTCCTGACCTCATGTTGCCACGGTGAGATGCACACATGGCCTCTTCTGTGTCACACAACAGGACCCAACTCAAGAGAGGGAGTACCTATTCTCCCTGACACTTGGTAAGAAGATTCTGAAGCCCCACAAAAGGCCAGATCTACCTAGTTGCTTTCATTTTCTACCCCCGCCTTCAGGTTAATTTGCTATTTTTAAGAACACACGTGGCTGGGAACGGTGGCTCACGCCTGTAATCTCAGCACTTCGGGAGGCCAAGGTGGGCGGATTGCTTGAGGTCAGGAGTTCATGACCAGCCTGGCCAACATAGCGAAATCCTATCTCTACTGAAAGTACAAAAATTAGTCAGGTTTGGTGGCGTGTGCCTGTAACCCCAGCTACTCGGGAGGCTGAGGCAGGAGACTTGCTTGAACCCGGGAGGCAGAAGTTGCAGATCACACCGCTGCACTCCAGCCTGGGCAACAGAGTGAAACTCCCTCTTAAAAAAAAAAAAAATGTGACAATGAAACTCATACCCACAGAAGCCTATGAAGCAATCTAAGCTCTCATTATAGAATTAAAAATAAAACCAGGCCAGGCATGGTGGCTCATGCCTGTAATCTCAGCACTTTGGGAGGCCGAGGCAGGTGGATCACCTGAGGTCAGGAGTTGGAGACCAGCCTGACCAACATGGTGAAATCCCGTCTCTACTAAAAATACAAAATTAGCCAGGCATGGTGGCGCATGCCTATAATCCCAGTTACTCAGGAGGCTGAGGCAGGAGAATCACTTGAACCCGGGAGGCGGAGGTTGCAGTGAGCTGAGATCGCACCATTGCACTCCAGCCTGGGAAACAAGAGCGAAACTCCATCTCAAAAATAAAATAAAATAAAACCAACAATAAAAAAGTTCAGATATGCAAGTAATCTATATTTAGCTGTTATTAAAATTATCAGTTGCTTATTCCAAATTGTCTCTGCATCTTTATCCCACCTTTATGGAGGCCCCATTCTTGTTCTCTTTGAGTTCTTTGCAACAGCAAAGGACGGGCATCTCTGGGTCTGCCAGTCCGTACATCCCTTGCATTAAAAGGCTCTCGGGAAACACATGGAGAGGAGCCGGGGCAAACCACTCTGTGAAAGGCCCTGGTTATAATTCTCTGTAATGTACATTCCTAATTATTATTGGGCCAATTAACTGTTAATGCCAGGGCCTAGAACACAAAGGTTTCTTTAATAAGAGTGTTAATCACTCCTAACTAAGGAGGGTTAGGAGGCTCTCTGTATTTTCCAAGAGTTCAGCCGAAACCTCTCTTGTTCTTTCATTCAGCCCTGCAGCCAACACAGGGATCCCCACTGCAGCCTCCACGCCGGTCACCGGTCATGTTTCACCTTGGCCTGAACCCTTCCCACCAGCCACATGGTTCTCCCGGTGAGACAACCCAGGGTGTTCCTGCGGGAGCCGGACTGGGGGCACCTAAGGGGTGTGCCCAGGTGGCCCACAGGGTAGGAAACACCTCCATAGAGGAACTGCCTCCAACTTTTGATCTTTTGTCCAGCACGTAGTAAGATGAACTGTTGCTACAACGGTGGGCATAGTAAAGGTTCTGTCTTCAAGAAAGAATTTTGGTTGAAACAGGCCTTGCCATGTGCAGGAGAGCAGGTGCAGCTTGCTGTGTGTACAAAGGGTGTGGACAGAGGGGCCATCCAGCAGGCACCCGAGAGTGGCCACAGCAACTGGGAGAGGATATACGGCAGTGCAGACAGCAGTTTCATGCTGTAGAGGCATTGTAGGAAATGCAGGAGTTTTTACTCTTGTTCTCAGATTTCTGAAATTCTTTTAAAATGAGTCTTAAACGCCTTAACCCCTCCTTACAAGCCATCAAAATTCTTGAATCTGAAAGTGCACCCCGAATGTAATGCAGCTCGGGCCACTGAACTTGTGGCACGGCCAGTTCTTTGTATTGAACCCGAATCATCACTTTAAAGTTCCATTGATGTTACTTTTGTCCCAACAGGAGCTGTGCAAAGTCTAATCCAACCTTCACAGGCCATTGTTCTCAGTGATCTTGATGGCAACCCTAATGCCACCTCCAGCCTTCTATTTCCAGATGCAATACCTGCAATTCTCTCAACCAGTTGTGATAACAGCAATAGCTGACATTTGCTGAGGATCTATTATGTGGCAGGCTCTGTGCCAAGCCTCACTCTATGTGAGATTTCATTTACCCTCATTTCATAAGACCCAATGAAGACACGCTATTGTTGTCCCTAGGATTTTTTTTGTTTTAGTTTTTGTTTTTTTTGGGACAGAGTCTCACTTTGTTGCCCAGGCTGGATTGCAGTGGCACAATCTTGGCTCACTGCAGCCTCTACCTCCCGGGCTCAAGTGATTCTCCTGCCTCAGCCTCCCAAGTAGCTGGGATTACAGGCATGCACCGCCACGCCTGGCTAATTTTTGTATTTTTAGTAGAGACAGGGTTTCCCCATGTTAGCCAGGCCGGTCTCGAACTTTTGACCTCAACTGATCTGCCCCCCTTGGCCTCCCAAAGTGCTGGAATTACAGGCGTGAGCCACCGTGCCCAGCCTGCTGTCCCTATTTAACAAGGAATCTGGGACTCAGCATGTCCAGGTAAGCCCCTTAGCATCATAGAGATGGTACACTTGGCAGAGAGGGGACCAGGGCTCCAGGGCTCCATGTGCCATGTCCCCACGCAGTCAGGGCCAGCTCCCAGCTCTCCTCTACCCACCCCCGACCCCCAGCCAGCCTCTCCATGAGGCTGTTCCCATTCTCAGTGTTCCAAAGTGTGAAATGAATTCTTCCGCTGGCCTGTCTTGCCACAAACACAAGGACAGCACGATGTTCTGTTTGTTCTGCGGAGAGTGTGAGGGTGGGGTGGTTTTAAAGTCCAAAAAGTCACAGGGGCACAATTCGCATCCACTGATGTTGTGCGGAACACAAATCAGAGAGATTCTGGAATCTAGGAAGCCTGGCTCAGACTCCTCCTCCTCCCTCCTCCTCCCTCCTTCTCCTCCCTCCTCCTCCTCCCTTCTCCTCCTCCTCCCAAAGCCTGGGCTTGGACCCACTCCCACCTTGCAGAGGCAGCTGGGATAGAACTGGGCATGGAGAGAGGGGCATGGACTGACAGGGGGGAGGTTGCTCTTTTTATTTTTAGAGTCTGTCTTGACAAACATCGGTTAACCTATTATGCTGTTATTTTCATAATAACAATGAAGAATGTAAGTATTAGTTAATAATCAATCAACAGTAATGGAATTACAATAATAGTGCAGTGAGAATGAACATGGGAAAGCCTGACTCTCCAGCATCCTAGTTGCAGCCCTGGATTGTTTCCAACGTCTGCACTCTCTCCAGGGACGTTTGGTGGAGCTTGGGACGCTGTGGTGGGACGATGAAGGACACGCCTGGTGAGGCGGCTGTGCCCTCTCATGCAGCCCCCGCCAGCCTCTGAACTTCCACTGCCATAGAAACAGCCGACGGCTGGCTCCCACCTCACTTTAGTAGAGGAAGTTGACAGAGGAAGAGCCAGGGGCTGAGGGAGCTGTGCAGGGGGGCCTTCCCAGGGCACAGCTCCCCGAGGTGCATGAGCTCATTCTGAGAGGAGCCCAGACCACCCAGGGAACAACAGGGCAGTAGGGGGACCACCAGGTGACTGCAGGGACCAGGCAGATGGGGAAGAACTGATGGTGATTTGCAAACGACTCAAGGCTGGGAGATGCTGGGAGTGAGGACTGCACAGCTGCCAAGCTGGGGGTTCCCACTCTGCCCGACTGCCCAATCCTGCGAGCTGCACTAGCTCTGGTGCTCGATCCTGCGAGCTGCACTAGCTCTAGTTTATCTATTAGAGCCGGCCTCTAGGCCAGGGGCCTGCCCTGGGTGGTGGGGTGGGTGGTTATGGGACCCCAAGAGAGACAGTTTCTGGGGGGAAGAGTGGAGGCTGTGGCGAAGCTTAGAGGATGAGGGAGTGGGACCTGGGGTTCCGGGGATCCCTGCTGGCTCCAGCCTGCATAGCCTGGGAATGGCCTCCTGCCTCAGATCCCCCAAACCCAGCCAGAGAGGGAGGGATGGACTGAGTAGAGGCAGCATCCTGTTTTGTTATAATAGAGCAAACCCTATCTAAACCCTGTAGTTATGTACTCTGCATCCTGCACTCCAAAGAAATGAATGTAATCGTCTCCAACAAAATGATCCCCTTGGTACACTTTGCATTTGGCCTCAGGGTAGATTCCTATAAGGAATGAGATGCTTAGGGGAGGCTGTCCAGGGGAGAAGGCCTTGGGTCTCTTGTCAAAAAAAAGTCAAGTAATTTACCATTTGCCATTTTCTTTTGACTTTTATATTGCCTATTCCATTTAGAATTAATTTCCTTAACTGTGACCTGGGGAAGGGCAAAGGGAGGCCTTTTTAAAAGTGGGAAACTGACCAAGTGGCTCCATATCCTTCCCAGACAGCACCAGTAGACCCTGTTCATTGCTTTATCGATCATTTACTTAAAAAACGTCCCACATTGCCTTCAGAGAAGTGAACGCATAGAAGTTGATTTTTTTTTTCTTTTTCTTTTTGAGACAGTCTTCTTCTGTCACCCATCTGCCTCCTGGGTTCAAGCCATTCTCGTGCATCAGCCTCCTGAGTAGCTGGGATTATAGGCGCACACCACCATGCCCGGCTAATTTTTGTATTTTTAGTAGAGATCAGAGATGGGTTCAAGCCATTCTCGTGCATCAGCCTCCTGAGTAGCTGGGATTATAGGCGCACACCACCATGCCCGGCTAATTTTTGTATTTTTAGTAGAGATGAGGTTTCACCATGTTGGCCAGGCTGGCCTCTGACTCTTGACCTCAAGTGATCCGCCTGCCTCCGCCTCCCAAAATGCTGGGATTACAGGCGTGAGCCACCGCGCCTGAGCAAAGTTGATTCTTCTAACGAAAATAAACTTTGGACCTTGGGGATAAATTCAATCACTGTGCCCCTTAAGAGGATTTTCACAGAGCGCATCGTAGCAGAGTGCATTTGGCCAGATGCACGCGGTGCAGCATCTGGCAGGGCCTGGTTTTTGTCTAGAAAGCAGTCAGCCCGCACCTCCTTTCTGTGCTGGATTCTGAGCCCAGAGGCCGGCATGTAACTCGCCCCAGGAGCAGCTCTGCCACATTTCTTACATGGAACTGGTTTGGAAACCGGGCCTGAGTCCCAACCTTTACCGGCTCCACTCTGCAAATGTGGAGGGTTGCTGGGCTCAGGAAACAACAAGGCAGGTAAAATACAGCCCCTCCCCGCGAGGAGGAGCAAGCGCAGCTGAGGGCAGGATCTCGGGGAACTGGCCCTACCTGGGCGGGGCAACAGTGGAGCCAGGAGAACTGGGAAGTTCTCTGAAGGGAGTGGATGTGCGAGCCAGTCTTAAGAGGGGATGAGGAAGGAGCAGGGTGAGAAGGTCGGCACCTCCAAGGGGCCGTTTACCCAGAGGAGGGGTTTGGATCTGACGCGGAAGGGATGGAAGCCAGACAGGAGTGAAAGCCAGGTGCAGTTTGAGGCCAGGCCAAGAGCTCCAGGGCTGGTGAATGAGGCAGGCGTAGGGGCTGAAGGAGATTCAAAATCAGCAACAGATGGATGACGGCAGGCCCCAGCAGGATAGGTGGAGAGACAAGCGGGACCCAAGGCAGGTGGAGGAGGCTGATTCTGAAGGGCTCGGAGATGTGAGAGCTGGTGGCGGAGCAACAGGGGTCCAGGATACCTCCGGGGTCCTCGCTTAGGGCACTAAGGTGACAGTACTGCCACCCCTGCCCCCAGCAGGGAGCGTGGAGGGAAACAAGCACTGTGGAATGTTGAGCTCTCTTTCAGATGTGCTGAGACTGGAGTCCTAGTGAGGTGACCAGACGTGGACGTCCAAGTGGGGCACTTAGCAGAGGCTGCGCTGCAGAGCAGACGTGGCTGTGGACAAGGCCACCTATGAAAACTGGGAACTGCGAGAAGGGAGAAGGTCAGGGACAGAGCTGGGCTGACCCCAGTGTTTCGGGGGGCCCACAGAAGGGTGCTCAAAGTAGGCGTGAGACACGTGGAGACCCAGGATGCTTCTGAAGGTGTGTAAGGGGAAGGTGTGCGCATGCCGGGCGGTGGGGAGTCAGCCACTCGGAGGCCACTGACGGAAACCCCACCGTTTTGGAAATGGCCCTTGGTTGATCAAACAAATGTTTACTGTGCCAGGCACATCCAACTGTGTTTGGCAATAGCATTCCTGCAACAGCAAAAATATTTCTAAACCCCAATGCATTGTGCTCATCTCTGGCAGCTTTAAGACTGTTCACATCATGGTAATATTTGGGTGGACAATGTCTGGCAGCACAGCTCCCCACCTGCATGCACATGCATGGAAAGTACAACCGTGTATGCTTTTTCATAAACAGGACTGTGTGCGATGCTGTGCGTACTTTTTCATGAACAGGACTGTGTGCGATGCTGTGCGTGTTTTTTCATGAACAGGACTGTGTGCGATGCTGTGCGTGCTTTTTCATGAACAGGACTGTGTGCGATGTCCTATACTGCACTTCTGCCACTCAGTGAGGGATCGGGGTCCTCTTTTTTGTGTCTGTAAATTGAGATCTACGTCCCCATTTGCGTCAGCTGCATAGTATTCCATTGTTTTCCCGTGTTGCATTTTATTTGTGCTGAGCACTTATATTTGTGAGATTAATCCATTTTTGAGATCCATCCACATGTTGTGTAGTAATAGTGCATTCACTCTGTTGCCATGAGGATGGCATGATTTGTTCATTCATAGCACTGTTGACAGGCTTTTGGGTGCTGTATTAGTGAGCAGGGTTCTCCAGAGAGACAGCACCAACAGTGTACATTTACACACACTCACACACACACACACACACACAGAGGGAGAAAGAGAGAGAACGAGAGAGTGAGCAAGCATGAGAGCCAGAGAGGGGCTTCGTTATGGGAATTGGATTAGACTATGATGGAGGCTGAGAAGTCTCAGGACCTCCTGTGCAAGCGGGAGAACCAGGGAAGTCGATAGCATGGCTCACCCCAAGCCAAAGGCCTCAGAACCAGGGGGGCAATAGTGTTGCTCTCAGTTTGAGGCCAAAGGCCTGAGAACCTGGAGCTCTGATACCCAAGGCCAGGAGAAGACAGGTGTCCCAGATCCAGAAGAGACGGCAAATGTGCCCTTCCTTTGCCTTTCTGTTCTATCCGGGCCCCCAGCTGATTGGATGGCACCTGCTCACGTTGAGTGAGGGTGGATCTTCTTAGTCCACGGATTCAAATGCCAATATCTTCTGGAAACACTCTCACAGGCCACACCCAGAGAGAATGCTTTACCGGCCATATGGTCATCCCTTCACCCAGTCAAGTGGACAGCCAAAATCAACCATCACAGCTATTAATACTTTCCAGACTGGGGAGGTTATCAACCTACGTACAGGTGATCTCCTTCAGGCACAAATACCTTGGCGACGATGTGATTATGTCCTTAGAATAACTTAGAATTGAGTTTCCTGGATTCCTACACTTTTCCCTTTGACACCTGTGGCCATGCTGCAGTCACCTTGCTTGCAACGTTTTTTTTTTTGTTTGTTTTTTGTTTTTTGTGAGATGGAGTTTCACTCTTGTCACCCAGGCTGGAGTGCAATGGCACAATCTCAGCTCACTGCGACCTCCACCTCCCACGTTCAAACTATTCTCCTGACACAGCCTCCCAAGTAGCTGGGATTACAGGCACCTGCCACCATGCCCAGGTAATTTCTGTATTTTTAGTAGAGACGGGGTTTCATTATGTTGGCCAGGCTGGTCTCGAACTCCTGGCTTCAAGAGATCTGCCTGCCTCAGCCTTCCAAAGTGCTGGGATTACAGATGTAAGCCACTGCGCCTGGCCGCTTGCTACTTCTTACACGTCACCCAGTCCTGCGGGCTCCCCTGTTCTCACGTCCTGGAAGACACTGGGGTGCATCTGTCTTTGCTCCTCTGTTTGCAGAAAAGGAAATAAACAGTTTTGATTTTATTTCATCATCTTGAATTATCAATAAATAAATATATTAATGCACAGCCATGTCATCACCACACTATCCAGATAAAAAGCAGTTCCATCGCCCCCAAAATTCCCTCCTGCTGCTTCTCTGCAGCTTCTCTCCAACCCAAACCCTAGCAACCACTGATCTCTTCTCCATGCCGAGGGCTTTGCGTTTTCCAGAATATTTTATCAGTGAGATCACTCAGTAAGCAGCCTTCTTCCTGATGCTGCCTTATTTCTCATGGCACAACGTATTTGAAATTCAGCCACCTTGTTGCATGTGTCCAGAGATGTTCCTTTTTATTGCTGAGCAGTGTTCACTGAAGGATATTCATCTGGGTTGTTTCTATGTTTTGGTTTGGCAATTATGAATAAATCTGCTATAAACATTCAGACAAGTTTTAGTGTGAACACAGACTTTTCATTTCTTTTGGGTAAATACATAGGTTGTATATATTAAGGATATGCTTAATTTTCTAAGGAACTGTCAAACCTTCTTTTTTTTTCTTTCAGAAATGAAGTCTCACTCTGTGGCCCAGGCTGGAGTGCAGTGTCACAATCACAGCTCACTGCAGCCTCGAACCCCTGGGCTCAAGTGATCCTCCCGCCTCAACCTGCCAAGTAGCTGGGACTCATAGGCACGTGCCACCATGCCTGGTTAATTTTTTTTTTTTAATTTTATGTTTTAGAGACAGGGTCTTACTATGTTAACCAGACTGGTCTCAAATTCCTGGTCCCAAGCCATCCTCCTGTCTCAGCCTCCCAATTAGCTGAGACTATAGGAACAAGCCACCATATCTGGCTGGTTAAATCTTCAATTCATCTGAAATTTATTTTGCTACGAGAAGTTGGCTAGAGATTTAGCTATATTTTTCAAAAATTGCTAGGCTTGTACTACGACACCATATATTGAATAGTCCTTCTTTCTATACATTTTTAAAAGCATATTTATGATCGCTAAATTTCCTCCCAGTTTCCCTCCCTCCTTCCCCCCCGCCTTCCTTTGCTAAAAGCATACTGAGCACGTACCAAGAGCCAGGCTCCGTGTAAGTGCTGCAGATCCAGGTGAGCAGGAGCGAGTTAACAGGTTTTGTTGTTTCATTGTTTTGAGACAGGGTCTCACTCCCGTTGCCCAAGCTGGACTTCAGTGGCACAACCACGGCTCACTGCAGCCTCCACTTCTGGGCTTAGCTGATTCTGTCATCTCAGCCTCCCACTAGCTGGGTCTATAGGTGTGTGCCACCATGTCTGGCTAATTGTGTTTGTATTATTATTATTATTATTATTTTTGTAGAGAGGGGGTCTCTCCACATTGCCCAGCCTGGTCTTGAACTCCTAGGCTGGAGCAATCCTTCAGCCTTGGCCTCCTAAAGTGCTGGGATTACAGGTGTAAGCCACCACACCTGGCCTGAGAGAGTTAAGATGTACTGGTTGACAAGATGCTCTGAAGCACATGGCACTGGCACACAGATCGTATTTCAGCTTTGCTGTAAAAGTTGAGTGACAGTTGATAGACAGTCAAAGAGGCATGGTGGGAATGGGAAAACAGAGGAAAGAGAGAGCCTGGCATTGTGAAAACTTGAAAGAAGATCATCATGGCTGGAGCACAGAATGCAGGCAATGAGTAACCTGGTTTTATTTCCGATGGGTCACTTGCTCTATCAGTCTATTTCTGTGCCTGTTACACACTTGGTAATTATCACAGCTTCTTGGTATATTTAAGCTTGAGTAGGGCCGGTCTCCTTTGCTGCTCTCTTTGAAGGTTTTCCTTGCTATTCTCTTTTTTTTTTTTTTTTTTTTTTTTTATTGAGACAGAGTCTGGCTCTGTCGCCCAGGCTGGAGTGCAGTGGTGCAATCTCGGCTCACTGCAAGCTCCGCCTCCCGGGTTCACACCATTCTCCTGCCTCAGCCTCCCGAGTAGCTGGGATTACAGGTGCCCGCCACTACGCCCAGCTAATTTTTTGTATTTTTAGTACAGACCAGGTTTCACTGTGTTAGCCAGGATGGTCTCGATCTCCTGACCTCGTGATCCACCCACTTCGGCCTCCCAAAGTGCTGGGATTACAGGCGTGAGCCATTGTGCCGGGCCTGTTTTCCTTGCTATTCTAAAGTCAACTTTTATCAAAGTCTAGCATATCTATAAAAAATGCATAAATCATAAGTGCATGACTTGATGGATTTTCACAAACTGAACACATCCATGTGAGCAGACCCAGATCAGGAAACAGAGCACTCAGCATCTAGAGCTTTTCCTCATGTTCTCCCCAAGTCCCAGCTGCCAACACTACAGATTACGTTTGCCTATTACTCAACCTTCTACAAATGTGATTTTACAGTACCTTCCTATACAAAGTGTAAAGCTTCTTTCACTTAAAATGGTAACAGTGAGATTAATTCCCACTTTTGCATGTAGCAACAGTTCCTTCATCTTTATTGCTGATCAGTATTTCATTCATTTATTCTTTCATTTCACTGTTGATGGAGTTTTGGGTGATGTTTTAGTCCGTCCAGGGTGCGATGGACTAAATACCATAGACTGGGTGGCTTAAACAACAAAAGTTTTCTTCTTACAGTTCTAGAGGCTGAGAAGTCCAAGCTCAAGGTGCTGGCGGATTCTGCATCTGGTGAGGGCCCACTTCCTGGTTCAGAGATGGCGTCTTCTCTCTGTGTTCCCCACAGATGACAGAGAGAAAGGAGCTCTCTCGGGACTCTTTTAAGGGCATGAATCCCATTCTCAGGTGCTCCACTCTTAAGACCTCAATGAATCCTAATGACCTAACAAAGACCCCACCTCCTAATGCCACCAAATTAGGGGGTAGGATTTCAACATACGAATTTTGGGGAGACACCAATAATCAGTCCATAACAGATGGTTTCTGGTTTTGCCACAGAATGAATGCTACGTCTCTTTATTTATTTATTTATTTTTGAGACAGGGTTTTGCTGTCTCCCAGGCTGGAGGGCAGTGGCGCGATCGTGGCTCACCGCAGCCTCTAACCACCCAGGTTGAAGTGATCCTCCTGCCTCAGGCCCCTCTGAGTAGCAGGGACTACAAGCACTTGCCACCATGCACGGCTGATTTTTGTATTTTTTTAAGAGGCAGGGTCTTGCTGTGTTGCCTAGACTGGTCTCAAATTCCTGACCTCAAATGATCCTCCCATCTTAGTCTTGAAAATTTTTGGGATTACAGGTGTGACCACCATGCCTGGCTGCTATGCATCCTTTTTTTTTTTTTTTTTTTTTTGAGGTGGAGTTTCGCTCTTGTTGCCTAGGCTGGAGTGCAACGGCGCAATCTCGGCTCACCGCACCCTCCGCCTCCCGGGTTCAAGCCATTCTCCTGTCTCAGCCTCTTGAGTAGTTGGGATTACAGGCATGTGCCAACATGCCTGGCTAATTTTGTATTTTTAGTAGAGACAGGGTTTCTCCATGTTGGTCAGGCTGGTCTCGAACTCCCAACCTCAGGTGACCTACTTGTCTCAGCCTCCCAAAGTCCTGGGATTACAGGCGCGAGCCACTGTGCCCGGCCTGCTGTGCATCTTTTGATGCACATATACACTCATTCCTCTGGAGTGTCTCCCTCCAAGCAGACCTGCTGGGTCATAGTAGACACTGCCAACATATTTTCAGGCAGCTGTGCCAATTCACACTACCAACAGCAGTACATGCGCGTGTCCATGGCCCCATGGCATGGTCTCCCATTGTCATTTTAGCCAATCAGGTGTCAGAGGTATTTCGCTGTCAGTTTATTTTGCATGTTTCTCTGATGACAAATAAAATTGGGGACCTTTTCATACGCTCACAGGCCATCTTGATAGGTTCTTTTTTGAGGTCCTTGTTCAAGTCTTTCACCCACTTTATACATGGACTTGTCTTTATCTTTTTAATTTATTCTTTTATATTTTCTAGACATAAATATTTTACCAGTCAGATAAACTGCATGTCAAGTTAAAAAAAAATCCTGCCATGATTGTGTTTAGGACTATGTTGGATTTTATGATCTATTGAGGAAGAGTTGCCGCCTTGCAGTAGCGTCTCCCTATTCAAGAACAGCAAGGTCAGCAGCACTTACGTCAGTAAGAATTACTTCTTGGCCAGGTGCAGTGGCTCATGCCTGTAATCCCAGCACTTTGAGAGGCTGAGGTGGGTGGATCACTTGAGGTCAGGAGTTGGAGGCCAGACTGGCCAACATGGTGAAACCCCATCTCTCCTAAAAACACAAAAATTAGCTGGATGTGGTGGTGGGTGCCTGTAATTCCAGCTACTTGGAAGACTGAGGCAGGAGAATCAGTTGAACCTGGGAGGCGGAGGTTGCAGTGAGCCGATATCACGCCACTGCACTCTAGCCTGGGTGATAGAGCTAGGCTCTGTCTCAAAAAAAAAAAAAATTACTTCTTGCAAGGTGTGTGGTTCTGAGTAGATTACATAAGTTTGTCCATTTAACTTTCTCAGCAAGATGGTGCTGCTTCCACTTCCGTTTGAGGTATGAAAATGGAGAAAAAGGCCAGGCGTGGTGGCTCATGCCTATAATCCCAGCACTTTGAGAAGCCAAGGTGGGCAGATCATGAGGTCAGGAGTTTGGGACCAGCCTGGCCAACATGGAGAAACCCCATCTCTACTAAAAATACAAAATTAGCTGGGTGTGGTGGTGCACGCCTGTAATCCCAGCTACTTGGGAGGCTGAGGCAGAAGAATCACATGAACCCAGGAAGCAGAGTTTGCAGTGAGCCAAGATGGTGCCACTGCACTCCAGCCTGGGCAACAGAGTGAGACTCCGTCTAAAAAAAAAAAAAAAAAAAAAAAAAAGAAAAGAAAGTGGAGAAAAAGAGAGGATAGGGAACTTGCCTACATCCAACCAATTCATAGGTGGTAGAACTGGGATTTGAAACCAGGCAGTTTGTCTTAACAGTCCCTCTTCTTAATCACAATCTTATGCTTGTTTTTTGTTCATTCTACTTTTTTTTTCTTTTCCTCAAGAAGGTTTTTAGTTTGTTTTTTCTTATAGGCCTAGGAATATTGTTATTATATTTGTCTTGGCATATTTTTCCTTTTGTCTTGTTGATACCAGGAGTTATGGTTTTATTTTTCTTTGTATTTCCGATGTGTTGTTTGTGTGAAGAAAAGCTAGTGCTTTCGAACAGTCTTACTAAACTCCTCCATGAACTTTCAGTTTCAGTTTATTTCCTTAGGTTTTTAATCAAGAAAATCATAGCACCTCCTGAAATGGTAAATTTGCCTCCTCTTTTCCAATGCTTATTTTTCTTGTTTAATTTTCTTATTCGATTGCATTGGCTAGCATTTTAGAGAAATGTTAAGTTCTGGTAATGTTAGCAGTGTCACAGTTCTGGTTCCTGAATTGAATGAGGGAAATTCAGCCTTTCATATTGGACACAGTGCTGGTTTGATATACAAAATTGAATAATACTAAAATATTCTCAAGCAGTTTCTTTTTTTTAACCAAGAAATTTTATTTGATCAAACATATTTCCTAATAGGTTTGCTAATATTGAAATATTCCAGCATCACTTGGACAAACCTTGCTTAGTCACAGCGTGCTGTTTTTGTAAAGCCTTGATGTATTCTGCCTGTTGATCATTTTAAAAGTTTTGCTTATGGCCGGGTGCGGTGGCTCACACCTGTAATCCCAGCACTTTGGGAGGCTGAGGCGGGCGGATCACGAGCTCAGGAGATCGAGACCATCCAGGCTAACGTGGTGAAACCCCATCTCTACTAAAAATACAAAAAAATTAGCCGGGCGTGGTGGCGGGCACCTGTAGTCCCAGCTACTCCGGAGGTTGAGGCAGGAGAATGGTGTGAACCCAGGAGGCGGAGTTTGCAGTGAGCCAAGATTGTGCCACTGCACTCCAGCATGGGCGACAGAGCAAGACTCCATCTCAAAAACAAAAAACAAACAAACAAAAAAACAGTTTTGCTTATTTCGTTGCTTGGCCAAAAACCCCAAGGGTCTTTGAGTTGGTTATAATGGGATCTTCTGATTGCCCTGCCCTCCCCTCCCCTCCCCTCCTCTTCCCTCCCCTTCCTGTCCTTTCCCTTCCCTTCTCTCCTTCTCTCTCTCTCTCTTTCTTCCTTTCTTTTTGAGACAATCTACCCTCTGTTGCCCAGGCTGGAGTGCAGTGGCATGATCTCAACTCACTGCAACCTCCACCTCCCCAGGTTCAAGCGATTCTCATGCTTCAGCCTCCCGAGCAGCTGGGATTACAGGCATGCACCACCATGCCCGGGTGATTTTTGTATTTTTAGTACAGACGGCATTTCACTGTGTTGGCCAGGCTGGTCTGTAACTCCTGACCTCAAGTGATCCACCCGCCTTGGCCTCCCAAAGTGCTGGGATTACAGGCATGAGCCACCGTGCCTGGGCAATATGTTTCATTTCCCAATAATAGCATCAAGTTGCTGATATTGATTTGGATGAGCTGAACCCTCTCCCGCCTTGAGGTTCCTTCACAGGAGCCTCAACTCACATGGTCTGCTGGTGACTTCAGGCGTCCTGACCCATGACACAAGACAGGTTTTTTTCCTGTTTGTTTTGTTTTGTTTTGTTTTGTTTATCTGTTTGTTTTGAGACAGAGTCTTCCTGTGTCACTCAGGCTGGAGTGCAGTGACGCGATCTCAGCTCACTGCAACCTCTGCCCCCCAGGTTCAAGGGATTCTCGTGCCTCAGCCTCCAGAGTAGCTGGGATTACAGGCACCCGCCACCATGCCTGGCTAATTTTTTGTATTTTTAGTAGAGATGGGGTTTTGCCATGTTGGCCAGGCTGGTCTCAAACTCCTGACCACAGGTGATCCGCTCGCCTCGGCCTCCCAAAGTGCTAGGATTATAGGCATGAGCCACCGTGCCTGGCCCACAAGACAGTTTTTAATATAGTAGTGCCCCCTATCCATAGTTTTACTCTCTGTGGTCTCAGTTACCCCAGGTCAACCAAGGCATGGAAATATTAAATGGAAAATCTCATCAATAAACAATTAATAAGTTTTAAGCTGTGTGCTGTTCTGAGCAGTGTGATGAAATCTCAGGGCATCCGGCCCCATCCCTCCCTGGATGTGAACCATCCCTTTGTCCAGTGTCTCCATGCAGCCTACACTACCTGCCCGGCCGGATCGTGAGATAGAAAAATAGTAATATACCGGGGTCAGTACTATCTGCAGTTTCGGGCATCCACTGGGGGGTCTTCGAAGTATCCCCTGTAATAAGGGTTGGGGGGGCACTGTATTATTTTGGGTTTCCCCTCAATGCTTTCCCTGAAACAAGGACTTGGATGCAGGCTCCTCCATTTGAGAGTTGACTCCAGGGAGCAGGAGTGAGGGAGCAGCGGAAGGGAGATGCAGAAGGAGGCCATCTCCAAATAAAGGTATTTTGTCCCGGACCCTGCTGTAAGCAACGGAGGCTCCAAAGGCCCTTCCTAGAAGCCAGAGAATGTGCCCCAGCAGGACTGTTCACCTGCTGGAGGGAGGCAGAGCAGCAACCTCTCCCAGCCTCCCAGCTCTGCTTCCACAAGGACTGGAAGTGGCCCCTCGGGGAATGAACTCCTCCATCCTACAGGATGCCCTGCACCCCCAAGGGAGGCCTGGGAGAAGGTGGATGACACCCTTGTTCCGGACGTGGGCCTCAAGGGAAGAGCTCATGGCCTGGCTGGGAAGCCTGGCAGACCCTGTCCCGCAGCTTTCCCTCCTGCCTGCTGCTCCCCACATCCTCCCGCTCCAGTGCAGCAGGAAAAGCTTCAGACCATCCCCTCTCATCAGCTCAGATTCCAGGAGAAACAAACTCTCCCTCCAATCTCCCAGGTGGCAGCCAAGATGCTTACGTTCAAAGTCCCAGGAGGCTTTTCTCAGCAAATCCATCCACATAAGCTCATGGAAAATTAATGGAGAGGAATAAAAATCCACAGTAAGCTAGAGGCGAGACGTGAGAGGCACTTCTGCACAGGAGTGAGAGGACATGTAAAATCTGGGAATCCTTACAGCATCAGGTTTATGTGATTGAATTAGAAGTTGTCACAAAATTGTGGAGAAATGAGTGAATTTTCCAGTATTTGACATGGGCGGGAACAGGACGGAAGTGGACCTCTTGCTGTAGTGGAAAACAAGTAGGAAAAAAATGGCAAAAGCACGGGAGAATCTGGCAGGGATGAGGGGATGTGGCAGACTTGCTGGCCAGAGCACCTACCTTTACTTGGGCATACCTGCCTTTAACTGGCTTCACCTGTGTGTGCTTGCCTTTACCTGGCTTCACCTGTGCACACCTGCCTGTGTGGTTCTGACCTCACGCCCTTGAGTGAGTCTCCTCCCCTCCTTGGACCTCAGCTTCCCACCTGTTAAATAACAGGGTTGCCTTGGGTTAGGCCACTCCCACTCGGGCTGTCTAAGAATCATTCTCTGAAGATGTGCTGGCCTCCAACTATTAATACATTAAGCCCCAAACCCAGGAGCTTCTCTGGGAGAAAGGGACTGCTGCTGAAGGCAGTGAGCATCTGGGTTAATCTAAGCCACAAAATATTTATAATGTTTTCCCCAGGACCAAAAAGGTGGCTATATCTCACATCCCTGATGGTATGGTGTCCCAGTTTCCAGTTCTCTATAAAACAGTTACTCTTCCCAGAAAGTCCTAGCGTGCTCAGGACCACACAGCGTGTACTCCACAGATGTGGCTGATGGTTTCATGGTTCAGGTTGGACAAGAAAAAAAGACAAGATGACCAGATGGAAAAGCTTACTCCTTTCTGCAAAACCTGGTGAATCCTGGAAGGCAGCTTCCAGAAACAAAACCGGAGGGTTCTGAAACCAGGAAGCCAGGAGGGTCATGTCTTCTTTTCCTAAACTGAACCTAAAACAAGGCACTTGGTGGTGTGTGTGGCTATGGGCCCCCCAGAAATTAGAATGCCAAAAGAGGTCCTACTTCAAATGAGCGGCGGGGGGTAGGTGTTCCCCTCAACCTGAGATGCCCGCTCAGAGCGTTAAGATGTGAATAAAGGCACTGTGGCAGCATTATCTGACCCTGAACCTTTTCATAAGAGCCTTTTTTTTTGGCTGTCAATACTTTTAGTTGACACATAATTGTACGTATTTATGGGTCCAGTGTGAGATGTTGATACACGTATGCAATGTGTAATGATCAAATTAGGGAAATTAGTGTATCCATCACCTGTAACCTTGATTTTCTTTGTTTTGGGATCATAAGAGATTTTTACAGACTTGAAGGATGTTGCTTCATCGGAGCACAAGGCTGAACTGGATATCTCTAAACAGACACAAAGAAACTGGGGCGTAAGCAGGATGCTGTCCTTAAAATGCCGAATGTCGGGGCTCTCACACAGCGCTCTTGTTGGCTAACAGATCAGAAAGACTGGAGGGGGATGGCCCAAGGGGTGTCCACTTGGGTGGAAGGCTGGCAGAGGCCTGCGTCCCTAGGGAAGTATTTCTTGGAGATAGCATAATGGCATCGGTCTTAAACCTTGCATGGAGATAGCCGAAAAATGTTCACAATTGAACTGTGACCAGCTGCCTGGTCTATCTGCAGCAGTGGTTCTAGAAACCTAGGAAGGGGTGTTCCAGGGGTGGGAATCTGGTGAGAGGAGGGAAATATCCTGAGGATAGGTCTTTGAGCTGGGTTTGCAGGGTAAATACACCACTTTATTCAGATGACTTGCCTTCTTTGGTGGGGAGGGTACTGATGGACTGTTATGGAAAGGTAGAGCCCCCACCCCCACTCCCTGCAACCCAGGTCTTGCATCTGCCACCGGCCAACCCAAAGAACATCCGATTGTCCTGCTCACACCTCTCCCAGGCACCCCAGCTTCCATGCCAAACAAAGGATGCCTGCAGGATCCTGTCAGGGCGTCCTTCTTCCTGTTTTGGGGATTATTATTTTTTGATTGATTGACTCCTTTATTCATTCAACAAATATTTTATCAAGTGTATGCTTAAGGAAGCAGCGACGAGAAAGACATTTACATAAGGCAGCTGCCCTCAAGGAGTTACAATATTTATTCCATGTGTGTCCTGAAATATTCAGGCCCCAAACACAACTTTTTTTTTTTTAACCTAAGTGCTTTTAAAGACTTCTTTGAAATGTGGGACAATTATGCAAGCTGAAAAAAAAAAGTATCTAGAGCAAATATTTAACTTTGCCTTTGGTATGTTGAAGTCACCAGCCCATGCAAACCTCTCAGGCATGTCCTGTAAGATAGACTGACTTACACACACACACACACACACACTCACTCTATGTAGGGGGCACAGTTAGGGGTTTGCATAATGCCGGGCTCCAGGGTTCTGGAGACAGTTCTACTCCACAGCTTGGACTCTGATCCCCACCCACACCTTCCAGAATACTGGAAAACTCAGAACACAGAGACCTCAAGAGCTTACTCAGAAACACGCAGCTCGTACTGGGGGAGACTCCCAGTGAATGATTAAGGCCTTGAGAAAATCTATCAGCCGATGGCTCACACGGCGGCCACAGCTCCAAGCTCAGGACCCGCCCCTTTGGGCTTCCGCAAACCTAGCAATCCGGAGTCCTGGATAATAACAGGATTCCTGGAGTCTCCGGAGGGTGCCTTTGGCCTCTGGGATTCACCCGAGCCGTTGGCTTTTGCTCCCCCCACCCCACCCCCTGGCTTTTCTTGGCTTGGAGGGCAGCTGGCGGAGATACCGTTGTGCACCCCTGGGCGGAAGGCGCCCCAGAACTGGTGGCCTGGGCAGCAGACGCCGGCGTATCACCCGGGTACAAAGTTTTCGTTTGCTCTGCAAACGTTTTGATGTGCAGGCAGCCTCTATTTCCAAATCCTATTATTATAAATACTCTGTGGCGGGAGCCAGCTGCGTTCGGGATAACCGTGCAGACCGAACCGGACTTTACAAAAATCAGGGACTTTCTCGTCCGCCGGCTTTGGCCAGGGAGGGGGAGGTCCGTGAGCCACGCAGCCCGGGGCGGGGCAGAGGCGGCCAGGGCGCCCCGCGGTCTCCCGGGGTTGCCACAACAGACCCCACGCGCACGCCCGAGCCGCAGCCGCGGGCGGGAGCGGGGTCGGGGCGGGGGACTGAGGTCCGCGGCGTGGGCGGGGGTGGGGGTCCAGGTCGGGTCGCCCGCGGGTCCTGGGCCGCACGCGTCCTTTCGGCGGCGAGAGGGCCCCTCCCCCACCCTCGCCGGAGCCAGCTCCCGCGCCGGGCGGGGCCGGGTCCTTCCCCACCCCCTGCACCTGAGCCGCGGCGGCGGCTCCTGAGCTCCGGCGGGGCTGGGCGCGGCGCCGCTCGGGTTCCCGCGGCCGATCCAGGTGTGCGCGGACGCTGGCGCTCCCGGGGGGCTCGGACCCGCCCCCGACTCGCCGAGCCAGGTGAGGCGGCGGCCGGGGACGCAGGGCGCGGGCCGGGGAGGACGGGAGGTGGCCCTTGGGCACCCGATCCTGCTCACTGACGGCATTTTGGGGGCATCTCGATTCCGGGAGCACCAACTACCGGGTAAGCGCAGTCCTGGACCCAGAGAGGCTGGAGAGGTGGGCGCTGGGGGGAGTGAGCCGCGTGTCCAGGTGGGGGTCGATTTTCCGTAGAGAGCCCTTCCCCCTGCATGCCTTTCTTCCCGGGCAGGGGCCGGTGTCGAAAGCTTTGGAAGCGGCGTGGGGGCAGAGCGCAGGAAGGAGCCCCCGCTTTATCTCCTGCGCGCATGGACCACGTAGTCTCTGGCGCGTCCTGCCCCTTCCTCTGGAACAGCGCGTGTGGCGCGACCTCCCCCGCTCTCCCGGGGTCTCCTTGCCCCGGGTCACCGCCCGCCAGCCCTAGGACCCGGGCCAGCGAGCCCAGCGGAGGAGCCGGCGCGGGGCCGCCAGGTGGCGCGCGGGGGCGGAGACCCGAACCGTGGCCGCCAGGTCCCCCGAGACCCCGCTGCGGTCACCCTGGCCCTGCACGCAGAGCTCCCATCCAGGCGCGCGCGGCGGCAGCAGCAGCTGTCGCGGAGAGGCCGGGGCCGGCGCGCCTGGTGCGGGCCCGGGGGTGGCGGGTCGGGCGCCCAGGTCCCGGGGGTCGCGCTGAGCCACAGCCGGGTGCCCGACCCCGGCCCGCCGTGCTCACCAGCTGGGATAGGGAGACCCGGCGGGCGCAGCCCGGCCGCCACCGTCCGTGAATTATGCAGGAAGCTGGCACCGGCGCGCTCGAGTTGATCAAGTTTCCCTGGCAACTTTCGCCCGGGCATCCCTCCTCCCCGGCGGCCGGGCAGCTCCGCCCGCCCAGCCCGCGGCCCAGGCGCCTCCACCGGGTGGCCCCGGCCCCGGGCGCCAGGCGCGGGGACCGCTCCCAGAGACGCCGACAGCGCACTCGTCACTTGGGCTGGAGCCGCCGGACTGAGCCAGCAGGTGCGACCACCGCAGCGGGCCTCGCCGCCCGGGTTCGGGGGGATGCGGGGGCTGGGGTGGACCTCGCCGCCAGGGTTCTGGGGCTTGGCGTGGGGGTGCAGCGCGGCGCCCTCCAGGCGGGTCTGCGTGCGGACACCCTGCTCGAGGTGGGTGGGCGCGTGGGCGAGGCTTGCCTTTCCGTGGGGCTGGAGCACCCAGAGGGAGAAAGGGTGGTGCAGGTGACCGTGGGTTTTCGCAGCCGATCTTTTAAAGGGGCTCGGGGCGCCTGGAACTGAGAAGGCGCTCGAGCCAGGCAGGTGAGGGGTGGGTGGTGGGGGGGTCAGGCGAAAGTACGTAAGGCTCTCGGGGGCTGGCAGCTGCTGGCAGGGGCCTGGGCGTCCTCAGAGGCCATCCGAAAATAAAGTGGTTTTCGGGTGGAAATTCGAGGTTGTAAATTGGATAGTTGAGTGACCTCTTTTTCGTTTGAAACTCAAGTTCGAACGTTAATGAGGCCAATCAGCTAATTAAGCTTCCAGATCCAGAGAGGTAATTTCGGAAGTCCCCCGGTGGGGGAGGGCGATTTGATCTCTATCTGGGATGTGGGCCTCGGTTTTGCCGACCCAGCCACAAGGGAAGTTCTGCGCCCCTGGAAAAGGACCTGGCAGATTCAGCCTTAACCCCGGTGCCCTGCGGTCCGCATCACATAGTTAGTGACGCCCTTCTGTGCACTAGGAACCGAGCCTGGTGCCCCAGAGGGTTCAGCAGGTCCAGAACAGCCCCGGGCCGATTGCTTTTGGAGTTTTCCAACTACTTGTGGGTTGGAAACAAGGTTGAGGGTCCTAATAGGGTTGAGCCTGTGGGGGTGGAGTGAGGAGAGCGAGCTCGGCCCCCATCTGGGTTCAGTGTTAATTCTGAGGGAAAGCCGTCGTGTCTGCTCTAAGAGGGGGATTGGTAGGTGGGAGCTGTGGGTTTCTATGCCGGATGTCACTGTCCTCTGAGGGGGCTTGAGGGAGACTCTTGTCCTGATAGGAATCTGGGTGTCCCAGTAGTGCCTGAATGATTCAGCTCCTGGGAAGCACTGTCTATATAAGGCCTCTGATTCCATTATTACACCCAGGAATTCCTTGTTTTCCTGGAAGGAAGAATTGGGTGGAAAGCTTGGTGCTTCTTTGGGTCCCTTTGGAAGGAGGTTGGAATTCAAGTATCAAAGGTAACTCTTTACAAGTAGGTGATTTCACCTATAAAGATGATCCCAGAGGGCTCGGTTGACAGCACTTGGCTGCTTTTAACAAATTAGATTCCCCCCCACCCCCGGGGAGGGGGGCGGTCTGTTGGGGGGATCTTTCTGTGTACTGTCTCCAAGTACAGTCTGCTATAGAAAACCGTATTCCTATTTGGGTGAGTTTCAAGATTTTCATTCATTCATTTCTTCATTCAGGTGCTTAGGGTTGTATGCAGGGCCATGCTGGCTTCTAGGGGTCTTGGTCTAGGCCTGGGCTTGGGGAGCCAGGTGATATCAGATGTGAGTGCTGCCCAGAGGAA
Organism: Homo sapiens; assembly: GCF_000001405.40. Classification (NCBI taxonomy): domain Eukaryota; kingdom Metazoa; phylum Chordata; class Mammalia; order Primates; family Hominidae; genus Homo; species Homo sapiens. Next base: position 71,249,892 of record NC_000011.10, on the reverse strand, counting down.
GGTAAAGGGATTCTGAGACCGCATTGCATTTTATATTTCATTAGTGACGAGGAAAAGGATGGGAGAGAAAAACGGGCCGGGAATTAACCAGTATACAGAAACACACTCCTAAAAATGGCTCTTTATAGGAAGGCAGTGCTTTAGCATACTTGCCTTACTTCCAAATACGTAACAGAGTTGCAGACGAGAGAGTTCTGGGATCCCCGTCAGTCCCGATGAGGACTTTTCTAAAGTGGGGCTCAGCTTGGGAGTTGCTGCAGGGCCTGAGGTTGTGCCTCCTACTCTGAAAGAGTTCTGGGCCTGGACACCTGAGGTCTTACCTGCCTGCAATTCCAGCCTCCTGCTTTGTAAACTCAAGCCGGAGCTTTCACCTGGGGCTGTTGTACCTGGAGTCTGAGGGCCCCTCCTTGGGGCAGCAGGGAGGGTGTGGCTGAGAAAAACCAGTGGAAATGGACGCGCACAGCCTCTTCAGGAGCCTCCACTTCTCCTGTAACTGGGACTGTGAGCCCCAGGGAGGGACCCTTGAGAATCTTCTTGCCTCCACATGACCTCCAGCAAAGTTCTTGACCCTGTCCGTTTCTATAGACTGGGGAATTTGTGGAAGAAAGGGAAGGAGAGGGGAGAAGGGAGGATCGCTCCAGACAAAGGCGGGTCTTTTCCATCTCTGGAGTCCCCCACCCCTTGCCATTCACCTGGGCACCGGGAGAATGAATCACTTGTTGAGAGGCTGTAAGCATATTGAGTGCAGGGCTTGGAGCCTGCAGCCCCCCAGGGCTAAGTGACCTTTGTGACTTGGCCACTGCACCTAACCTCCCACCCAAAATGAGAGGCCTGTCATTCTCTCATGGTCAGAGGATATCTAGGGTGTATTTGTTTCTTTCCGCGTGAATAATCATCTGAGGGCCTGCTGCCACATCCAAGCCTGGACTGGCCACAAGGGCTGCCTCCGGGAGCTTCTAGGATAATGGGGAGGAAGAGGCGTGACTGGACAGTCCAGTTAGTCCGTGTTGTGACAGGGCTTGTGATGGAGGTGAGCATCGAGTGCTGCAGGGCATAGAAAGGGTCCCCAACCCAGCGTGGGGTGGGGTGGGGGGATACAAACCCTTGGAAGAGGTCTGGGTTGTTTGATTGCATCCTCCTGGGACTGAACATGGGCCTTTGGCAGAATGACCCAGTCCTTGTTCCCAGGGTGGGGACAGAGCCACCCGCTAGTCACAATAATAACGTCAGGAGCTGCAGCGCAGGTAGTGAGACTCTCACCGAGCATTTTCCTTTTGATTGGCATTAGTGCCACACTCTTGCTATTTATTCCCTCAGTAAATCTCAGAAGTCCAATGAGCCAGCTCCGATTCATTACGATTCCCATTTCACAGATCAGAAGCTTGAAGCTCAGAGGAGTGAAGCCGCTTGCCTTAGCCCACACAGCTAGTGGGTAGGGGAGCCCTTGACCCCACACCGCCCGGTGGTTAAATGCACGCTGCCCAGCTGGAGAAAGCCGCCAGGCAGCGGTTAGAAAATTAGTCTTCTGGTTCCCGTGCTGTGAAATCGCGCTGCGGTCAGCAGGTGAAAACCAGTTTCTCATCATACTTCTTGATGTGCCCCACGTTTTCCATTGTTGAAGGCAGATTCAAGGACTGGTTTGATGCCGCTGATGGACGGCTGTCTCCTTGGCCATGGCGCCAGTACTGATGCTGGGCTTTGGGGTACAGTCGCCTCTGATGCAAGCCTTCCCTGCATTCTAGGGTTTCTGTTCTTTGCAGGGCGGGGGACAATGGGCCCATGCCCACTACCCAGAGCCTGCCCTGGGTTTAGGGACCATAGCCTGGGTCTCTCTGGATGCACATATGCCGGGGATGGGCCTTCAGGGAGGGACTGGCTGAAACGCAGCTCGCTCCCTGGGAGATTAAGTTCTTAAAAGCCTGTGGGGCTGCCAGGAGTTTGCTGGCAGCAGCAGGGACATGCTGGGCTCCCCGATTGGCTGCCAGATGTCATTGCCAAACCCGGCACTGCACCAGAGCACGACTGGGGACAGTGTTTTAAAATTGTCCTTGCTGGGTATGGTAGCGACTCTGGGGTTAGCTCAGTGAGGGGCGTGTGAATGGAATTAGGCCACAAACTCCCAATCTGAGGCTGCAGATTCCAAATGGTGGAATGCAGAAGGGCTCCTGGCTCCCCGTCCCAGAAATTCTGCTGCAGCAGAAAGGCAGCACGGGAGCTCCCCCAGAGGGAGAGGAAGATCAGCTGGAGCAGCCCTGAGTTGCTGGACTTAGAAAGGCCTCACCAGAGACCCCCCAGGAGGCGTGCATTAGAGGTCATAAGCACTGCAGCTCTGCCATGGCCCTGCTGGGCTGGGGCCTGCCTCTTCCATTTTTTTTTTTTTGTCTGTCCCTGAAAGTGTTGTTTTTTTTAAAAAAAACAGCTTGTTCTCTCATACATTTTCTGCAACAATTTTTTATGAAAAATTCAAATATCCAGCAAAGCTGAAACAATTGCCAGTAAACTCCTTTCAGATTGTGCCATTCATCATTTACCAAGCTTCTCACACATTTTAAAGTCAACGTCTAAAATTTTTCTTTATAGGTTTAAATATTTGTAAAGGCTACGGTACCTCTGTGAGGTAAATATCGATATTTTAAAAGGAACTGTTGCCTGACTCTTTACCCACTGTGATATAAACCCATCGTGACTCACAGCCACTTTTTCTTGACGGATACGTAAGTGAGCTTTAGGACATTTTCATCGTTCTTTTCTTGAATTTATACAGCCACTTCCCCAAAGAATTTTATCCTAATGTAATAGACTTTTATGCTCATGGGTCTTTTATTAATCAACCTAGCATACTTCTCTGCACGAAAAATATACATAAATTGACTTTCATAAAATTTCCCATGACCTGGAGTTGCTAAGTATTTAAAAAAATTACTTCTGAATTGAAAAAGCTGTACAGTCATTGCTGGGGCGCAGTTGGTCAAAAACTATAAATATATTACAGATTTTTAGAAATGGAAAAGGGGAGCTGTTACTGGAGCTGCCTCTCTGAGTGAGAAGGCAGTGGGTGTTTTTGGTGTTTTAATTGAAGCCCTAGTTGCATTAGCCCTTTTGTTTTGGTATCAGGAGGGCCCTTCACCTGGAGCTGCACCACCCCCTCACCAGCTTCCGGGGGATAGCTATGCCTTTCTTATGTAAAAGAGCCTCAGGGATGTTAGGGAGGGGAGGTGGGCAGGGGATCCAAGGCCTTTCTCCACTGAGCAATTTCAGGAAAGACTTGGCTACCCTTTAGACTGAGCTGGGTCTACGTGGAAAGGGTCCTTGCACCTCAGTTTGAAGCCCCCTGCAAGGGAGATCTTAGTTCACAAGATTACACCTGTACTCAAGGTCCTGCAGGTGATTCTTACCTGGGGACAGTGATGATACTTACGTGAAGGCAGTGACATGTGATGCCAGGTGTGTGCTCTGCATACTGCCAGGCTTTGCTGCCTCCCTGCAGACTTGGGGGTGTCCTGCCCCACGTCTTCCTCACTCCGGCTCATCAGTCCCCTCCTCTTCTCAAGGAGAATCCAGAGTCAGCACCTAGAGTCCTCGGTGGGGGTGGGGAATGGCCAAGAGTCTGGACAGCTGGCAGTCTGCTCCCTGGTCCACTGGGGTGGGTCCTGGGAGGCTTAGGGCCCAAGGAATGGGGTGCAGGGCATCCTGGGTTTCCAGACCTGGAGCTGACACAGACTTCCGGGCTCCTGGGAGGTGGGAAATGAGCTTCCAAGCCTGTCTTTCCTGAAAATCCTGCCCTGGATTCCTTCCCTGGGGAGAATGCAGGCTTCCTGGGGAGTGGAGGGGGATGCTTCTGTGGCCTCATTTGTACCCCTGAGAGCATAGGGCTCAGCCGTTCCTGTCCATGTTTTTCCTGCCACCCCGCACAAATGTCCCTGGGATTTGAAGAATCTGCTCCACTCCCCTCTTCCCGTACAGGGGCCTGCAAACTAGAGGCATTTGCCCCTGGGCCAGCCGGGCTCCTGTCTGACCCCTCCTCACGAGGTGGACAGGTCCCCCAGGAAAGGGACCACGCCTTGCTCCTGTCTGCATTTCAAGGTCCTACAGTGGCCCCAAGCATGGACCAGGGGACTTTGGCAGGGGAAGATACTGACCCGATGGCGTCGCTACTGCCCCTCGTCTTGGTTCTGGACTTTCCCTCCCTCGAGGGTCATTCAGCTCCAGTGGCTGAACTTGCCGAAGGTCGTGTGGCCCAGCTGGGATCCACACCTGGCGGCTGCCCACTCCACCGTGCAGAAGAAGGCACCGGTCGCTTCCCCGGCCTCCAGATTGCCTCCTGGGTGGCACACCAGTTTATTTTTCTGTTCACTTTCAGGTAAAGCAGATGAGGTAGCACAGTGGTTGTCAGACTTCTAGCTTAAGGAATCTTTTTTGCTCTCTTAGCATTTTGAAGGACCCAGAAGCTTTTTATGTATGAGCACGAATCTATTGTTATTTACGCTATTAGAATTTACAAATATCTAATTATTAATGCATTTAAAAATAGTAATAAACTCATGACATGTTGGTATAAATAATGTGTTTTTATGGATAACAACTATTTTCAAAATAAGAAAAACACTTGGTGAGGCCGGTCGAGGTGGCTCAGGCCTGTAATCCCAGCACTTTGGGAGGCTGAGGCAGGAGGATTGCTTGAGGCCAGGAATTTGAGACCAGCCTAGGCAATATAATGAGACCCCATCTCTACAAAAAATAAAAAATTAGCCAGGTGTAGTGGCACGCACCTGTGGTCCCAGCTACTCAGGAAGCTGAGGTGGGAGGATTACCTGAGCCTGAGAGGTCGATGTTGCAGTGAGCCGTGATCACGCCACTGTACTCTAGCCTGGGTGACAGAGTGAGGAAAAAAAATAGTGCAGTGGCTCACACCTGTAACCCCAGCACTTTGGGAGGCCGAGACGGGTGGATCACTTGAGGTCAGGAGTTCGAGACCAGCCTGGCCAAAATGGTGAAACCCCATCTCCACTAAAAATACAAAAATTAGCCAGGCACAGTGGGGCACACTTGTAGTCCCAGCTACTCAGAAGGCTAAGGCACAAGAGATCACTTGAACCCGGCAGGCGGAGGTTGCAGTGAGCCAAGATTGCCCCACTGCACTCTAGCCTGGGCAACAGAGTGACAGTCCATCTCAACAACAACAAAAAAACACTTGGTGAGAAGAGTGGCATTGTTTAACATTTTTGTGGTCTTTTTGCTGTGAGGTTTAATGGAAGACAGCTGGGTTCCCGTATCTGCTCCTGCAGTCAGCTTGTTGCAATATCACAAGTTTTGTAGCTTCCGTTGTGCACTTGGGAGAGGATGAGCTTGAAAAAGCAGCTCCCATCTCAGTGTTATGATGAGAATGGTTTGACTTCATAGATCTCTCGAATAGGCTGGTTCCCGGGGCTGCACGCTGAGAGCCTCTGGGAGGAGCGTGTGATCCGCCTTGTCAGTGCATGGGTCCCGTTTGAAAGCTGGCTGTGCCATGTGGTCCAAAGGGTGCTTTGAATGATGCATGTACCTTTTCTTGTCGTTCAGGATATGTCTGTGGAGTTTAGTCAGGGGCTTCAGACAGCCACCAGCTGGTTCCGACCCCAGGGGCAGGCCCTCTGATTGTGGGGTCTAGGATGGTGGGAGCATGCAGAGGCACCTTCCAGGCTGTGGGGTCAAGGAGGCTGGCAGAGCCTAAGGCAGTTTAGGAGACTCTGAGAGAGCAGCCTGGCCAATTTATAGAGTGAGGCAGGCTTGCAAGTGTAGACAGGAGAGTGGAGAGGACTTTGTAGGTGTCTGGCTGCCCAAGGAAGCCTATAGTTTTCTTTTGAAGTCTGGTTTTGGTATCAGAGTAATACTGGCCTCATAAGATGACTTGGGAAGCATTGTCTTCCATTTTTTTCTGAAAAGTTTATGCAAAATTGGCCTTCATTCTTCTTTAAATGTTTGGTAGAATTCACCAATAAAGCCATCTGGGCCTAGGCTTTTCTTTGTGAAAACTTTTAAAATTATTGATTGGATCTCTGCTTGTCATAGGTCTTTTTAGATTTTCTGTTTCTTCTTGAGTCAAGTTTGTTAGTTTGTGTCCCACCAGAAATGTGTCCACTTCATGTGAGTTTCTCTAATGTGGTTGCTATGTAGTTGTTTGTAGCACCGTCTCATTATTATTATTGTTATTATTTTTTTGAGACAGAGTCTTGCTCTGTTGCCTAGGCTGGAGTGCAGTGGCGTGATCTCAGCTCACTGCAAGCTCCGCCTCCCGGGCTTACACCATTCTCTTGACTCAGCCTCCCGAGTAGCTGGCACTACAGGCGCCCACCACCAGGCCCAACTAATTTTTTTGTATTTTTAGTAGAGACGGGGTTTCACCGTGCTAGCCAGGATGGTCTTGATCTCCTGACCTCGTGATCCGCCCGCCTCAGCCTCCCAAAGTTCTGGGATTACAGGCATCAGCCACCACGCCCGGCCTGACTCCTTTTAATTCTGTAAGTTGGTAATAATGTCCCTTCTTTCATTCCTGAGTTTGGTAATTTGAGTCTTCCCTTCTTTTCTTGATCATTTCAGCTCAGGTTTGTAAATTTCGTTGATCTTTTCAAATAACCAACTTGTAGTTTCATTGATTTTCTTTATTGCTTTTCTAGCTTAGATTTCATTAACTTCAGCCCTAACCTTTATTATTTCCTTCCTTCTGCTAGCTCAGTTTCAGTTTCCCGTTCTTTTTCTGACTCTCACAAGGTGGAAGGTTTTGGTTATTGATTTGAGATTTTTCTTCTTTTTAACATAGACATTTACAGATCTGAATTTCCTTTAAGTACTGCTTTAGTTGTATTCCATAAGTTTTGATGTGTTTTGTCTTCTTTTTCACTCGTTTCAAAGTGTTTTCCAATTTCCCCGTGGTTTATTCTCTGACCCATTGGCTATTTAGATGTCTGTTTAATTTCCACATATTTGTGCATTTGTAAAATAAATTTCGAATTTCATTCTATTGTGGTTGGAGAACATTATTTGTATAATTTCAGTCCTGCTGATGTTTAATGAGGCTGTTTTATAGCCGGGCATGAGGCCTCTCCTGGAGAATGTTCCACGTGCCCTTGAGAAGAATGAGTATTCTGCCGTCTTTTGTGGCATGTGCTGCAGGTGTCTGCTAGGCTGCTCTAGACTCTGGGATACAACAGTGAACCAGACAGACAAATATTTCTGCCCTTGTAGGGTCGACATCCTCGCCAGGGGAGCAAACAATAATTAAAGGAGATCATAAATAAGCAGTGATGTAGTGTGGGAGGAAAGGAGAGCTTGCTGGTGGGGGCTGGGAGCCAGGGGGGCTGCTGTTTTAGCAGGATGGTCGGGGTGAGCTGCATTGAGGTAGCGGTCCTTGAGCAAACACTTAAAGGAGGTAAAGGAAGCGGTGTGTGATACAGGAAGAGTTCAGTGGAAATTGAGAGCACTTTTTTTCCCAATGCACATTTTATAAATTGTGCAAAATACCTATAACATAAAAAGTTACCCTTTTCACCATTTTTAGGTGTGTAGTTCTGAGGCATTAAGGATGCTCATCGTGCTCTGCAGCCATCGTCACCATGTATCTGTAGAACTCTTCAGCTTGCAGAACTGAAACTACGTCCCCACTAAACACTAGCAAACCAGCCCCCTTCTCCCAGCCCCTGGCGACCACCAGTCTGTTTTCTGTCTCTTTGACTTCTGTAGGGACCTCATCCAAGTGGAATCATGCAGTGTTTGTCTTTTTGAGTCTGGCTTAATTCACTCAGCATAATGTTCTCAAGCCTCATCCATGTTGTAGCGTGTGTCAGAATTTCCTTCCTTTTTGTGGCTGAGTAATATTCCATTGTGTGGATGGGCCACATTTTGTTTATACATTCATCCATCCTTGAGGACCTGGGTGGCTTCACCCTCTGGCTGTTGTGAATAATGCTACTGCGAACATGGTTGTGCAAGTATCTTGAGTCCTTGCTTTTAGAAAACACCTTCAAAAGCAGCGTCCAGCCCCAGGCCCGTCTGGTCTTGAGATACTAAAGCTGAGATCTTTTACCCACTCGCTCCAGCCTAGGCTGCTTTCTCACAGAAGGAGGCCCCACCTTTCTTCATGGGTCTCAGGAGAAAGTAGGGGTGACCCTGAGTGTGGGAGAAATTGTGGGACATGACTCCTTCCCATGTCTGGTGTCTTCCAGTGAGGCAAGGTGCTGCTCCCTGGGAACCTGGTGGGGGTGTCTCATCTTTGTGGGTTCAGCCCCAGCCTAGAGCTGGATCCCAAGAAAAACAGGGACCAGAGACAGTAGCAGGGGGGAGAGTGTCTCCTGCAAAATGTAGCTGATTAACTGATTAGATGCTTTCCGGTTGCCTCATGATCTTAAACGCAGGCTGATTGTGCAATGGGTCATTTGCTGATCTCATATGCAGTTGCTGGCGAAGGTACGTGTTTGTTTGTCCCATGGGGCCTTGGGTCGCCTGTGTGGGGCAGGGGAAGCGGGGCTTCCGGGCACTTCCCGCTCGCTGGAAGCTTTGCCTTGATGTTTCCTTAATAGTCACTTAAAAAAATCCACCCTGAGTTGATCATGTAGCTCAGTTTATACATTCTATGGAATGGTTAACCGCATTTTATTCTTTCTCTTCCTGTTGACATTTGGGTTGTTTTCAGGATCTTGTTCTTTCAGACTGTGCTGCAGGGAACATTCTTCTATGCAGGGCTGGCGGGGCTTCCCCGGGTACCTCCTTAGAGGAGAAGTTGCCTAGCCCGGGGCTTTCACCGTGCACAGAGCTAGCTTTCACCAGTGTTCTCAAATTGCTTTCCCAGGGGTTGTACCAAGTTACAATCCCACCCACATGGTGTGAGAACTCCCTGGGCCCCTCCTCCTCAGCAAGACTTGGTATTTCCTGATATTTACCAGTCTAATGCGTGGGAAATGGTGTCTCCTTTTAACTTGCATTTTCTCTGATTCATAGAAAGCTGCTCCCAGTTCCGGTTCATCGACCACTCAGCTTTCCATTTTCTGAATGGACCTCCGTGGCTCAAGCAATCCTCTCACCTCAGCCTCCCAAGGAGTTGGGACCACAGACACACAGACTACAGGTGCACACCACCACACCTGGCTAATTGTTTTTTTAGAGGGGTCTCCCTGTGTTGCCCAGGCTGGCCTCAAACTCCTGAGCTCAAGCGATCCTCCCACCTCAGCCTCCCAAAGTGTTGGTATTTACAGGCATGAGCCCCCATGCCCAGCCCATTTTATTTTTTTGATGTGTCTCCTAGGAAATTTAAAATTACATTTGTGACTCCAATTATATTGCTATGGGGCAGCCTGGATTTGTAACCTTCATTCTCTAGGGGCTGGGGTCTGCCCCTTCTTGCTTGGCCCCCTGGCCTGCAGTGTCCCCGCCTCCACCGCCACCTTCTCACCCTTGAAGGGAGCCCCCTTCCTGCTGATGTGCTTCCTTTGAGTTAGCAGCAAAGACTCTGTTTGGAGGAACAGGAGAGGGGCTAGGGAGAGAAGATGGACTAGGACAGCTTGTCACGGCTTGTCACTCAGAGAGACCCGAGTGTGGGCAGGACCCCAGAGCTCATTGAGAATTAATCAGGGTTCTGCACTGCTGGCTCTGGAAAGTCCAGGTCCAAACCTCTTGGAGAACAATGGACCTCGGGAGAAGATACACCGTGTCTGGGTCCCGCAGCGGGTTTTCAGCAGGTTTTATGCTGGATCCGAGAATCCCTATCCTGACAAGCCTCCAAGTACCCCGTGGCAGGCTCTTTGTAGACCAAGCCTGGTTAAATAGCTTCTGGAGTTCATTCTCCCGAAGAACGAGGTTCTTACCAGAAGCAGTCTAGAATTAGTATCATATTACTATTGAACATTCATGGAGACCCTTGGATATTCAGACGGCTTTCTGGCCACTGCCTGGTGTTTGCCCAGCTCCCGGGGATGTGTGGTTGCCTGAGACACCTGGCAGACGCCCTGCGAGACGTAGCCTGTGCCTGGTGGGCTTAGTGGCCTGGGGTGGGTTGGGTGATTTTCTGAACGAAAGGAAATGCCTCTGAGGTCACAGACCATCCAGCCAGCTGCAGGACACTCCACATGTAGAGGCAAAAATGACTTCTTGGCCAGGTATGGTGGCTCATGCCTGTAGTCCCAGCACCCTGGGAGGCCGATGTGGGTAGGTGGCTTGCTTAAGAGCAGTTTGAGACCAGCCTGGGCAATACAGCAAAACCCTGTCTCTAGAAAACAAGACAAAACAAAAAACAAGTATTAGCTGGGCATGGTGGTGTGTGCCTGTAGTCCCAGCTTCTCGGGAGGCTGATGTGGAAGGATCACCTGAGCCTGGAAAGGTCGAGGCTGCTGTGAGCTGAGATGGTGCCAATGCACTCCAGCCTGGGCAGCATAGTGAGGCCCTGTCTCAAAAAAAAAAATTTTTTTACCATTAACAGTGCAGTAATAACATAGAGTGACCTGTATCTTTGTAGGTAGCTTAGTCAGTCATCATCATTATCATTATTAACGTATTATCTGCAGACATTGTTGGAGGACATTTCAGTACCTGCTGTGAGCCAGGAGCTTTGTGCATATGGTCTCATGGAATCACCAGTTGCTCTCTGGGAGTATTTTAATGCCCATTTCACCGAAGGGGAAACTGAGCTCCAGAGAGGTGCATTGGCTGGGGCTTTGAGCCCATGTAGCATGTTGCGTGTTACAACCAGTAGAACAGAAAGGGATGGGAGCATTTAATCTCCTTCACTCCAGTGAGTCCTCCCTCTTGGCCTGCCTGGCGGCCCCTCCCGGTCATCTGTTGACAGCCAGTCCTTGCTCAAGACCCCTGAGCATTTGTGAACAAAATGCTTGTGAAACCGTGAGTTGGGTTCCCCGGGTCCCCTTATTTCTTTCTCTATACTTTGTCTCTGTGTCTTTTTCTTTTCCAAATCTCTCGTCCCACCTTACGAGAAACACCCACAGGTGTGTAGGGGCAACCCACCCCTACATCTTCCCATGAATGAAGTCTGTCCCTGTGACTGTGTGTCTGGACAGCTCCTCTTCTGGGGAGAGTCCTCTGTGGCAGGTGCAGTCAGCATAGGGACAGAGAGGACACAGAGGGCCCCAGCTCTTCAACGCTTCTGCTGATTGACTCGAGCAAGCTCTGGCCACAGACAGTGCATTTGCCCAGCAGAGTTGAGTGTCACTGTGTTTCAGCACACTGTTCTCTAGGCTGTGGTGATGGGTGATCTGCCTGGAGAATTTGGGCCACAGAGGGAGCATAGCACTGGCCAGGAGGGGCCTCTGGCCTCTCCGCTCTTACCTCGACATCTTTGGGCTTTGGGGAGTGTTGGGTTCATTTTCCTTGCTTCAGTAAGTGGTACGTTGCGGTGCAGAGCAGCTCTGCTGTGTTGCTGTGTGACCTTGGACAGGCCAGTTGGCCTCTCTGGGCCTTGGTTTTCTTATCCTTGAAATGAGGGTACTAACATATCTCAGGTAGCTGTGAGCATTAAATAAGGTAATTTATGTAAAGCTGAGACTATGGTAAGCATCCACGTACCGCCAACTGTTCTTACTGTCATTAGTGGTGATGTTTGCATTATCTGTGTTGGATTGTTGGGTCTATAAAGTGCCTGTCTTGTCAGGGCTGCCCACTGGCCTGTTGAGACCTCAGGTTTGCACACAGGTCCTGTTACAGGCAGAGCAGGGAATGCTGGGGTCTCCACCTGTTCTCTGCAGAGCCTCCCACGTGGGCATCATGAGTGCGTAGGGTTCAGGGATTCAGGATGATGGGGTGCCCAGCAGCAGCCTCCCAGCTCTTGCAAGGGACATCGGCAACATTGGGGGCCCCCTGAGTCCCACCCTCAGTCCGTGTGTGCATGTATGCAGGGCCTGGGGACAGAGGTGAGTCTGTGTGTCACAGGGAGAGCCCCTTGGGAGGGGGCCCCCTTATCCCATGGGAACTCCAGGTGGCTGGGCTGCTCTACCACACCCCAGCCTGGGTAGTGGTGTGTGTTCATCCTTTTCGGCCTTCGTGGCCCTCAGTGGCTTTTCCTAACATGGATGAACCTTTGTTCATCAGAAATCTCATCCTGCCGTCTTTTACCAAAGAGAGAGAGAGGAGGTGGGGAGCCTGGGAAGGGGAGATGGGGTAGGCTCTACAGCTAGTGATTCAGTTAGGGGCCCTCCTATAAAGCCTGCATTGTGGTGGGCTTGGGGCCTTTGGTGTTAGACAAACAGGATTAACTCCTGCTTTGCCGGAACCTCCCTGTAAGTGCCACGATGTGATCTGGGCAAGTGACTGGATCCTTCGCTGCAGCCCTCGGCTTTGTGATCTTTAGGTTGGAGATAACGACAGCTATCTAATAAGCCACTGTTAAGTTGAGGGTCGTGTTAGTTAACCTTTGCTGCATAACAGACCACCCCAGACAAAGGGTAAAACACCTGTTCATTTCAGGGCTGGATAGTAAATATGTCGTGCTTGCGTGCTGTGCAGTGTCTCTCCAAAACAGTGGTCAAAGGCAATACATGAGGGAATGGGCATGGCTGTGTTCCAATAAAAACTTTACTTATAAAAACAGGCTGGGGCTAGAATTGGCCCCTGGGCAGTCGCTTGCCAACCCTGATTTATTTAGCTCATGGTTCTGCAAGTTGCCCACTACAGCCGGGCTCAGTCCCTGGACTCAGTCCTTATTGCCCACTGGCTACTTGGTGGTTCTGGGCTCCCAAGGGCAGCAAGAGGGGGAGCTTCAGGATGCCATGGTCTGCAGTATTTGCTTGCATCACATTTGCTGCAGTCCCCTCGGGTTTATTGATGTGGCCAGAGCGAACGGTGACCATTTCCAGGGTCACTGTGGGAGAAGACTTCCCAAAATGCTAGATCCAGGAGGTATGACTGATTGGAGCCATTACTGTGACAGCCTCCCAGGCCCGCAGCGCAGTCCCACCTGCGCCAAGTCCCTCCCGGCCGCTGCCTGCAGTGTTGCCCTCTGGGCACAGAAAGACCTCATAGGTGCCACATTGGGTTTTGTTTATTTGTTTGTTTTGAGATGGAGTCTCACTGTGTCACCCAAGCTAAAGTAAGTTTGTTTTGAGACAAGAGTCTCGCTCTATCAACCAGGCTGGAGTAAAAATGTTGTGCTTATGTGCTGTACAGTTTGTCTCCAAAAAAGCAGTCAAAGGCAATACATGAGGGAATGGACACAGCTGTATTCCAGTAAAACTTTACTTATAAAAACAGGCCTGGGCTAGAATTGGCCCATAGGCGGTCTCTTGCTGACCCTGATTTATTTAGGTCATGGTTCTGTAAGTTGCCTACTGGAACCAGGCTCAAGCTGAGCGTGATCTCGGCTCACTGCAACCTCCACCTCCCAGGTTCAGGCAATTCTCCTGCCTCAGTCTCTGGAGCAGCAGGGACTATAGGTGCATGCCACCACACATGGCTAATTTTTATATTTTTGGTAGAGATGGGGTTTCACCATGTTGGCCAGGCTGGTCTAGAACTCCTGACTTTAAGTGATCTGCCAGCCTTCTCAGCCTCCCAAAGTGCTGGGATTACAGGCATGAGCCACCACGCCCGCCCTCATGTTGGGTTTTGATGCTTTTACTGGTCACAGCATTTTGTGGTTCAACCAGGAGGCATAATGCATTTTTAAATTTTGTTCCTGAATAATTTTGCATGGTGTGTGTTGATAAGCTAATTTCAGTCTGCCCCGTTGCCTTCTCTGGCCATTGAGCTGGGGATGTGGAGAATGAGGAGTGTTCTATGGATGGTGAGACGGGTCCCGAGCAACATCACCCTCAGTCCGGTCCTGCCTTTGAAACAAACAGTGTCCATGGAGGGGGCGGAGGAGGCTGAGCAGGAAGAACGGAATGGCCAGCCTGGCTTCCTCCTGGTCCTGGCTCTGCCGCCAGCACCTGCTGGTCTGGCCTCAGTTTTCTCAGCAGGAGAATGGGTGCATCTGATAAAGTCACATTGCTTCTGGCACAGACTTCAGCAAAGGCAGCCGGCAGGATGGGAGATGGTGTACACACACATGTGAGAGAGTGTGTGCCCATCGTCACGGCAGCCACTCCCCACAGGCTGTGTCACATAGACCTCAGGAGGTGGCTTCTGACAAAAACTGAAGATCGGAGGCTCTTCTGTCCCTGCTGCATGCCTGTACATGGTGGCCTTTTGCCTTCAGTGTTTTCCCCTTGCTCCATGAAGTGGATCCTGAACCCTTGTGAGCCGTCGAGAATGAGAGGTTCTTTTTAGTTCCTTTATGGAGGTAAAATACAGGTAACATAAAGTTAACGTTTTTTTTTTTTTCCCCGAGAGAGAGTTTCACTCTTGTTGCCCAGGCTGGAGTGCATTGGATGGTCTTGGCTCACTGCAACCTCTGCCTCCTGGGTTCAAGTGATTTTCCTGCCTCAGCCTCCCGAGTAGCTGGGATTACAGGTGCATGTCACCATGCCTGGCTAATTTTTGTATTTTTAGTAGAGACAGGGTTTCACCATGTTGGCCAGGCTGGTCTCAAATTCCTGACCTCAGGTGATCCACCTGCCTCGGCCTCCCAAAGTGCTGGGATTACAGGTGTGAGCCACCGTGCCCGTCCTGTGCAAGAGTTTTTATAGAGCTTAATCTCCGGTACCTTCCGGAGCTCAGCTAGTGGGGCCAGAAGTTCCCACCTTCTTAGACACCTGTGTTCCTGGTGACCAGTCCCAGTCTGAGACTGGGGCCCCCCACCCTAAGTCACCTCATTAGCATAAGCTCCAGTGGGGTCAAAAGGGACTCACTTCTGCTACTCAGGAAATTCTAAGGGTATTAGGATCTCTGTGCTGGGAACTGGGGACAAAGCCCAGTGTATTTCTTATCCCACAGAGGATGATTCGTGTTGTAGCGTGGATCAGTGCCTCCTTCCTTTTTATGGCTGGAGATACTCCGTTGTACGGTAGCTCATGTTTCGTGTCTCCATTGTGTGTGGGTGGGTGTTTTGTTCTTTCTGGGTTTTGGCTGTTGTAAAATGTGCTGTTGTGAACATTTGTATACATGTTTCGAATATTAGAGGGGGAGGGTGTGACATTTCCTCCCTCCGTTCATGGGGTGCCTGTGGGGCAGCAGGACCACCCGGCCATGCTCCTCCAGTGCCCGGGACTCTGGAATGAGTGTGGTCACTCATCCCTCCTTGACAGAAGAGGACGCAGACTTAGCTCGAATGCGGGCAGTGGGGAAGGCATGGAAGGGGCTGGGGTCAGGCAAGGTGGGCTGCTCCAGAGACCAGGCCCCTGCTTTGTGGCACCTTCCAGAAAAGGGGACCGAGGCTCGGGCAGGCTGGGTCTGGCTGCCTACAGACAGGCCCCCCGACTCGGAGTCCAGCACGTGGAGGACCAGTCTGGGGCGGGGGGCATTTCCTGTGGGTCCCAGAGCTGTTTCAGAACTCCTCACAATGATGGTTTCCACCTCTGTAAGAGTGATGAGCACCTCCAAAAATAGAGGTGCATCTGCAGGCTAACATTTTGTTGTTATTTATTTATTTATTTATTTATTTATTTATTTATTTATTTTTGAGATGAGTCTTGCTCTGTTGCCCAGGCTGGAGTGCAATGGCATGGTCTTGGCTCACTGCAGCCTCCGCCTCCCAGGTTCAAGCAATTCTCCTGCCTCAGCCTTCTGAGTAGCTGGGATTACAGGCACGCACCACCACACCCAGCTGATATTTTTTTTTTTTTTTTTTTTTTTTTTTAGTAGAGAGGGAGTTTCACTATGTTGGCCAGGCTGGTCTCAAATCCCTGACCTCATGATCCGCCTACCTCGGCCTCTGAAAGTGCTGGGATTACAGGCATGAGCCACCACTCCCGGCTCTATTTATTTATTTATCTTTGAGACGAGTCTTGCTCTGTTGCTCAGGCTGGAGTACAGTGGCATGATCTTGGTTCACTGCAGCCTCTGCCTCCCGGGTTCAAGCAATTTTCCTGCCTCAGCCTCCCGAGAAGCTGGGATTACAGACGTGCACCACCACGCCCAGTTAATTTTTGTACTTTTAGTAGAGATGGTGTTTTGCATGTTGGTCAGGCTGGTCTCTAACTGCTGACCTCAAGTGATCCTCCCGCCTCAGCCTCCCAAAGTGCTGGGATTACAGGCATGACCCACTGTGTCTGGCCTGCAGGCCAACATTTTAAATAGTTCAGTAATTCAGTTATTCGCTACTGGGGGAAGGAGCATCCCCCTTTAACAGATGCCGTTAAAATTTCCTAGAACCCAGTTGCGGATTTCTTAGAGAATTTGTTGAGATATAATTTACATAACATTGTGATTCACCCTTTGAAAACCTGCAGTGCCGTGTTTTTTAGTAAATTAGGGAGATTGTGCAACCATCGGAGTCGATTTAGGAACATGTTTATTCCCCCAATAAAGACGCCAAAACCATCAGCATTGCTCCCCACTCTGATCTTCCCTCCTCTTCCCAGCCCCTGGCAACGACTAATCTGTCTCCCGTCTTGGTGAGTTTGCCCATTCTGAGCATCTTACGTAAATGGAATCGTGCAAAATGGGATCCTTTGTGACTGGCTTCTTTCACTTAGCATCGTGTTACCGAGGTTCATCCGTGTTGTAGCCTGGGTCAGGCCTTTATTCTTTTTGATGGCTGAATCACGTTCCATTTTAAGGCTGGACCACAAGATGTTTATGCATTCCTCAGCTTAGGGATGTTGGGGTTACCTCCACTTTTGGGCTGTTATGAGGTATGCTGCCGTGAACATTCATATACACTTTTTTTTTTTGGTAGAGATGGGGTCTCCTGTACCTGCAGGCTGGCCTCACACTTATGGGCTCAAGCCACCCTCCCACCTCGGCCCCCCAAAGTGCTGGGATTACAGGTGTGAGTCACTGTGGCTGGCCTACATGTTTTTGTGTGGATGTATGTTTTATTATTTTTAGTTGTATGCCTAGGAGTGAAATTGCTGCCTCTCATTGAAGCTGTGTGAAAGTTTTGTTCTTTTGTTTTCCACAGTGTGCTTTTAAAAAGACTTAAAATTTTTACAGTTAACCTTTGAACAATGGAGAGGTTGGGTTCCAACTCCCACACAGTCAAAAGTCCAGGTATAACTTGTGACTCCCCCAAAATGTAACTACTGATAGCCTACTATTTACTGGAAATCGTACAGATAACATAAACAGTCCATTAACACATGTTTTGTATGTTATACAAACAAATAACCTTATCTTAAATAAGGTAGAGAAAAGAACATGTTACTAAGAGAATCATAAAGAAGAGAAAATACATTCACTCCTCACTGAGTGGAAGTGGATCGTAGTAAAGGTTTCATCTGCATTGTCTTCATGTTGAGTGGGCTGAAGAGGAGGAGGAGGAGGAGGAGAGGAGGGGGGAAAGAGGAGGAGGAGGAGAAGGGGTTGGTCTTGCCTTCTCAGAGGCGGCAGAGGTGGGAGAATATCCACGTGTAAGAGGACTTGAGAAGTTCAAACCTGTGTTGCTTAAGGGCCAACTATATTTTTAAGATGATTGCAGTTGTAAGAAATAGTTCAGAGATATACCCAGTTTACCCCCATAGTCTCGTCCTGGGTCAGTACGATAGTATTGGCCGGGATGCTGATGTTGACGCGGTCGAGATTCAAATGCTGCTGTCCACACCAGGACCCCTCATGGTGCCCTTTTATGGCCTGACACACTTCCTTCCACCCCTACTTGCTCTATAAGCCCTGGTAACCACTCATCTGTTCTCCATCTCTGTAATTTTGTCGTTTCAGTAATTATACAGAAATGGAATCACACAGTAAGTAGCCTTTTGGGATTGGCTTTCCCCTCCTTGGTCAGCACAACTTTCTAGAGAGTCACCCAGGTCTTGTGTATCAAGAGTTCTTCCCTTTTTATTGCTGAGTAATGTTCCATGGTGTGGATGTATCCGTTTGTTTAACCATTGAGCTTCTGAAGGCTATCTGGGTGGTTTGCAGTTTTTGGCTATTATGAATAAAGCTGCTATAAACATTAGTGTATAGGTTTCTTTGTCTTTTTTTTTTTTCCTTGAAGACACCTGGCCCTGTCACCCAGGCTGGAGTGCAGTGGCATGATCTTGGCTCACTGCAAGCTCTGTCTCCCCGGCTCAAGCCATCCTCCCATCTCAGCCTCCCAAGTAGCTGAGACTACAGGCACATGCCACCATGCCCAGCTAATTTATGTATTTTTAGTAGAGACTGGATTTCGCTACCTTGACCAGGCTGGTCTTGAACACCTGGGGTCAAAGCGATTCACCTACCTTGGCCTCCCAAGGTGCTGGTATTACAGGTGTGAGCCACTGCACCTGGCCCGTAAACATAAGTCTGAATTTCTGTGGGACGAATGCCTAGGAGTGTGGTTTTTGGGTCACATGGGAGTTACATATTTAGGTTTTTAAGGAACTGCTACACTGTTTTCTGTAATGTCTGTACCATTTTGTATTTCCACCAGCAACGTGTAAGATCCAGGTTTTCCACCGGCAATGTGATTCTTTATTTTCTTACTAGCAATTGGTGTCACCATTTTTCATTCTAGCTGTTTTGATAGGTGTATGGTCATATTTGTTTTATTTGCATTTCTTTAATAGCTGGTGTGTTGAACATCTTTCATGTGCTTATTGCCATCTGTATATCCTCTTGAAAAATGTCTTTTTCTATCTTTTGCTCTTTTAAGTGGATTGTCATTTTTTTAACTGTTGAGCTTTGAGAGTTCTTTATTCTAGACACATATTATTTCGAATTATTTGTTAAATATGTGGTTTGCAGACATTTTTCTCCCACTCTATGGTTTGTGTTTTTCTCCTTTCAGCAGGTCTTTCAGAGCAAAAGTTTTTAATTTGGATGAGAACCTATTTGTCAATATTTTTGTATGTGGATTGTGCTTTTTACATTGGGTCTATGAACTCATTTCCTGTCTCTAGATCCTGAAGATTTTCTCCCATTTTTTCTAAGAGTTGTAGTTTTGTATTTTACATGTAAGTTCATGATTCATTTTGAATTAATTTTTGTATAAGGCATGACCCTTAGGTTGATGTTCATTGTTTTGCTGATGGATGTCCAATTGCTCCAGCATCGTTTGTTGAAAAGACAGTCCTTCCTCCATTGAGTGGCTTTTGCACCTTCATCAGCAATCAGTTGGGCATATTTGTGTGGGTTTTTTCTGGGCTCTGTATTGAGTTCTATTGCTATGTGCCTGTCCCTCCACCAGAACCACACAGCTTTGATTACTATACTGTATAATAAATCTTGAAGCTGAGTATACTGATTTCCTCCCATTTTTTTTTTTGTTTGCAAACTGTTAGTTTTCCTAGTTCTTTTGCCTTTCCATATACTTTCTTTTTTTTTTTTTGAGACAGAGTCTCACTCTGTTGCCCAGGCTGGAGTGCAGCAGCACGATCTCGGCTCACTGCAATCTCCACCTCCCGGGTTCACGCCATTCTCCTGCCTCAGCCTCCCGAGTAGCTAGTACTACAGGTGCCCGCCACCACACCCAGATAATTTTTTGTATTTTTAGTAGAGATGGGGTTTCACCGTGGTCTTGATATCCTGACCTCGTGATCCACCCGCCTTGGCCTTCCAAAGTGCTGGGATTACAGGCGTGAGTCACTGCACTCAGCTTTTTTTAAGGCAGAGTCTTGCTCTGTTGCCCAGGTTGGAGGCTGGAGTGCAGTGGCATCTCAACTCACTGCAACCTCTGCTTCCCAGGTTCAAGTGATTCTCCTGCCTCCGCCTCCCAAGTAGCTGGGCTTACAGGTGTGCGTCACCACACCTGGCTAATTTTTTGTGTTTTTAGTAGAGATGGGGTTTCACCACGTTGGGCCAGGCTAGTCTCGAGCTCCTAACCTCAAGTGATCCATCTGCCTTGGCCTCTCAAAGTGCTGAATAATCTTGTCCATATCTACAAAAAAATTTTGCTGAGATTTTGACTGGAATTGTGTTCATCATCATCACCTGCACATCAGTTTGGGAAAAATTGACCTTCTGACTATGTTGAGTCTTCCAATCCATGAACAGGGTATGTCTCTCAATTTTTTTAGATCTTTGATTTGTTTTCATCAGTGTTGCATAGCTTTCAGCATACAGTTCCTGAATATGTATTGTTAGGTTTATACCTATTTCTTTTCTTTTCTTTTTCTTTTTTTTTTTTTTTTTCTTTTTTGAGATGGAGTCTCACTCTGTTGCCAGGCTAGAGTGCAGTGGTGCAGTCTTGGCTCACTGCAACCTCCAACTCCCTGGTTCAGGCTATTCTCCTGCCTCAGCCTCCTGAGTAGCTGGGATTACAGGCATGCACCAGCTAATTTTTGTATTTGTAATAGAGACGGGGTTTCACCATGTTGGCCAGGATGGTCTCTATCTACTGACCTCGTGATCCACCCACCTCGGCCTCCCAGAAGTGCTGGGATTACAGGCATGACCCACTGCGCCCAGCCAACTCTTTCATTTTTTGAGCAAGTATAAGTGATATTGTATCTTTAATTTTGCTATCTGCATGATTATTGCTAGAGAATACAATTGATTTTAATATGTTGATCTGGTGTCTTGTGACCTTGCTCAACTCATTTATTATTTCCAGGAGGTTTTGGGGTTTTATGGTTGTTTCTTTGTGATTTTTCATGCTGTGTGCAAATAGGGACAATTTTGTTCCTTCTTTTCCAATCTTTGTTTGTTTGTTTTTTTGCCATATTACACTTGCTAGAACATCCAGCTCTATGTTGAGTAAGAATGGTGAGAGCAGGCATCTTTGCCTTGGTCCTGATCATATGGGGAAAGCATTTTGTTTTTATTTGGTGAATCTTGGCTCATGTTTCTTCGCAGATGTTCTTTATCAAGTGGGGGAAATTCCCATCTTGTTTTGGGGAGAGTTTTTCTCAAAGAAAGATGCTGAATTTTGTTAAATGCTTTTTCTGCATTGATTGATATGATCTTTTTTTCTGTTGATAATAGTAGATTACATTGATTGATTTTTTTAAAAAATATTGAAACAGCCTGGCATCCCTAGAATAAATGCCATTTAGTCATGGTATATAATTCTTTTGATATATTGCTGAACTCTATTTGTTACTCCTTTGTTAAAGATTTCTGTGTCTATATTCATGAAGACCTTTGATTTACGTTTGTATAAGGTATCTTCTTTTTTAAAAAATTATTAATTAATTTTTGAGATGGAGTCTTACTCTTGTCGCCCAGGCTGGAGTGCAATGGCACAATCTTAGCTCACTGCAACCTCCGCCTCTTAGGTTTAAACGATTCTCCTGCCTCAGCCTCCCGAATAGCTGGGATTACAGGCACCCACTACAAGGCCCAGCTAATTTTTGTATTTTTAGTAGAGACAGGGTTTCATCATGTTGGCCAGGCTGGCCTTGAACTCCTGACCTCGGGTAATGCAACCGCCTCGGTCTCCCAAAGTGGTGGGATTACAGGCATGAGCCACCATACCCAGCCTGTAATCTTCTTTTTGTGCTCATTTTCTCTGGCTTTGGTATCAAGGTAGTAGTTGCTCCATAAAATAAATTAAGAAATGTTCTCTCCTATTCTACTTTCTGGAAGAAATTGTGTAGAATTAGTATTAATTATTCTTTAAGCATTTCATAGAATTCTCCAGTGAACTCATTTAGGTCTAAAGATTTCTTTTTCTCAAAAAAACTGGAGTTTAAAAATTATGAATTCACTTCCCTTAATAGTTGTAGGAAATGATTCAAATTACCTTTTTCAAATTGGGCAAGGTGAAGTAGTTTGTATTTCTTGAATAATTGCTTTATTTCATCTACATTGTCAAATTTATGTGTGTAGAGCTGATTTAGTATTCCCTTAGTATCTTTTTCATGTCTGCAGGGTCTTTAATGGTGTCTCCTATTTAATTCCTGGTATTGGTAATTTGTGTTGTTTTTTTTTCTTGGTCAGTCTTGCTAGAGTTTTGTCAATTGCATTGACTTTTACAAAGAGTCAGCTTATTGTTTCACTGATTTTCTCTGTTGTTTTTCTGTTTCCTGTTCATTTTTTCCCACTCATATGTTTATTATTTTCTTCCTTCTGCTTGCTTTGGGTTTGTTTGGGTCTCCTTTTGCTAGCTTCTTGAGGTAGGAACTTAGAATTTGATTTGAGATTGTTCTTCTTTTCTAATATATGCTATAAATTTCATGAACACTTGAAAAGAATGTGAATTCTGCTGTAGTACAGTGGAGGAAGGTTCTACAACTATCACTTTGATCTTGTTGATTGGGTATATTACTGAGTTCTGTATCCTTGCTGATTTTCCTGTCCTATTCTATCAATTGTGGAGAAAGGTTTGTTAAAGTTGTATTCAGTTATAAGTGTGGATTTATGTCTTCTTTCTTCAGTTCTATCCATTTTTGCTTCATGTATTTTGCTCCTCTGTTGTTTGGTACACGTTTAGAATAACTATGTCTTCTTGGTGGAGTCCTCTCTTACATTATGTAATGTTCTCTTTGTGGTATTTTCTTTGCCCTGAAGTCTACTTTATCTAATATTAACATAGCCATGACTGCTTTCTTTTGACTTCTGTTTGTATAAGGTATCTTATTCCATCCTTTTACTTTCATCCTACCTATGGCATTATATTTGAAGCAAATTTTTATAGACCTCATTTAATTGTATCTTTTAAAATCTACTCTGCCAATCTCTGTCTTTTAACTGGTATATTTTGACCATTTACATTTAATGCAATTATTGATACATTAGGCCTTACATTTGTTATTTCAGGTTTTCATGTTTCTATTTTTCCTGCCTTCTTGTGGGTTATTTGAACATTTTTAAACATTTTTTAGGGTTCCATTTTGATTCATCTGTAGTGTTTATGAGTATATCTCTTTGTATAGCTTTTTAAGTGGTTGCTCTAGGCATTATATCATGTATACTTAATTTTATCATCTATTGTAATACCAGTTTGAGTGAAATATACAATCTTCTTTGTCTCTTTACCCTTCTCCATTTATACTTGTTAAATATTTGCTCTATATATTTAGAACCACATAGATTATGTTGTAATTTTTGCTTCAACCATCAAATATAATCTATAAAACTTGAGAAGGAAAGCCTATTATATTTGCCAAACATTTTGCTTACCATACTTTTTTCCTTCCTAATGTTCCAAAACTCCTTCTTTTATTATTATTTTTTTATTTAGAAAGGCTTCTTTTTAGCTATTCTTTTAGAATAGGTCTGCCAGTGGCAAATTTCCTTTGTTTCCTTTCATCTGAGACTATCTTAATTTTCCTTTCATTCTTACAGGATATTTTTGTTGGTATAAAATTATGGATTGAGAATACTTTTCTTTCATCACTTGAAAATTACTGTGCCACTTTCTTTTGGTCTCCACAGTTTCTGATGAGAAATGTAAGTATTGGTTTCTCTGCATGTTTTCAATATTTTTTCTTAGTGTTCAGAAGTTTAATTCTGATGTATATTGGTGTGAATTTTCTTGGGTTTATCCTATTTGGGATTCGTTCAGCTTCTGGAATCTGTAGGTTTATATCTCTCAGCAAATTTGGGACATTTTGAGTACTTTTTCAGACCCTCCCTCTCTTCTCTCTCCTTCTGGGATTTCAAACATTTAAAGTTAGGTATTTTATTATTGTCCCATAACTCCCTGAGACTCTGTTTATTTATTTTCAGTCTGTTTCACTCTATTGTTCAGTTGGGATAATGTCTGTTGTTCTGTCTTCCAGTTCACTGATTATTTCCTCTGTCCCCTCCATTCTGCTGTTGAGTCCATCCACTGAGTCTTTTATTACAGTTACTGTATTCTTTAGTTCTATCATTTTCTTTTCTTTTTTTGTAAGATGGAGTTTCACTCTTGTTGCCCAGGCTGGAGTGCATGGCATGATCTCAGCTCACTGCAACCTCTACCTCCTGGGTCCAGGTGATTCTCCTGCCTCAGCCTCCTGAGTAGCTGGGATTACAGGTGCCCACCACCAACCCGGCTAAGTTTTGTATTTTTAGTAGAGATGGAGTTTTGCCATGTTGGCCACGCTGGTCTCAACTTCTAACCTTGAGTGATCCACACACCTCGGCCTCCCAAAGTGCCGGGATTACAGGCATGAGCCACCGTGCCCGGCCAGTTCTATCATTTTCACTTGATTCTTTTTTATATCTTTGGTGAAAGGCACTGCTCTGGTGAGGCTTTCTGTTATTTCATCTGTTTCTAGCATGTTCCTAATTGTTCGTGGAAGCATTCATCATGGTTGCTTTCAACTCTTTGTCAGATCATCCTGACATCTCTGTCACCTCCATGTTGGCATCCATTGATTTTCTTTTTTTCAGTTTGAAATCTTCCTGATCCTTGGTTTGATGGGTGATTTTCTAATGAAACTTGGACATATTTGTATTATGTTATGAGACTTTTAGTCTTAGTTAAACTTTTTTTGTAAGCTAACTTTTCCTGACGCCACTTCCACAAGGGAAGGTGGAAAGGGGTGTCACCTCATTACTGACAGGTGCCATAGAAATCCAGGCTCCCCATGCTGCCTATACTAATGCCGGAGTGAAAGGAGGATTTGTTACTGCCTGGTGGGGATGAATGTGCTAGCTCCTTCCGTTGCTCTATTTGATGCCACGCTGGCAGGGATTTGGTGCTTCATTATAGCCACACAGGGTGGAAATCTAGACTCCCTACTCGGCCTTTGCTGCTGTGGGTGGGGCTGAGGCCACAGATTTTTCTGCAGTGTCTGGCTGGAGTAGACCTGTTGTCTAAATATATTGCCCTGTTAGCTGCCGCTTTCCTAGTCTTTCGACTAAAGAGAATATGCTTTTGTTGTGGTACTGTTCCTGCTCCTGTTGGCTTTTCTGGGTTGCTGGCTTATTCAGCACCACGTCTGGGATGTATGAGGCAAGAAGAAAACCCAGAGAGCTCACACCATGTCCCTGGCTGGTCTGCCTTCTCTCCACCTTGCAGAGTGTTAGGTTTGTTTTATATACAGCATCCTGAGTTTTAGTTGTGCTTTGTGTGAGGAATAGGGAAAAATGTGTCTACTCCAATTGCCCGGAAGCAGAAGTTCGATCCCTGGTTTTTAGCACAGAAATATCAGAATCTACATGAAGTTTTAACATGTGCCTCTCAACAGTCTGTGTCTGACCATGCCCCGGTCTCATTATCTCTCCACAGGTCTGGAAATCTCTCCAGGCACCCTGCTTTGGCCCTCTAGAATACAGACAGTTCCTGCTCTAAGAGGCCATCTGTGAGGCTCAGTCTCCCAACACCTCTGGTGAGTTATAACATTTTCCCCTGTCCTTGTTACCTGCAAGCCAGTGGCCACTGTCTGGGTTTGGTCCACCTCCCCACCTTTGCACTGTGGCCAGGGACTTTAAGTTTCTTGTTGTCAGGCCCTGTGTGCCCTGTGCTTGTGTTTGGGTGGGAAGAGGGTGGATGGCATTGTCCTTGGTGGCCCGCTTGTGTGACCTTGCGAGATATGAAAGGGACTATGCCTCTGGCTACTGGACCGTGCTCTGAGCTGTCCTCACCAGTGTGCCCAGGCTAGACCCAGTCAGGGTGGCTGCAGACAGATGAGTGGTGCAGGTGCTTCCAGCTCCTCTCCGTCATTTTCACATGAACGGGGGTGCGCCTCGTGATGCCCACGTGCAGGGAAGGGTGCAGTGAAGCCCAGGTCTGTGTGCTCTGAAGAGGGCAGATCGTGGGCTGGTGCTCAGTGGCTCTATTCTTGAGCGCCTCCTCTGTGCCTTGCTGGTATCACCTCACCTGTAATGTGCTTAAAGGCCCCGTCTGCCAAGTATCTTATCAACGTTGACGCTGACTACCACCAGCTCCATGCAGAAAGTGGAATTACCACCATTTTCAGTGAGGACACAGGCTCTCAGCAGTTAGATACTTGGTCACGGTCACGTGGGTATTGAGTGGCTGAATCCAGCTTGGCTTGACCACACACTGGGCTCCTGCTGGTATAGGACCCTTGCCTCCTGGCATGGCCTTGTATACCAGGGACCATAAAGACAGATCTGTGTGGTCCAGAGCCCTGTGGGCAATTTCTCAATCCTTCTGAGCTATCCTCACCAACGTGCCCATGCCAGACCCAGACAGTGTGGCTGCAGACAGATGAGTGGTGCAGGCGCTTCCAGTTCCTCTCCGTCATTTTCACGTGGATGGGGGTGTACCTGGTGGTGCCCCGTGCAGGGAAGGGCCTCTCAGCTGCACGGGCCTGCCCAAGAAGCTGCGTCAGATATACTTTCCTAATTGTGTGCACCATGAGATCTTAATACTGTGGAAGGGCCGTACAGTCATCCCTCGGCATCCAAAGGGGATTGGTTCCTGGACCTCCCATGAATACAAAAGTCCATGGATGCTCAAGTCCCTGATTTAATATGGTGCAGTATTTTCATATAACCTAAGTACTTTCTCTCATATACTTTAAAACATCTCCAGATTGTGTATGATACCTAAACAATGTAAATGATATGTAAATGTTTGCTATACTGTATTGTTTAGGGAATAATGACAAGAAAAATGTCTGTACATGTTCGGTACAGATGCAACTAAAAAATATTTCCAATGTGCGCATGGTTGGTTGAGTTCAGGGTAACTGAAGCCACGCATATGGAAGGCTGTTGCTGTGCTGATCGTTTATCTCTGCTTCACCTTCCACCACCCCATGAGAATGCACACCCTGGGGTCCTAAACGCGGCAGGCAGGAGCAGAATGTCGGAGTCACGGCCCCATGCAGGACTACCCTGGTCCTGGCCACCATCGCAGTTGGGCGGCCTCACCTGCCTGGTTTTCCTGTCTCCAGCTCTACAGCTCACCAATCCCGTCTGAAATGCAGTCGGACTCTCTCCCTCCCCATGTTCAAGCCCTTCTCTGCACCTGCATGTCCCTCCAAATCTCTGAGCTCCCTCTCTAGCCTCTGCTGTCACTCACCTCCCAGATGTGGACAAGTGTCCTCCCAGATGGAGGGATGGTGACACGGCTCCGTGGAGGGTGCTCCTGCCTTCCCTGGCTGTCTTGGCTGAGGGCTGGGTCTGTATCCTCCACAGTCCCCCTCGTCTGTGGCCGATGCTGCATACTTGTCCCTTGTGCAGAAGCACTGGCCCAGTACACAGTTCCTCCTCGAAAGGTGTCACAAGGATGCATATGAGAACGTGTGACCCTGCTGGAGAAGGTGGTCCACCCCTTTATCCTAGAGCAGGAGCAGACTGAGAGAGGGAAGGACATTAGTCCCTGTCCACCCAGGAAGGAGCACGTGTCCCTGCAGGCTCGGGGTTGAGCCATAAGATGTTGTCAGCAGTCAGCTGCCTTTGGCTTCCTCGGAGCTTGGACTTGGGGCTTGCTATTTATTCATTCTCTCTCCCGGGGCTGGGGCAGAGCTAACAACCATGGCGTGCATGCGCTTCTGCCTTTGGAAGGCGCCTGCGTCCGGCCAGCTGGGCCTCGGTTCACAGCTGGGACCTGTCTCCCTGAAACTCCCTTCTTAGCTCCTCTGGGAGCTTCGTAAGAAAGGAACACTCAGGCTGTTGGGTTGAGCCTTTGCTTGTCACTCGGGAGCTGCCGTTGGCTCACAAGTGATGGGGAGCGCTTGCTTCCAGAGCAGCAGCCCTGCAACCCTGCAACCCTGGCGGCTGCGATTAATGGGAAGGAGAGAAGGAAAAACTTGTCTGGGCAACTCACGAAGGCTGGGAGTGAATTTGTTTTAGTTTTGTTTTTCTGGCCAGGGCACTTTCAGCCCACACAGTTGGTGACCTTGGGACAGGGGAGCTGTGCTGCTTTCTGGGAAGATCAGTCCCCTCGGCTGGAGGCAGGATGGTGGTGCTGGATGGGGTGGGGTGGGTGGGGTTTTCCTCTTGGGGATGTCGATGATCTGGGAAGCCCAGGCGGTGCTGGTCCTGGTGCAGGGAAGGGTGAGCCAGAATCACCAACCCGGCCATGCTCACCTGGGCGCTTCACCCTCCAGCGGCTTCTCCTGCTTCCTCAGGTGTCCCAGTTCCGCCCTAACAGGAGCCACCAAGGGACCCTACTCCTCAGTGGCTCTCCCAATGTCCTCAGACCCCCATTCATTGATCATGAACATTGTCTTGTGGGCACCTCACGCCCCCGTGCCATGGCTGCAGCGTCATTTTACAGTGGAGACTCCCAGCGCCTAGGCACCTGCAGACATCCTGGGTTTCTAACCTTGTCTACCGATCACCTCCCCTTGCTGCTCAGAAAAAAACTGGAAAATTGCCCTCGAGGGGTAATTTAGTGAGCAGCCAGGGTATCGCATAATTAGTGGCAGAAGGGTTCCACTTAGGAGTAACGGAATTAATTGACAATGTTGCAATTCTCATTGACTGTTGAAGACACTAGATTAGATGAATTTGAAGATGTGGTTTTTCCTGAGGTGTTCTTTGCTATTGTCTCAAATTATATTTTCCACTTGTGGGTGTAATCAGGCACCCCCTAATGATTAATGACATGACCCAAGAGGATATGCTCCAGAGCACCCTCCTGGGTGGGGAAACAGGGGATCAAGCGGCATTTGCCAGGGAAGGACTGGGGTGAGGACCCTGTCCTCTGCACCTGCGCTCCGGCCACCGTCTCCTGCTGGGCACCCACTGCCTTGTGCCCAACCAGAAGCTGGCAGACTGTGGTGTGAGGGTCCAATCCTGCTCATTCCTTGTTTTTGTAAATGAAATTTTGTTTTTATTTTTAAAGTCTTAGCAAGATACACATAATACAGAATTTACCATCTTCATCTTTTTTTTTTTTTTTTGAGATGGAGTCTCACTCACTGTGTTGCCCAGGCTGGAGTGCAGTGGCATGATCTCGGCTCACTGCAACCTCCGCCTCCCGGGCTCAAGCGATTCTCCTGCCTCAGCCTCCTGTGTAGCTGGGACTACAGGCGCCTGCCACCAAGCCCGGCTAATTTTTGTATTTTTAGTAGAGACAGGGTTTCACCATGTTGGCCAGGCTGGTCTTGAACTCCTGACCTCAAGTGATCCACCTGCCTCAGCCTCCCAAAGTGCTGGGATTATAGGCGTGAGCCACCGTGCCTGGCCCATCTTCACGATTTTTAAAGTGTGCCATTCAGTGGCATTAAGCACATTTATGTGGCTGTGCAACCATCGCCACCAACCGTCTCCAGAACTTTTTCGTCTTTCCAAACTGAAACTCTGTCCGCATTGAACCCTCCCTCCCCATTCCTCTTCCCCAGCCCCTGACAACCCCTATTCAACTTTCTGTCTCCATGGATTTCCCCACTCTAGGAACCTCATGGGAGTGGGGTCATGTGAGATTTTGTGCCTGACTTCTTTCACTTAACGTAATGTCCTCCAGGGTCATCCACATTGTAGCATGTATTGGAACTTCATTTCTTTTTAAGCCTAAGAAATACTCCTTCTGTGAATGGACCACACCTTGTTTATGCGTTCATCCAGTGGTGGACACTGGGTTGCTCCAACCTTTTGGCTGTTGTGAATAGTGTTCTGTGAACATAGGTGTGCGGATATATCTCCTCAAGATATCCACCCGTTCTTTCAGGCATATACCTACCCCCAGAAATGGAATGGCAGGTTCATATGGTTTTTTATGTTTAGTTTTTGGAGAAACTGCCGTACTGTTTTCCACAGCGGTTATACTATTTTACATTCCCACCAGCAAGGCTCAAAGGTTCCAATTTCCCACATCCTTGCCAACACTCGTATTTTGTTTTGTTTGTTTGTTTGTTTGTTTGTTTCTGTTTTGAGACTGGGTCTCACTCTGTCACCCAGGCTGGATTGCAGTGGCACAGTAAGGCTTACTGCAGCGTCGGCCTCCCAGGCCCAAGCAATCCTCCTTTCCATCTCGGCCTCCTGAGTAGTTGGGACCACAGGCATGTGCCATC
This sequence comes from Homo sapiens, assembly GCF_000001405.40. Lineage (NCBI taxonomy): Eukaryota > Metazoa > Chordata > Mammalia > Primates > Hominidae > Homo > Homo sapiens. The sequence goes on along the minus strand of NC_000011.10, from coordinate 71,220,094 downwards.
ATGCCTGGCTAATTTTTAAATTTTTTTGTAGAGATGGGTGGGGGGGTCTCACTATGTTGTCCAGGCTGGTCTTGAACTCCTGAGCTCAAGCAATTGACCCACCTCAGCTTCCCCAAGTGCTAGAATTACAGGTGTGAGCCACCACACCTGGCCTGTTTTTGTTTTTGTAAATTTTTAATTTAATTTAATTATTTTTTGAGATGGAGTCTCGCTCTGTTGCCCAGGCTGGAGTGCAATGGTGTGATCTCAGCTCACTGTAACCTCTGCCTCCTGGGCTCAAGTGATTCTCCTACCTCAGCCTCCCGAGTAGCTGAGATTACAGGCACCCACCACCATGCCTGGCTAATTATTTTATTTTATTTGTTTAGTAGAGACGGGATTTTACCATGTTGCCCAGGCTAATATTGAACTGGTGACCTCAGCTGATCTGCCCACCTCAGCCTCCCAAAGGGCTGGGATTACAGGTGTGAGCCATCACACCTGGCCTGTTTGTTTTTTTTGTTTTTGTTTTTTAAAATAGCCATTCTAGGGGGTGTTGATGTGGTATTTCATTGTGGTTTTGGTTTGCATTTTCCTATTGATTAGTGATGTGGAGCATGTTTTTATGAGCTTATTGGTTATTTGAATATCTTCAGAAAAATGTCTATTCAAGTTCTTTGCCTATTTTTGAGTTGTTGGATTGTATGAGTTCTTGATATATGCTAGATGCTAATCCCTGGTCAGATGTGTAATTTGTGATATTTCCTGACAATCTGGGTTCTCTTTTGTGAATAAAGTTTTATTGGCACCCAGCCGTGCTCATCTCTTTCCACGTTGTGTGTGGCAGAGTTGAATCGTTGTGACAGACTGCATGCTCTGCAAAGTTGAGAGTAGTTACCAGCTGGACTTTTACAGAAAATTTTGTGGGCCTTGTTCTAAATGATCTCAGCGCATTGCCTAGAACCATGCCACTTTTCTCTGATGTGATTCTGAGAAATGCTCTCTCCTCATCTGGCTTCTCTAAATGCTGGTATGTGGGACATTGCACGTGATGGTGTCCTCGTGGTCTGAAGCTTGCCCACAGAGCCTTGGGTAAGCTCCGTTACATTCTTCTGCGATGTCTGTGTAGGATGCTGACCACCTGTGGGGTGCACAGATGCCACTCTCTCTGGGTGCCCTACAGAGAAGGCTGCTTGGGACTCCTTCCTGCTGGGGGCTGCAGAAGAGGGAGGCATTCAGGCACAGTCTCCAGCAGTGCTGGAAGAACGAGGCTGGGTTGAGTGGCAGGACAGCAAGTCTGGGGCTTCCTTCCCAGTTAGTTACGCCCAGTGCTGTTTATGCTGCCACTGCAACTTGTGTCTGGTTCAGGGGTCATTGGATTTTCACGTGAGTCTTTCCCATCGAGAGACCTTGGAGTTGATGGAGATTGGGTGTGTAGGTGTTCTGTGCTGATGTGGACAGCTGGGTGGTGAGAAGGTAGCGATGAAGGTTCCATACCCTGCCCTCACGCTGCTCATCCCTGGGCACCACAGATTCAATTTAAAAATAGAACAGCCCGGTCCCGGGGGCTCACACCTGTAATTCCAGCACTTTGGGAGGCTGAGGCGGGTGGATCACCTGATGTCGGGAGTTTGAGACCAGCCTGACCAACAAGGAGAAACCCCGTCTCTACGAAACATACAAAATTAGCTGGGCGTGGTGGCACATACCTGTAGTCCCAGCTACTTGGAGGCTGAGGCAGGAGAATCGCTTGAACCTGGGAGGCGCAGGTTGCGGTGAGGCAAGGTTGCACCATTGCACTCCAGCGTGGGCAAGAAGAGCAAAACTCCATCTCAAAAAAAAAAAAAAAAAAAAGAAAAAGAAAATTAGAAGAATTTCTTCAATAATAAATTGACTTTAGCTTACTGTAACTTTTTTATTTTATAAACTTTTAATTTTTTTAAAAAAATACCTCTTGGCCGGGCATGGTGGCTCATGCCTGTAATGCCAGCACTTTGGAAGGCTAATCACAAGGTAAGGAGGCGAATCACAAGGTAAGGAGATCGAGACCATCCTGGCTAACACGGTGAAACCCTCTTTCTTCTAAAAATACAAAAAATTAGCCGGGCGTGGTGGCGGGTGCCTGTAGTCCCAGCTACTCAGGAGGCTGAGGCAGGATAATGGTGTGAACCCAGGAGGCAGAGTTGGCAGTGAGCCAAGAACGCGCCACTGCACTCCAGCCTGGGCGACAGAGCGAGACTCTGTCTCAAAAAACAAACAAAAAACCTCTTGACTCTTTTGCAGTAATACTTAGCTTAAAACACACATTGTCAGCTATACAAACATTTTGTTTCCATATATCCTTATTCCATAAGCCTTTTTCTATTCAAAGACTTTTTTACTTTTTAATTTTTTTGTTAAAAACTAAGACACAAATCCACACGTTAGCCTTGGCCTACGCGGGGTCAGGATATTCAATACCATTGTCTTTCACCTCTGCATCTCGTCCCACTGGAAGGTCTTCAGGGGCAGTAACATGCGTGGAGCTGGCATCTCCTGTGATTACAGTGCCTTCCTCTAGAACATCTGGAAGACCTGCCTGAGGCTGTTTTACAGTTTACTTTTTTTTTTTTGAGACGGAGTCTTGCTCTGTTGCCCAGGCTGGAGTGCAGTGGCATGATCTCGGCTCACTGCAGCCTCCACTTCCAGGGATCATGTGATTCTCAGCCTCAGCCTCCCAGGTAGCTGGGATTACAGGCGCGCCACCGTGCCCAATTAATTTTTGTATTTATTAGTAGAGGTGGGGTTTCTCCATGTTGGCCAGGCTGGTCTCAAACTCCTCACCTCAAGTGATCCACCTGCCTTGGCATCCCGAAGTGCTGGGATTACAGGCATGAGCCACTGCACCTGGCCCCTAGTTTACTCTCTTATTTTATTTTGAGACGGAGTTTTGCTCTTGTCACCCAGGCTGGAGTGCAATGGCACGATCTTGACTCACTTCATCTTCTACCCCCCGGGTTCAAGCGATTCTTCTGCCTCAGCCTCCCAAGTAGCTGGGACTTAGAGGCATGCACCACCATGCCTGGCTAATTTTGTATTTTTGGTAGAGACGGGGTTTCACCATGTTGGCCAGACTGGTCTCAAACTCCTGACCTCAGCTAATCCTCCCACCTCAGCCTCCCAAAGTGCTGGGATTGCAGGCGTGAGCCACTGCACCCAGCCTCTTTATTTTTTAATAAGTAGAAGGCATATACTCTAAAAAATATAGTAAATGCATAAACCAGTAACATAGTTTTTTCTTATTATTGAGTACTATGTACCTACAAAATTGTATGTGCTAGACTTTAATTAGATTGGCAGTGCAGGAGGTCTGTTTAGGCCAGCAGCATCACAGACGCGTGAGGAATGCATTGAGCTACGACGTCCCTGGGGCTGTGACCTCACTTGGTGATAAAAAGTTTTCAGCTCCATTGCAATCTTATGGGACCGCCATTGCATACACAGTCCCTCCTTGACTGAAATGTTGACAGCAGCACGTGGCTGTATTTTCAGAGTGGCGCAGTCATCACCCAAATCAATATTAACATTTGTGAAGAGTAATCTTTTTTTATATTCCCCCCCAAAACCTGTACCATTAGAAGTCACTCCCTCCTCCTGAATCCCTCTAACCAATCACCTCCGGCCCTGGCGACCACAAATCTCCATTTCATCTCTACGGATTTGCCCATCTGGGACAGTTCATATAAATGGAATCGTATAATACATGACCTTTGTGTCCATCTTCTCACTCAGCATCATGTTTTCAAGGCTTGACCACGTTTAGCATGATTCAGTGATTCCTTCCTTTTAAAGGCTGAGTGATACTGCACCATATGATACAGCATCTTTTTAATCCAATATTATGTTTATCACATGCTGGACATTTGGGTTGTTCCCACTTTTTGGCTTTTACACACTTGGACATTCTTGTACAGGCTTTTGTGTGGACGCGATTTCGTTTCTCTCGGGTAGATTCCTAGGAGTGGAGCTGCTGGGCCGTGTGGAGTCGTGTGTCCCTCAGTGGAGGAGGGACAAACCATGTTCCAGAGAGTGGCTGCGCCGTTGGACCTCCTCTCCAGCGTCGGATGAGGGCTCCACTTGCTCCACTCCCTTGCCTGCTTCTGTTCCCATCTCTCTTCTTGGTTATCTTCATCCTGGAGGGTGGGGGAGGCGCTGTCTCATTGTGGTTCGAAAGATTTGATTTGAGCATCAGCAATGTGCCCAAGGTGGTGGTAGGTGCTGCGGGAGCCTGACTCCACTCCTTGTCCCTAAAAAGGTTGTGGTCTGACTACAGAGTGGGGGTGCCGCTTCTGGGGTGTCATGTCTGGGTTTTGCTAAATAATCGTGTTTGCAGAGGTTTGAGCTCCTGAGCTGGCACGCCTGCAGTGTGTGCAGGGAGAGAGGTGTAGATGGATGTCCGAGGACATTAGCAGGGCCCTGAGTGGGAGCCACTGTGCCACGGATGGCTATGTGGGGACACCTCCTCGGGGAACAGTTGGGGCTGTGGCCTTCTGCAGGTGCCTGCCTGGGAAAGGAGGTACATCCTCAGCAGGCCTTCCTTGCTTTCTTTTCAGGCCTGACCTCACGTTCGCTCAGGGGGCCTGTCTTGGCAGGAGGCACCATCTGAAGCTCCCTCGGTGCCTCTGGGACCTGAGCCCTGCTGATGGGCAGCCAGGGGTGACCAGGGCAGAACCTGCTGAAGGCTTCATGGGAGACACAAAGCCTTGAGATGACAGAGTGGCGTGTTCAGACAGGGTGAGGGGAGCCAGGGAGGCCTCAAAAGTACAGACGCAGGGGGCAGGGGGACCAGATGTTACTTGGTGCTGCCCCTGCTGAGACTGTGGTGGACACCGAGGCTCAGAGAGAGCGTGGGCCCTGCTGCGGCTCCAGGGTGAGAGCTGGGGCCTGTGGTTCTTTCCAGCACTCGGATGGCATTAAGCTGCACTATCACGAGGGGTTTTGATGAAGGACATCGCACATCGGGGCATGCCTGCCTGATGGTGTGAGCGTGTGGGCTGTGGGAGAATGGCTGGTGGAGGGAGCTGTCCGCTGAAGGGAAAGCCCCATGTACCTGCAGCACAGCCAGCTCCTCTGTGTATGTGGGATCCAGGAGGAAACCGCCACGCAGCCCTATTCTGTTCTCCCTCCCTGCCGAGAGGAGGATGTGTGGAAGGCGGGATGCTTGGTGGCCTTCAATACCTGGAGACCAGAACGAAAGGCTGTGGCCACCCCCAGGCCTCCCATCGAGCACCTGCTGGTCTAGAATGGCCTTTTGTGACCCCACTTCACCTTCTTAGCAATTGCACGAGAGGACAGCTGCATGGGTCCCAGTCAGAACTGCGCGATACCCCACCCCAGAGGACAGGGCAGCCCGGGGTGGCACGCGACAGATGTGTGGGTGGGCACTTGGGTGGGCCAAGGGTCTGACAGTGATGCCCCCTTGGCCTGACTCCAGTTAGCTTCTGGCCAGACTTGCTGAGACAGCAGTGGGACCCTGAGCCAGACCCATCTTCACATTTTAGTCTCCCAACCTAGCAGGCTGAGCAGAGATGACACTTCTTCGGAAACGTGTGGTTAGGGAAGGTCGTTTTCTCAAGCAAAGCTGATGGCGCTAAATCACGATGTCTTTTGGCTACAGAAGAAAGAAGTCCCAGCTGTGTGTGTTTCGGCTGTGGGTGGAAAAGAAGGGAGGGTGTCCCTCTAGGGCCTGGGGAGCCCTGGTTTGTTGCTGGGAGGTCCAGAGGGGAGCCAGCACGCGGTTCCTCACCTGCGTGGAAACTGTCTTCCTTGCTGCGTCTGTCTCATTTGTGCTGCGGGATTTTAACTGATGGAGGTGGCTGAGTGAGGACAAAAAGATTTCCCAAAAGAAGGTTTTATGGCTTACATTTCCCAAGAGCAGGGGGCATGAGCCCTGGGGCCACAGGGGAAGCCCCAGGGTTTGGTCAGGAGGCAGGAGGTGGGAGGAAACTGAGGCCAGACCCTTTCTGGGGGTTTCTGTGAGAGAGGCAGGGCCAGGCCAGGTGAGTCACTGCAGCAGGCCTGGGGCTGTAGGGGAGGTCTTTGCTTGCCTGGCACCTGGTCCTGGGGCGCGTTAGGGCAGGGGTGGTTCATATTGGCTGGGTGAACAGGAGTTGAAAAAGGGGTGGTTGGCTTGTGCATGCGAGTGCATGGTAAATGGCCCAAGGAAGCCACTTACTGTCTTTGGGAACTAGCCAGCTCTGGAAGGGGCGGTCTCTCCCAGTGTCTGCGAGGCTCCCCTAGATGTCAAAACGTCCTAAGACAGAAAATAGAAGACATGATTAGTCCAGTTTGCTTATCAGAAAGGCCGTTCCTCTGTGTGGATGGAGGCGGCAGGCTGGCAAGAGCCAGAGAGGGAGATGACATGTTTGTAGAAGGAAGATCAGCCCGGTGCTCAGGTGTGGCCACCACCTTTTCCCACAGGGAGTCAGTTTCCGAGTGTGGGGAACATCAGAAGGAGACCCTCAGAGTTCAACAATGCTATTTAGGTCTAATGCCCCACATGGCTCGTGCAGTGATTAAAAACAATTCCAGAGCACAGAGGACAGAGTCTGCGCTCTCCTCTGTGTGGTGTTTGAACCTCTGTTTTACAGGAAAATGGACTTTGAGTTAAAAACCTTGCCCCTGGGGATTTATCCAGAGGGAAGAGTAAAGTGAAACTGTGATCATAAAGATGTCCAACTTGGCACTATTTAGGATAGTGAAAGGTTGGAGCAAACTGTGTTTTCCAGAATAGAGGGACGAAAGAGTATGGTAATCTTGGCGTCCTCACAAAATACCAGACAGTTGTTGGCAGGCACAGCTGTGCAGGCTGCTGGCCGTGTGGGAAATATCTGCCTCTGTTGTGAGAGCCTCCCTGTGCCTGGCCCCTCAGCTGCTAGGAGTCCCTGCTGTCCCGGGAAGATTCTCCTTTTCCACCTTTGCTTGTTCTCTGTAAAGAACCTCAGCCCTTAAGCCCCCTGGACTTACCTGGGTGGCAGCAGCAGTCCTGCACCCTGCAACGCTGTAGAAATGGGCACAGTGTCTTTCGGTTCCTGCTCCTCTTCCTTTGCCTCCACCTGGGGTCCCTGCTCCTCTCCCTGTGCCTCCCCCTGGGGTCCCTGCTCCTCTCCCTGTGCCTCCGCCTGGGGTCCCTGCTCCTCTCCCTGTGCCTCCGCCTGGGGTCCCTGCTCCTCTCCCTGTGCCTCCGCCTGGGGTCCCTGCTCCTCTTCCTGTGCCTCCACCTGCTGTTCCGACCTGGTTACCCAGTGAGGGAAATGGGGAAAGAAACCTCTCCTACCAGAGCAGGGATTCCTGGTGGCAAGAACGTCCTAAAGCTTTGCAAAGCTCTGGTGTTTGACGTTGAGGAAGTGGATTCATGGAAACTGCTGGAACCCTTTGAGGACTTGGATTGAGTTTATTCATCCAGGGAACAGGATTGTGTTCAGCATGCTCATTTCTATAAATCCTTCCATCTCGGCCAAAGATGGTCTCATCATCTTAGAGCAATGACAGCCCTTTCTCGTGGAATGGGCACGTTTGCTCTGTTCACTGCAGCCCCTGGAAACAGCCACATGATGCACATGGATGCTCACTGGGTGAGGACGAAGATGATACAAGAGGAGGAACGAGGCTTGTTTTCCCCAGAATGTCTTTTAAGTCCTAGGAAAAGGGCTGTGACATTTTGCTTTGGCTTTAAAGCCAGGTCTGAGAACATTTTTAGGCATGTTATTTAAATTGCAGATTTTAAGACCTTATCTATAGGATATCAGATTCAGTAGGAATCTGTCTTTTTAGCTGTTTTCCCAAATGAGTCTTCTGCATGCCACGCTGGTAAAACTCTGCTTGAACCATGAGGAGTCTCTAAGACCCAACTGTAGCATAAGAGAGCATTTGTACAGTTAACATCCGGTTTTTAATCTCTGAGCTTCCTGGCAGCCAGGGCAAGAAGAGAAAGATGGAATAACAGAATTCTTTTGTCTAATATCAGTTCATTTGGAAAGCAGACTTTTCTTGGTGCTCTCATCTAGGAAGAATTTTTTCATGCGACACGGTGTTTGCAGGTGGGGTTTTGCAAAAAACAAAATGGTTTCAAATATCTTTGACCTCAGTGAAAGCTGAAAACACAGTGAATAGGCTTTGAGGTGGACGTTAAGCCAGAGTCGTTCCAGTGTGTTCCCATCTCATATTTTGAAGTGATTCAGGCATGCAACTTAAAGAACCATGCACAGAGGAGATCTGGACAACTGCAAAGCTTTTCTCAAAAGAAGTGAAAAAAAGAATGAAAGAGAATTGACTCACCATACATCATGTGATTCCATTTATATGAAATGCCTCAAAGTGGCCAAGTTATATATAGAGAAAATAATTAGTGGTTGGGGAGAGACTGAGGGAGAGGATGGGGGAGCTTGAGGAGTGATGGCTAAGGGATACAGGTTAATTTTTTTTTTTTTTTTTTGCAAATGCTCAAAAATGGATTGTGGTGATAGATACCCTACTCTGTGAACTCACTAAAACCCACTGAATTATACATTTTATTTATTGTATTTATTTATTTTTTTTTGAGACAGGATCTTGCTTTGTTGCCCAGGCTGGAGGGCAGTGGCACAACCGTGGCTCACTGCAGCTTTGACCTCCCTAGCTGAAGTGATTCTCTCGCCTCAGCCCCCCAGGTAGCTGGGATTACAGGCACACACTACCATGCCTGGCTAATTTTTATGTTTTTGTAGAGATGGGGTTTCTCCATGTTGCCTGGGCTGGTCTTGAACACCTGAGCTCAAGCGATCTGACCTCCTCGGCCTCCCAAAAGGCTGGGAGCACTGAGTTACATGCTTTAAATGAGTGAATTCGATGATGTGTAAATTTTAAAATCTCAATGTTTTTTTCCAAAAAAAAAAAAAAAAAAAAAGGAAATTGACCAATAGGACACAGTGTGCTGGACTGAGTCCAGGGTTGGGTGCCAGGGAATATGGAGTAGCCACGGGGCCTGTGGGTGTCTCAGGGAGCTGTCATCGTGAACTTGGTAAGGGGAGCAATTAGGGCTGCAGCAGCCCTGGGGGACCCCCCTGAAACAGGACCCTGAGGGGTCAAATGGCAGGATCCTGTCAGCGGTGCAGATGGACTGAACTGGAATACACCCCTGCCCTCTCCTCATGCGTCTGTCTTGGACCTGTTATGTTTCCCCAAATCCGTGAGGATGAGGGGAGTGCCGGCGCTGCATCACACTCTCTTCACTGCCCCCAAGATGTTTTTCTCTTCAGTCCTGAGGCTTCCGGGCTCATTCTTGGAGCAGGGAGAGTGCTGTCCAGGTGTGGAGTGTGTTTTATTTAGGACAATGGTGCTCTCTGTCCCCAGTTCCTTCAGCAGACGCCTGGGTCTCTTGGTATCCACTGAGCCCCAGGTCAAGTGGGGGGAAGTGGGTGGATGGAGTGATCTGGTCTCCAGCTGCAGTGGATTTCCTGACACTTGTGGAACAGTCTGCCAGTAGGGAAGAAGTGAGATGAGTGTGAACAGAAACAAAAGCACATTACATGAATATAAATATGTATCTGGGCTGGGCATGGTGGCTCACACCTGTAATCCCAGCACTTTGGGAGGCCGAGGTGGGTGGATCGCAAGGTCAGGAGATTTGAGACCATCCTGGCTAACACAGTGAAACCCCGTCTCTACTAAAAATACAAAAAAATTAGCCGGGCGTGGTGGTGGGCTTCTGTAGTCCCAGCTACTCGGGAGGCTGAGGCAGGAGAATGGCATGAACCTGGGAGGCAGAGCTTGCAGTGAGCCAAGATCACACTATTGCACTCCAGCCTGGGCGACAGAGAGAGACTCTGTTTCAAAAAATAAATAAATATATATATATATATATATATATATATATATATATATATATACCTGTGGATTTCCAATGAAGAGGACCAGGTGGCAAGGGCTGAGACCAGGTATGCACCACTAAATACTGGGGATGGTTTTGCAGCCCCTGGAGACCCCTTGGGACTGAGGCTGCCTTCAGAAGTTCCCTTGCAGATGATCGAAAGCTTCTGTTCTTCACATTTTGGGGTCACGGACTCGTTTGAGCATCTGATGAGTCTTGTGAAGAATGGATGCCTCAGCACACAACCCACGTCCTGTGTCGAATCCTCGGTGGTTTATTGCCACTCCCAGAGATACCCCACTGGGCGCCAGGCATCTGATGAGTCTTGTGAAGAATGGACACGTCCTGCTGTCCCAGAGAGCCCCCACGGGGTGCCAGGCAGGCCCCTGGGATGTAGTCTGGCAGAGACCCCCCAGTATATCTCTCTAGGCAGCTCACGGCAGGTGCTCTGTTGATGGGATGGGACAAAGACCCTCACCTCCAGAGCAGATGTGCTGTTTGGTAGTCCAGGGACACGCAGTATGGAGGGTCTCCTGCAGGAGCACCCAGCACATTGACACCAACACAGGGTTCCTGTCTGCTGTGTGTTCTGCCACAAGGGATGGCTGCTGCCTGGCTTTGCAGCTCTCCCAGAAGTTCACTGAGTCAAGAGTGAGGAGCTGGGTCTGGGTATGACCATGTGTGTGCTGGTGGGAGGGGGCACCATGGCTGTTCCTGATTCTGAGAGGAGGCACGACCTATGCAAAGGGGAGCACCCAGGTGTGTCCCTGGACAGGGAAGCCTGACCCCCTCCACACCTGCTTGGCTGGGCTCCTGCGAACCGAAGCTCCCTCCTGGGTCAGCCCTGCACGTGGGTTTTCTTGAGGCAGGGCGTGGGAGGGTGTGTCTGATTGGCCTGTGTCGGGAGTGGCCCACTCACTACAAATTGTGAAGGGGATTTCTTGATGAGAACAATCATGACAGTCCTTGCAAGGCCCTGTGGTTTTCCTCAAGTCCTCACCCAGAGCGACATTTATCCTGGCCTGGGGATGGGGCTGGAGGAGCCTCCTGCTTCGTGATTCAGCCTGGCTGGTTCCTGACCAGCTCCTTCCATCTGTGGTGAAATGAGCAGAGCCAGGGCCTGAGAGGGACGTTCTGCTTTTGAAGCACAGTGGCTTAGACTCAGAGGACTGGGCTTTATTCTGCTCTGACCTTTCCCCTGACATTGGGGCCGAGTGTCCTCTCTGGTGAGGAACAGTGGCTGACGGTGCATCTTACTTCTGCAGATGCCTTTTCCTGGAGACATGTAACGTTGGTCATCTCAACAGGATCATGAAATTTCTTTTTCTTCTGTTTCCTGGCCTGTGATCTCCCAGAGTTTAGCAACCTCTGCTCTAAGTCAGAGAGTGTGTGTGTGTGCGTGCCTTAGATGCGATTTATTGAGCACTTCTGTCTCAATAAAAAGTCCAGTCTTCCTAGACTCTCTTGTTAAGCCTCCAACCTGCCTTGGACAGATAAGGAAACTGAGGCTGGAGATTCAGTAACTCACCAAGGATCACACCTAGGGGAATTGGAATCAGGATTCCAAGCCAGTGTTTCGTATTCCAGAGACTGCTCGTTGGTCTCCCTTGCTATGCCAGCCACTCTATCCTGGGAGCTCCCTTGAGGCAGGGCTGTTTTATACCCACCTGTAATGTCCACAGCACCTGCCTAGGACTCGGGAAGGGAGGGTGGGGAGGAACACTTGGGTGCACAGCCCTGTCCTGGCAACGTAATGTCCCCTGGAGCTATCCGAGATTTGGAAAGCAGCATCGGGCTAGGGTTTATGGGGTTGAGATTCTTTCTCCCCTTGTTCCATAGCCTCACCCAGTCCATCCTTGGAGCCTTCTGCACATACTGGGCTCTGGTGCGTGTCCCTTCTCCCCCCAACTTCCCCATCTCCCCTGACACTTCTGCTGGGGCTGCCCTCCTTCCCAGGACAGCTTCTCCCTGCCCTGGCACATCCCACTCAACCAGCAATGCCCACTTCCAGCTCATGCCCCTCCAGGGCACCCTCCTGCCACACTGGGTGCACAGTGGGGCCCCTGGGAACACCACTGCATGGCTTTCTGTGCCCCTCCTCGGGTTTAAGTACAGGGACGCTGGACTAGTTGGATGTTCAGGGCAGCTGTGGTTTTCTTCATGTGTGGGTTTTAGGTGTCTTAAGGCCCTTAAAAGCTTTTCTTGGGAGCCCTCAGACTGCCAAACCCAGTATACCTCTCGGACACCAATCTTTCTTTTTTTTTTGCAGTGGAATTTGTTGAAATTTAGGTAAGCCTGCCTGGGAAGCAGGCAGGAACACAGAGGAATTCTTTTCTCGGCATTTTGCTCTCCAGCCTGGAGAGGCAAGAGTGACCCTGAGTGTGCCACCTTCCAGAGAGGCCTGGTGCAGGGTCAGCCTCCAGTGACGGTGTCACACTGAGGACTAGTTAGAGCTGTTTGGATTCTGGAAGCGAGGACTGGAAGACCTGGCTGAGAGAGACGGGGTCACACGGGGCAGCTGGCCCTGGCGTCAGTGCTGTCCTGCTCTGTCGATTTGTTTTTGCTTCTTGGTTAAACTTTACCTGCATCTCAGCAAAGCACTGAAAATAGATTAGAAACTTGCTAATTTCCCCTTTTCTTGGAAAGAAGAAGGGAAAAATCAGAGAGAATGTAATTCACCACAACAAGCAAACAAACCTAATGTAGGAGGCTTGGCCTATCTGAGACTGTTAGAAATAAAATTTAAAATGGGCCGGGCACGATGTCTCACGCCTGTAATCCCAGCACTTTGGGAAGCCAAGGCGCACGGATCACCTGAGGTCAGGAGTTCAAGATCAGCCTGGCCAACATCGTGAAACCCTGTCTCTACTAAAAATACAAAAATTAGCTGGGTGTGGTAGCGGAAGCCTATAATCCCAGCTATTCGGGAGGCTGAGGCCAGAGAATCACTTGAACCCCGGAGGCAGAGGTTGTAGTGAGCCGAGATTGCGCCATTGCACTCCAGCCTGGTTGATAGAGTAAGACTCTGTCTCAAAAAAAAAAAAAAAAAAAGGAATTTTAAAGTGTTGGTTGAATCCAAATGTTCCTATTTTTTTTTCTTTCCTTCCATGATTTTTTTTTCTTTTCTTTTCTTTTTTTTATTTTGAGGCAGGGCCTCACTCTGTCACCCAGGCTGGAGTAAAGTGGCCCAGTCATAGCTTGCTGCACCCTCAACCTCCTGGGCTCAAGCAATCCTCACTCCCCGCCTTCCTGAGGAGCTGGGACTACAGGCATGCACAACCATGCCTGGCTAATCTTTTTTTTACTTTGACTTTTTGTAGAGACCAGGGTCTTGCTGTGTTGCCCAGGATGGTTTCAAACTCCTGGCCTCAAGCAAGCCTCCCACCTCAACCTCCTCAGTAGCTGGGACTACAGGTATGTGCCACCATGTCCATCTAGTTTTTTTACTTTTATTTTTTGTAGTTGCCGCGTCTTGCTATGTTGCCCAGGTGGTCTCAAATGCCTGGCCTCGAGTGACCCTCCTGCCTCGGCCTTGCAAAATGCTGGGGGTACAGACATGAGCCACTGCACCCAGCCTTGACGTTTTTATTATATTACAAATTATCAACTGTTTACTGAGGTAGCAAGCTAGTTTTTTGGAGGTATGGGGACATGAGCGCTGTAATTTTGCTGTGGTTCTGTAACTGTGGATATGAGAATAGTGCGATCTCTCTGCGTGGATGTAGGCTGGCGGGGGTGCGGCGCTGCTGGCTCCCGGCTTTCTCTAAATATTTACGCTCCTGTGCTTCCTGACACTCTGAGTGGCAGTTGCAGATCCGCATTCCAGTGTTAATTCTGCCTGGATGTTTTCAGAGGGAAGAGTTGGCTTCCAACAGCTGTTTAACAGTCACGATGTAACCTCTAAGGAATAGTTAACTAAACGCACAGAGGAGATCCGGGTGTGCGGATGCTGTTGATCACGTGCAGGCGTTGTTCCAGCCCTTCCTGGAGTCGCTCTGTGTGTGTGCCTGTCCGGAGAGGGAAGCAATGGGAGGGAATTCAGAAACAGAAGACTTTGCACTAGCATCCTTCTTCTTCCATCAGCACGGGCAGATGTGTACTTTGCAGAGTGAGTTCGCGTATTCTTTCCCCTTGTGTTCATGGAGTAGCCACTTTAGGAAACGTGGAGGGTTCCATGCAGGCTGGCGCGGGGCACACGGAGAGAAATTGGACCTGGCTCCTCTCTGGATGGGGATGGGGCCGATGAGAGCTCAGCCCTGATTGGAGCTTTTCTCCCCAGAGGTCCCCAGCCCCGTTTCACCTGCTGCAGCCCTGGGGGGACACAGGGCTGAGGGGCCTTTCCTTTCTCCCAGATCTCAGCAGCCATCCAGAAACGACTCTTGACATGGCCCCAAGAGACCATCCTTGGCCATCTTCCCACAGTGACCCTGTGGACTCTGCCACCCCCCTGCCACCAACAAGTGGATAAATAACACGCCTGACCCAACATGCCCAGATGCACATTAGGAGTGCCTTGGTAGGTGTTGGGGAGGGAGCATTAGCAGACCTACCCCTCTCTGGAACTTTCCTCCTGGTAAAATTTGGAAGTGTGGTGCTTCCCTGACATCTTGGAAATCTCTGGGTGGCCGACTCGGACTTCCCAAAGTTGAATGCTAACAAACAGCTAGAGGGACTGGGGAAGGAGGCTGAAGGGGACTCTCCGTCCTGGCACGTGGGTCTCCTGGCACTGCCTCCTGAGGGGCTGTGCAGCCTCTACTGGAGCCCAGCAAGAGGGGCACAGGCAGGAGCTGGAGGGTGGAGGTTCTCGCAGGAGCGCCCAGCAGGGGCACGAGGCAGAGCCACAGGACACTGCTGGATTTGCCACTGATTGAGGGTCAGGGTGGTGCTGGTCAGTACCCTCTGACCAGAGAGAGGCATGACCACCAGATTTCCAGATGACCCAAAGCTAGGAAGAATGTGGGCTGGATGCGGGGTGGTGACTGTGAGAAAAGGGGCTACCCCACAGGATGGGCCCGTGCTGAGAGTCCGTGGCCTGGGGTACTTCTGTGGTCAGGCCTCTGGCTGCAAAGGCCACGGGAACTTGGGTCTGAGTAGCTCATTACACAAGGGTGCTACGGAATCCAGGGCTGGGACTCCCTGGGCACTTGGGGCCTTCCTGCCTCTGGTGTTAACTGGGGCACCCTGCTGGGGCTGCCTTCATGGGGAAGAGGAGAGAGGGCAGGTGAGGGAGGGAGGAGGGAGGCCAGGCTGACATCACCCAAGGCTGACATCACCCGAGCTAGCTGTCCCCTGCCTCCCTCATCTCCATCTGCAGAGGGACCCTCCTACCTGGGACCAGGCGTCCCTTCCCTGCCCGGCCGTGGTCAGCATCCTGTGGATGGGCCATTGGGAAGGTGGAGTGCTCCGAACCCCTGCCTCCTGCCCCCTTCCCAGGACTTGTCTGGCGTGGCTCCAGGGTGGCCCTCATCACTTAGCAGTCCCAGAATGAGTGCATTCTTGGTCTTGTTTTCTGTGTCTCTGGTCAGGGTTAGACTGGGGCTGTCTTGGAAGGAGACAGTGGCCCCAGCTGAAACCTCGAGGGGACCCTGTTCTCAGAAACCCTATCTTCCCCTAAAGTGCAAGGGCGTGGCTGGCAGGGTACAGGCGTCCAGGTGTCAGGGTGAAGTGCACCTGCCTGGGGAGTCCCTTGCCGCAGCCTTCACCCAGGGGAGAGGAGGTGAGCAAGCGGCACCCTGTGGTGCCTCTTCCCGTCGGAGCCTGTCACCCGAGAACGTGTCCATGGGGTCCCTTCCTGGCACAGGCTCACTTTACAGAGGCAGCGCAGATGGGAGGTGCGCTGGGTCCTGTTACCTCCCCGTGGGACACTCCTACCAAGCCGCACCATCAGCCCAGCAGGGGCCCTCTGCCCGTGCCCTGAGCCGGGGGCCTGGTGCCGCAGTTACCATGTGAGCACGCCCCTTCCAGATCATTTCCATGGAGTTTATGGGTTTTTTTTGGATTTACATCTTTGACTTTTATAAAAGTAACTTATGTTCTTGTAAATCCAGCCAGACCTCAGTTTCCCCACCCCTGGCCTGCAGTTTTCCTCGGAACAGGACAGCTGTGTTCAGGGCTCCCCAAGGCCACCCCCATCCAGGTTCACTGATTCATGAGAAGGACTCACAGAGTCCTTAGTGAAGCTGTTTTAGCGACAGGCAGGGTTCATCACAGCGAAGGGTGGAATCAGCAAAGGCAAAAGGCATGTGGGGCAGAGTCCAGGAGAGACCAGGCGCCCGCTTTCCGTGTTCTCTCCCGGGGCGGCACGTAGATGGTTCCCCCCAAAGATGTGTGACAGCACACAAGGAGTCCAGACCCCTGCACCCTGCTCCTGAGCCTCGGAGCCAGGGCTTTTCCTGGGGGTTCTTCACACAGGTATGACTGGCCTTAGTCCCCAGGCCCCTGAGAGGTCACGCTGCTACCATGTGGCCTGGGGTCCCCACTGTAACACGTGTTGTTAGCACAGGCCATCTGATGTCACTCAAGGCCCCAGGTGAACTCAGGCACTCTTACCACACAGGATATTCCCAGGGCTCAGAGGGGATCTCCCATGAGCTGGGTAAGGACCCCGTCTTTCTTTCTTTTCTTTTTTTTCTTTTGAGATGGAGTCTTGGTCTGTTGCCTGGAGTGCAGTGGTGCCATCTTGGCTCACTGCAACCTCTGCCTCCCCAGTTCAAGCAATTGTCCTGGGGACCCAGTCTTTCTTTGGAGTGTGTGGGGTTTGGACAACCCAGGCCTGCTGAGTTAACCCTTTATTGCACTACAGTATTAAAATGTCTGGCATCTGGTCCAAGCTGCACAGGATCAAATCTTGGTTTGACCATTTATTAGCTCTCTGATTTAGATACTTCTTATATCTCATTGTTTTCTTGTTGAAATAGGGGTTATCATAGCACCTATCTCTTAGGCATGTGGGAGATTGACTTGTTGGCAAATGCTGACCACTAAGGTCTTGGCAAAGGTTCGCTGCCTCCTCACCATCTCCAGCAGACAATTGGGGCACATCTCCCTAGACCCTGCGCCTCCCCCTCACAGATGGTCATTACGCTGGTGTGACCCTTGATTCCAAAAGCTGACCCACCCTTGCAGGTGGTACCTGAGATCACTGGAACCCCACAGGGCCACCTGCTCCATGAGCATGCCTGTGTGTACAGTCCTGCGGACACACAGTGTTTTCCATATCTCAATTTACTTCTTATTTTGCTGCTCCACAGAAAATTTGGAAAACAGAGAAAAAGGGTCAAAGTCACCCAGCCCCAGTGCCAACTATCCTGGTGGCATCTGGCTCCGTTTTTTCCAAGGCAGTTTCCCATGGCTTTGACCCTGGGTCAGTGCCGTGCTCATTGTTGCCCCTTGCATGCTCATTGACTTAACCAGGGCAGGTGACTTTGGCACAGCAGGCAGTGGAGCCGGCCAGGTGGATGGAGACAGCCTTGCTGTGCCCTTTGGGTGGGACCTGGTCAGGAATCCCACATGGACAAGAGGATTGTCCATGGTGTGCTCTGACTGGCCTATGACTCAGAGACTTCCCAAAGGTCACCTTTAGTGACTCTGTGTGCTGGCTGCTTTCCCGGTGGGTCATTCTGGCCAACATCGACCCCTTTTGACACCTGGGCAGAGCCACCTGGAAGCCAGCTCCTGAGGAGGGGTAGCCTGAGATGTGGGTATGATGTTGAGTGTGGAGTTGGAAGACCTGGGTCCTAGCTCTGCCTTGTCTCGCCGAGGGGCTGGGAGTACCCTCACCTCTCTGACCTCAGTCTATGGATCTCTGAAATGGGTTCAGTCACCTGCCCACCCGCCAGGTAGGCTGTTCTTAAGGTACAAGGACCTGAGCTGCAGAGAGTGGCTGGTTGTGTGCCCTCTGTGCTGCTGTGCACATTCTGAGATGTGGTTCCATGACCTGTCTAGGCCCTGAGGGGAGGAATGAGGAGGGGATGGGGCTGGGGAACCAGTGGCCTCTGAGGTGAGTTCCTGATCTGGGCTGCCACCCGGCAGAAGGGTGTGTCCACCAGGCCCATGCAGATGCCTTAAAGGCAGGGAGTTGTTTGTGCACCTTGCACCCTCATCATCAAGCAGCCATTCATTCACTTGGCACACAGTGATTAAGCACCTACTGTGTACCCGTGAGCCATGTGGGCACACCCCTCCTCCACACAGCTGTGAAGAATCAGAGAATCAGATAAACCAGGACTTGTCCAAATAACAATAATTGGTCGGTATCCTGTAGAACAGGGGACCCTAATCCATTTGGAGGGCTCATGGCTGTGCCTTTGAAATTTGGCAATGACAGAAGCCACTGGGCAGGTTCCGGGAGGCAGGTTTGTTCCTCGGGTCAGGGCGACTGGAGGAACTGGAGTAGGTGCCTCATCCCTGCCTCCTTCCCACAGATTCATCCCCCGTCTCCTGGTGGGAGACAACGTGCTCCTTCTGGACTTCAAAGCCAGCCCCACTACCCTCGGAGTCTGTGTGCTGGGCGTGGACAAGTCTCTGCTTTGTACCCACTCTGTGGCCGTGAACCTGTGACCTATACTTCTCAGCCTTGCTTTTCTTATCTGTAAAATGGGAATAGTCACTGGATTTATCTTAAAGCTGAGGTCACTGGTGTCTGGGCTTGAAAGAGAACCGGCTCATAGGGACCCTCACTCACGAGCCCCTGCTGTGCAGGTGACCGCCATCAGTGACCGCCGTCTGTGGCCAAGTGAGTAGCAGCAGCAGCAGCTCCGACCATCATGGCATTGGAGTGCAGTGGACACAGCGTGGTGATCACCCTTTGTGGCACACGCCAGCTCGGCGCAATCTCCGGGCGGGCAGCGGTGGGCAGCACAGCTCTCCTGAGGCGTGGAAAGACGTGCTTGTCCTCGGGATCACAACGGATCCCATATATCCATGAGACAAGAGGTGCTTCTCGTGGCCGAGACCTCTCTCTTTGCAGTGCCTCAGATTTCCACCGCTTTGTCAAGTTGGAATATGGGGGAGGGCACGTGGTTGCTGTGGAGAAGGAACAGTTGAGGGAAATGAATGCATGTCATCTGCAGGAGCTCCTCATGGCCTAATTGGAAGATTAATTTTCCATCTTGGGAGGAATTTTTGGGCACTGCTAATTGTCTTAAACCATCACTGTCGTGTCTGTCTCTTTGATGGCTCGGGGGAGGTCGGTGTGGGGGCTTTATGTTGTTTACTGATGCATCCTCGGGGCCCGTGGCAGGCCCTGCCACATTGCAGGTGCCCAATATTGGTTGAATGCACCACTGAACAAAGCTTTGAGCACATACCTTTATTTACACATAGGGTTTTCCCCATATGACAGTCACTAAAATAAAGATCTGAAGTGTGTGTGTGTGTGTGTGTGTGTGTGTGTGTGTATTAATTGAGACTTGATACCTCTCTGTGGTCTGGTGACTGAGGACAAACACATCTGACCATGGTGTGAAGCTCCTGACTGAGCATGCAGATAAAGGCTTGAAGACAAAATGACAGCAGTGGGAAGAGAATTACTGTCTGAGCCATACCCATGGTATTGGTTAACATGTGGCTGCCGCTGAGGAAGACGGCCTGGCAAGTCCTAAAAAAAGTTAAATGTAGAGTGAAGTTAAATGTAGAGTTATGTTAAATGTAGAGTGAAGTCAAATGTAGAGTGAAGTCAAATGTAGAGTGAAGTCAAATGTAGAGTGAAGTTAAACGTGGAGTTAGCACATGAGCCAGCAGTTCCACTCCTGGGTGTGTCCCCAAGAGAAATGGAATCATAGGTACGAGTGAAAATGTTTACATACATGCTCATGGCAGCGTTATTTATAATAGCCCAAAACTGGAATCAGTCAGATGTCTGTCAGCTGAGTAATAAATAAACAGTGTGGTGTACCCATGTGATGGGATGTGACTTGGCCTGAAAAGGAATGGATTACGGATGAGGACTACTGCATAGATACACCTTGAGGACATTACGTGTGGTGAAAGGAGCCAGACACAGAGGCCACGTATGATGTGACTCCATTTATCCGCATTGTCCAGATTGGTCAAATCCACAGAGGCAGAAAATAGACTAGCAGTTGCCAGAGGCTGGGAGGTGGCTGCTAATGGGTTTAGGGTTTCCATGTGGGGTGCTGAGAATGTCCTGACGTTAGATAGTGGTGATGGTTACACAACATGGCTAAAAACCATTAAATACTTTAAAGTGGTAAATTCTATGTTATGTGAATTTTATCTGTCTAAAAAATTGCTAAGGAAACAAATGCCCTAAAAGACAAAACCATGTCCGCCTTTGAGAGATTAATCTATTTGGAAATGAAGCTTCATTCTCTTTGCCAGAGGGGATTCCTGCCTGGCATTTTGCTGTCTCCTTGAATCCTTAATACCCCCGACTCTGTCCCCAGCAGCTCACGGCTACAGGGTCTGCACGTCTGGCCAAGGTTGTCCTCGGTCTTTCCAGCGCAGGGGATTAGGATTCCCTATGGCAGGGTGCGGTGTCCGTGCGGCCAGCTTTCCTTCCACGGTTCCTGACGACCCAGCTGCTTCAAGGGCATCCACTGGGCTCAGGTCCTAGGGGCAGTGGCCGGCTTGTCACATCTTCCCTGCATGCTCCCTTCGAGGCTGCAGCTGCTTTGCGTGGGCTGCGGCTTGGGGAGTGTGCACGTTTTAGCGAAGGCTTTGAGAGCCAAGGCAACCTTGCTGCTGTGTCTTCCTCCCATCCATGAAGTGCCTCTTCCTGGGGCGTGACTGCAACCTTCATTTTGACTGAGTGGTCACGTGTAGCTGCAGGTATTGCCTCTACGGCAGGTCACATTTCATTCGGTCTGGCTCCTGCCTGCCCATTTGCCTGGAGCAAACCCTGGCTGCCTACAGGTAGTGACACAGTTTGTGGCTGAGTCTTCTATTTTAATATGCGGCTTGTTCACATCTGCAGAGGCTGACTTCTGTGGATTTGCCTTGTGAGGTGGGAAGTAAAGCTCCCATTTTACAGTTGGAGGGGCTAAGGTTCAGAGAGGTCTGGTGACTTTCTCAAAGTGACACAGCAAGTGGCAGAGCTGAGAACGCTGGCCTACAGTTCCTGTGAGTAAGGGAAGTGACTGGTAACTGCTGAGACTGTCTCTGGTCTCTGGACCTTCTTGGGGGGTCCCTCATGCCCCCTGGCCTGGAGTGCCTCACCTGTGGGCTCCGGGCCACATCATTGAATACGCCTCCGCCCCGTGTCCATTGCGGCATGGTGGCAGGTGACTGAGCAGAACGGGATGGAATTCGAGGAAATGGGCCTGGTCATGACCATCGATGCTGGGCCGAGCATCACAGGCAACTCTCAAAGCTGCAGTCTAAGGAGACTGCCACAGGATGCTCAGGCCTCCATGAGCCACGGCCACCAGTGCAGGATCCAGAACCAACTCTGCCTTTGAAGACCCCGCCGCCTCACAACCTCACTTGCCCACAGACACGAGACATCTGCCTCAGAGGCTCACTGCTGTCTTCTGGATTTTGAACCTCCAGTACATCTGCTGGACGGGAGGGGACCCCGGTGGGACTGACGTGGAAGGGAGTCTGGTCTTGGCCCATCCCCAGTGTGGTGTGGAGTCAGCCATGGATGGGGGTTGGTAGGGGACGGCGTCTGCGGGGTCAGCTGTGGTCTCACCCCTCACAGCTCGTGGACTCACGATGTGGTAGTGGGATGTTCCTGACAGGGTCCTGGGGAAGAGAAGGCCTGTTTCCTGTGGGGCTGTTTCTCAAGGGTGCAGAAACCCTTCTTGGAGGCCCCGCTAGAGACCTCTCCTCATATGGCATGAGCCTTCCTCAGCCATTCTCTGGCTGGGAGAACGAGATTGTTTAACCCGAGAGCTGCCGGCCCCTCCAAACTCCCCACAGGGGGAGATCCTAACTGGGGTCACTGTCCTGTTGGGACAGATGCTGGGCAGGAGGCCCCAGCACCAGCCACAACATTCATAACATACAAAGGCAAAAGTGCCTGAGTACAGTGGCTCATGTCTGCAGTCCCAGCACTTTGGAATGCTGAGGCGAGAGGATCTCTTGAGCACAAGAATTCGAGACCAACCTGGGCAACATAGTGAGACCCCATCTCTAAAAAAAAAAATTAATTAAAAGCAAGGCAAAAATGCAAACTCAAGCCGCTGTCCTTGAAGGCTGGGTGTGGAGCTGACCGGAAACGGCACACAGAGTGAAGCTTCGGCAACTGCTGCGCTTTCACCATCCTTAGCAGTGACTGCCCCTGTGTTTGAACTTGGACTTCTCTGACGCTGGAGTTTGTGACCAGGGTGCCCGACTCCTTCTTCCCTGGCTGGGGTTGGTGATTAAGACTCTTTGCTTTAAATGCCCTTTCCGTGGGGCTGAGCATGGGTAAGCGATGTGGCTCAGAAATGGCCTTTCGGTTAATCAACAGTGTTTTATAAAATGCCTGCCAGTGTAGTCCCAGCTACTTGGGAGGCTGAGACAGGAGAATGGCATGAACCTGGGAGGCGGAGCTTGCAGTGAGTCAAGATTGCGCCACTGCACTCCAGCCTGGGCGACAGAGCGAGACTCTGTCTCAAAAATAAATAAATAAATAAAATGCCTGCCAGGTTCTCTTCAGAAGATGCAGACAAAATCTAAAATCTGAGACCCATGGGGTCCATCTCCCCAGGATTCACCATCTGATAGAGCAGATGGGATTTGCCCAGATGGAGAGACAGAGAAGAAGATGGCCTCATGGGGCAGGGTGTTGGCGGCCTCAGCTTGCCTGGCACCAGGGAGGCCTAACCCTAGATGAAAGAACTGAGCTAGAACTTAAGAGCCATCACACTTATTTGCTTATTTATTAATCTGTTTTTGAACAGGCCTGAGCAGGTTTGTGAGCTGAGGTTGGCACAGGCTGTAGCACATGCTTGGAGTGGTAGCATCTTGGAACCTGCCCACACCCTCCTCCACCCCACCCGGGAGGGCCCAGCCATGTGCTCAGGCCGGACACTGGGGGGAAGGAAATGAAGAAATGGTTTTGTGGATACAAACACGTTGGGTCACACTGAGTCACGGAACTAAGTTCTTCTACCTTCAGTTCTGCTTTGACTCCCAGGACAACAGATGGTCTCCCAGGGCAGAGATTTATGTTGATTTTGTTCCATGTGAGGTCTCAAGCCCTTAGGGAGAGAGCGAGGCACGTGAGGGCCTTCATCCAATAAATGCTGAGAGCAGGGATGGGTTTTTTTTTTTTTTTTTTTTTTGAGACAGAGTCTCACTCTGTCACCAAGGCTGAAGTGCGGTGGCGCTATCTCAGCTCACTGCAACCTCTGCCTCCCAGGTTCAAGCAATTCTCATGCCTCAGCCTCCTGAGTAGCTGGGATTATAGGCGCCCGCCACCATGCCCAGCTAACTTTTGTATCTTTAGTAGAGATGGGATTTCACCATGTTGGCCAGGCTGGTCTCAAACTCCTGACCTCAGGTGATCTGCCTGCCTCGGCCTCCCAAAGTGCTGGAATTGTAGGCGTGAGCCATTGCATCGGGCAGGGATGGGTCTTTGTGAGCCATGCGGGGGAGGGCATGCAGGGAGACCCCTGGTTTGTTGTGCCAGAGAGCCTTTGACATTTCTAGGACCTTGCTAGTCTCTCTCCCTTTTTAGCAGAAAGAACCAGAGGCAGGGCCACGTGCAATGGCTCACGCCTACAATTCCAGCACTTTGGGAGGCCGAGATGGGTGGATCATGAGGCCCAGAATTTGAGACCAGACTGGCCAACCTGATGAAACCCCATCTCTACTAAAAATACAGAAATTAGCTGGACGTGGTGGCATGCGCCTGTAATCCGAGCTACTTGGGAGGCTGAGGCGGGAGAATTGCTTGAGCCCAGGAGGCAGAGGTTGCGGTGAGCCAAGATCATGCCACTGCATTCCAGCCTGGGTAACAGAGCAAGACACTGTCTCGGGAAAAAGAAAAAAACAAAAAACCAGAGGTGGGTTGAGAGCCTTGGGTAGATTAAAGCATGTAGCTAGAATTTAAGAACCATCCATTTATTCACATATATATTAATTTATTTTTGAGACAGGGTCTTGCTCTATTGCCCAGGTTGGAGTGCAGTGGTGTGATCATGGCTCACTGCAGCCGCAGACTCAAACTCCTGGGCTCAAGGAATCCTCCTGCCTCAGACTCCCAAGTAGCTGTGACCCCAGACACACACCACCATGCTTGGCTAATTTTTAAATATTTTTGTAGAGACAGGGTCTCGCTATGTTGCTCAGGCTGGTCCCGAACTCCTAGGCCCAAGCCATCCTCCTGCCTCACCCTCCCAAAGTGCTGGGATTTCAGGTGTGAGCCACTGCACCCGGCCCATCACATTTATTTTTATGACTGACTCTCCTCTATGGCAGGCAGGTACCAACACCAGGTCCTTTCTTGTTCCTCAAGGGAAGATTTCCCCTCAGAAAAGAGTATTTTTGTTATGTGTGATTTTAGCATTAAACTTTTAATTTATTAGAGTGATACATTCAAAAACTTTTTTTAAGTTTGTAAATTTAATTTTGCAAGGATTTCTCTGTTTATGTCTAGTTGATTTTATGATCCTTTAAGAGTGGGCCTCTGATTACAGTGTGATCTCATTTACAAACCTGAATTCCTGAAATTCTATGAAAAAACTCTGTTTCGGGTATGTAAATAATCCTTATTAATTGCAATATACTGAAAATGGGAATCCTAAATTTTCTGAAACATCTAAGAAATGTTTTCACTTTTCTTAAAATTATGCTTTCAGTATAAAATTTCATGTCTCCATCAATCATTCACCTGCATATTTTGGCTGTGATGACAAGATTAATTGGTTAGGCACTTTTTTTTTTTTTGAGACGGAGTCTCGCTCTGTCACCCAGGCTGGAGTGCAGTGGCGCCATCTCGGCTCACTGCAAGCTCTGCCTCCTGGGTTCACGCCATTCTCCTGCCTTAGCCTCCCGAGTAGCTGGGACTACAGGCGCCCGCCACCACGCCTGGCTAATTTTTTGTATTTTTAGTAGAGACAGGGTTTCACTGTGTTAACCAGGATGGTCTCGATCTCCTGACCTTGTGATCCTCCCGCCTCAGCCTCCCAAAGTGCTGGGATTACAGGCGTCAGCCACCACACCTGGCCAGTTAGGCACTTTTTAATACTAAATATAAATAGGTGCCCTACGTAAAAAGTGAGCTCTATTTCTGGATTTTACATACAACACGCGTCAGGTGGCTTTGGTTTCTTTCTTCATGTCTGTTCTCAGGTTTAAGCCTTATTGGGATTGTAAACCATTAACCCACGAAGGAAGCAGACTGGACCTTCTGTCTAAGTAGCTGGAGTTGACCTTTGACTGGGGTGGATGTAGCGCTGGGACCCAGGATTTGCTTCTTCCTCATGGTCCTTGCTCTCTGCAGCTGTAGCAGGTCTTCTGTGATTTGCAGAGGGCTGGGTCCTGCTGTCCACCAGTCCCTGCTCAAGTTATGGAAGCCTGAATTATTCTGTCAAGTATACTTTGCCAGGAAGTTTGGAGCTCACTTTAATGGTCTGGTTCTCTTTTGCGTTTCTTTGTGGTCTTTAGACATTTTAATTACTTGCAGGTTGGCTCTGAAGACATGTGGCCATTTCCTCAGTCCCTTCACACCCGCATGTCACTTAGCATCCACTTCCTTGGTCACTGGTACTCTGTGTCTGTCTGGACCTGCCCCCCTCCCATTGGCACCTGCTCTTTGGATCCAGCTGTTAACATCCTGTTTGGTGGCTTAATTCTCAGTTGACACAAAGGTGAGGTGATTTAAAGAAGTGCAGGTGAGTGGCGTTGGGGTTTGAGGCCACAGAGAGAGTGAGGCTGAGGCAGTGGCAGCCTGCCCCGACTTCCTGCAGCCCCCACGCCCAGGTCCCCAGGTCTCAGCTGTCACACGCGGCACTGATGCTGGGGTCTCTTCATGACATCAACTCCATCGGGCACCCACTGCTTAGTTGTCCCCGTGAGTAACTGTGGTCCCATCAGAACAGCCACCTACAGACCAGCATCCCCAGATGTGGCCTCAGGTCACTTTGAACACAAAACTTTCCCTGGGTTACCCGAATACCTGCTGTCCACCCCATCCTGGAGTGGGTGGTGATGTGTTTGGTGTCAGTAAGGCTTGGGGATCTCTCTCTGCCTTGATTTCCATGGAAAATGGGAACGATCTTGCTCTTGACTCAGCCCTTCCCGCCAGCAGCACTGCTGTGGGCTGAACTGTGTCCCCGCAAATTCACAGGTTGAAGCTCTAACCCCAAGTACTCAGAACGTGACCTTATTTGGAGCGAGGGTCTTTAAAGAGGTAATCAAGTTAAATGAGGCCAGTAGGGTGGGGCCTGATCTATTGTGACTGGTGTCCTTAGAAGACGACAGCTGTATAGAGACACAGGGAAAATGGCAGTGCCCAGGCGAAGGAGAGGGCCCTGGAACAATCTGTGCCTGCAGAGGTAACCCACCCTGTCTGGACCTGGGCCTCCTGGCCTCCGGGGGCGTGGGACAGCGTGTCTCTGTGGTTTCAGGTGCCTGGTCTGTGCACTTTGCCATAGCAGCCCTGGCCAACTCGTGCAGGTGCCCAGGGCCGGAGCAGGCTGGAGAGCTCTGGACGGGGAGCAGGCAGTGGCTAGGGGCACATGGGATGGGGACTCTGGTCCTAACAGTCACGCCAGTACCCTTTGACCTCAGAAATTGTGGCTCTTTCCAGCCTGTTATCTCATGTTATGACAGAGACCTCAACCCTTCCTCTGGATGGGGTCATGAGATGTTTGCACGTCCAGCGCAAGGTCAAGCCCTGGGATATGGAACAGCTCTGCTGATCGTAGTGGAGCCCAGGAAATGAGGTATCTCTGGTGTGTTTGTGCACACATATACATGTATGTGTGCATGCACACACACACTCCCACACACACTCACACACTCCTCTTGGAATTGCTGCAAGGCTCTGATGAGACGGCCCCAGAACCCATGGGCTGGGATTCCAGACCCACCACAGAAGCCCTCTCAGCCGGTTCTGGTGAGTGTGACCATCACTGGGGCCCGTGCCTTTGGTTTGAGTTGATTTATTAGTATGATTTCGGGGAGGAATCTGGCTTTAGCAGAGTTATGTCTCTGCATTGCCTGGAGGCCATTTGTCTCTGTGTATCTAACATGGCAATAAAGAGAGGAAGGATTTTATTTCTCTCTTTTTCTAATACTTTCCAGACAGCCAGGTTTGGTTTTGCAGACTTCTTTAAAGGAGGAAGAGTAAGCTGTACCAACTCTTGTTTGAATTGGATGTTTGCCTTTGACAAGGAAGGTTCCCCCATTAAGGATGCAGTATTTTATACAAGGCGCTTCATCTTTTCCTCAAGCACCCTGCCTGCGATGCAATTAAGCAGGCATGATTGCATTCTCTGGGTGTCACCTTTTCCTATCACCTTTATGAGCTGATAGCCTCTGATAGCTTGATAAGCTCTCTAGGAAAAAGGAAGCCTTGATGAATATAGATCTCTTTGCAATTTGCATTTGTAAGTGAATATTCCAGTAATGACTGAAGACAGAGAGTATGAAATTGGATTGATTAGGTCATTTTCCTGGGAAAGGCGAGGCTTTTCCACCCAGGGTGGGGCACGTTGTTCCTTTCACCTGGACCTTGTGTTTCTTTTCATTTAAAATATCTTCATAAAGGCTCAGGTTCTGGTCTTTCTAATTACAGTGGGGACAGCCTGGGACCTTCCAATGTCATCCTGCCCCATTCAGGAAACAGGGTTCCAGGCAGTGACTGAGGTACAAGCATCACAAATGTGGATTCTGACATAAAGTAGCAGTTTTGTTTGACGTATTGGTCAATGGGCTCTCATAGTCATAGCCCAACAGTCCTCAAGGAGCCCCGTCACCACAGGTCATGAAGAACAGAGTGGAGAGTTGTCATGGGCTGCACTGTGTCCCCTCCCTGAATTCCTAAGTTGAACCTGTAACCCCCACTACCACAGAATGTAACTGTATTTGGAGACAAGTAATCAAGTTAAGTTGGGGTCATATGGATGGACCCTAATCCAAAGGACTGGTGTCCTGATAAGAAGATGAGATGAAGGCCGGGTGTGGTGGCTCACGCCTGTAATCCCAGCACTTTAGGAGGGTGAGGTGGATGGATCACTTGAGGCCAGGAGTTTGAGACCAGCCTGGTCGACACGGTGAAACCCCATCTCTACTAAAAATACAAAAATTATCCAGGTATGGTATTGTGGGCCTGTAGTCCCAGCTATTCAGGAGGCTGAGGCAGGAGAATCACTTGAACACAGGAGGCGGAGGTTACAGTGAACTGAGATCACGTCACTGCACTCCAGCCTGGGCGACAGAGCGAGACTCTATCTTAAAAAAAATAAAAAATAAAGTTAAGGGCTGGGCACAGTGGCTCACACCTGTAATCCCAGCACTTTGGGAGGCTGAGGCAGGCACCTGAGGCCAGGAGTTCGAGACCAGCCTGGCCAACATGGTGAAACTCCGTCTCTATTACAAATACAAAAAGTAGCCAGGCGTAGTGGTGCATGTCTGTAATCACAGCTACTGGGAGGCTAAGGCAGGAGAATCCCTTGAACCTGGGAGGCAGAGGTTATAGTGAGCTGAGATCACGCCATTGCACTCCAGTCTGGGTGACAGACAGAGTGAGACCCCATCTCCAAACAAAACAAAACAAAAAACAGAGGAGGAGATGAGGAAACAGATGACCCTGTGGATGCGTGGAGGGATGACCCTATGAGGGATGCGTGGAGGGATGACCCTGTGAGGACACAGTGAGAAGGTGGTGTCTGCAAGCCAAGCAGAGAGGCCTCAGGAGGACCCAGCCCTGTGCGGACTCCAGCCTCTGGGATGTGAGATAATGAATGTCTGTTGTGTAAGCTGCCCTGTCTGCCGGGCTTTGTACGGTAGCCCAGGCGAAGACATCTGAGGTGATATGCAGCGTCCTGTCTCCCTCATAACACACAGTTTATCAGTATTAAATTGTGAACAAAGACATAGCATGGATGGGGATACAGCTGAGTGTGCTGCGTTCATTTTTGCATTTTTTTTTTCTTTTTTCTTTAGACAAGGTCTTGCTCTGTTGCCCAGGCTGGAGTGCACCGGAGCAATCGTGGCTTACTGCAGCCTTGACCTCTTGAGCTCAAGTGATCCTCCTGCCTCAGCCTCCTAAAGTCCTGGATTACAGGCGTGAGCCACTGTGCCTGGTATCTCTGGTGTGAGGTATTTCTTGGTGAGCCCCAATTCCTCTGAGAAGTGGCGTAGACGTCCCTTTCTCCCATTGCATGGGAGAAAGGGATGCATGCATGCATATGTATGCACAAACACACCAGAGATACCTCACATTTAAGCTTCACAATGGCCTTCTCCAGCACCGCAGGGGCTGGACGTCCACCTTCCAGATGGGGAAAGTGAGGCCGAGACAGAAATGATGGGTTCGTGCAGGCCACGCAGCCCAGGGTGGAGCCGTGGGATTGGGACTCGGCTCTGCCTGACCTGCAGAAGCCTCCTCTCAACGCCTGCGTGCAGCCCTTGTTCCCATGTCCTGGCATTCTGTCACGGCCTGCAGGACGTCACACACTTCTGCACATACGTTGTCAGAAAGGGGAGAGGCCTTAAGAGGCCGATTCCCTGCAGAGGCCTCATGCCTTGGTGGGTGGTGACGCACTTTCTCTTGTTCCCCATCAACCATCTGTTGGTTCCAAGGCCTCATTTTCCAGACAATGGTGAGCCACACTTCTTCTGAGAAGTGGTATAGACGTCCCTTTCTCCCATTGCAGGGGTTAGTTCAGGAGTGCGGCAGACGGGTACCGAGATGCTTAAGGGTCTGGATGGAGCCTCACGCTGTCCCCTTGCTAAGTACTTAGCACCGCTGCCTCTAGGGCCTGGTTATTGATTACTTGGAAGGAGAACACAAGAAGCGAAAGCCTTCTGAAGCTGCTGCCAACAACGCCCACCTTTGCAGCTGCAGAAGCATTTCCCCTCTGCTCCAAAGGGGCAAGGCCATCTTCTAGTCCAAGGCCAGCTTGGATAAGAGCGAGGACTGAATAATGGCAGCTGTAGCCACTGGGCAGTTTGGGCAGCAGTGCCTGTGCTTGGCTGGTTTCTTTTTCAGTCGTGGGGTTGGGGCCCTGCAGGTGGACGTCTCTGCTGTTGGTCGACCTACGTGTGGATGACTTGGGGCTTCCTTGCAGATAAGGGCTGGGCTGCTGGGAGCAAGTCAGCTGTGCTCTTCACCATGCTACTGGACGCTTGGGCTGGGCCCTCGTGCTCGGAGTGCTCAGCTTCCTTACTGTGCCCGTCTTGTCCTAACAGTCGTGGTGAAGCCTCCCCCAGATGCTGGGGCTTTGAAGCCAGGCTGGCAGAAGAGCTTCCCCAGGCCTCAGCTGCGGCCTTTCCCGTGTTCATTCACCCCCAAGGGCAGCAGCACAGGCTTTGGGAGGGGAGCTCTGGACATGGAGTTTGTCCCTGAGACCTGCTGGCCTCAGATACAGAGCTTGTCCTCTCTGAGTGTTGGTGGGCTCATGGTAAAGTTGGGACCATGGCCAGGCACGGTGGCTCACGCCCAGCACTTTGGGAGGCCAACGCGGGCGAATTGCTTGAGCCCAGGAGTTTGAGACCAGCCTGGGCAACATGGAGAAACCCTGAGTCTACAAAAAATAAAAAAAACTTAGCTGGGTGTGGGGGTTGTGCTCCTGTAGTCCCAGCTACTCAGGAAGCTGAGATGGGAGGATTGCTTGAACCTGGGAGGTTGAGGCTGCAGCGAGCCGTGATTGTGTTACTGCACTCCAGCCTGGACAACAGGGTGGGACTCAATCTCAAAAAGAAAAAGAATAAAAAATAATAAAGTTGGGGTGACTCTCTCTACTGAGAAACTCTCTGAGGTTTGGTAGAGTTTGTCAATTACACAGGCACTGATTGGTCACCAGCGAGGCACCAGCGACTGGAATAAGCCCTGAACAGCACCGCTGAGCCAGGAAATGGAACAGAACGGGGTCTGGGAGCCCCTGGGGGAATCACACACCTGCTGGTGGATGGCGGGAAGCCGGGGTGGCCAGGAGGAGCCTCAGGAATGAGAACCTGGAACAAGGGGAGGGAGAGGGAATGAGTGGTCGGGGATTTCAGCCGAGAATGGCAGATGTGACTATTTCACAACCCAACCCGGAGAGCCTCATCACTGGGAGCTGGGAGCTCCGTCTTCCCTGGCCGTCTGTGGTTGCTGTGACCTGGCTGTTGCCCTGTGGTGGGGCAGCTTCCTGGGACTCCATCTAGGTGGGAGTGGGGGGCCGTGGAGCTGGGGCCCGCTCCTGCTGTATTGAGAGAACCCCAGGGTTTGCTTCCACCCACCTTGACCCATCACTTGCCTCTGTGAGGGGTGACCCCTGCTAGAGAGAAGGTCAGGGTCCCTGAGAAACCACGTAGGCCTTAGCTCCATTTGGAGGTGGTCGTAGTTATCTCAGTGAGGCCAGCACCCAGCACAGTGCAGGGACGTGGCAGGCCCTCAGCAGATGAGGAGAGGTGTGGTGGGCGACAGATGAGTGAGCAGGGCACTCTAGCACCAGCACGGTGCATTTGGGCCCACACCTCAGTTTCATCTTGACTTTGGGTTATAGGCACAGTGAATTTCATTGTCTTCACGGCTGTACCTGGTTGCCAGGGTAATTCATGGGGCCTCGTTTATTTCCACCTTTCAATTACTCAGTATTCCTGTGCCTTTTCGTACGTCCACTGTAAATATTTGCAGTGTTTTCCTGTTCCCTTGCGCCGAAGTCCTTCTCCCCAGAGGGAGGGGATTCTGTTTCTGGAGAGACCTCAGCAGGTCCTGGTTGGGAACGCACAACTTGCTGAGGGATGGTGTGTACTGAGGCCTGGGCATGGGCTGCTGAGGGCGTTTGGGGCTGACCTTCTCAGGCGTATGCTGGAAGGGGCTGGGCAGATGGGGGTAGGATGGTGAGTGGGCAGCTCCAGTGGTCCATGACCAGAGTGACACCAGCAGGGGATACTAAGGGGAGGTCTCAGCAGGATGTGAGAGAGATGGAGGTGGCAAGATCACCAGGTCTCAGGAGTGGCTGGGAAAACGGGGCAGAGGCAGAGGGAAACGTCTCCGGTGATGTCTCAGTTTCTAATGGGAGGAGCAGATGTGTGGTGGCAAGGACTGTGTGGGGTCTGACCTTTGACCCGCCAGGTTAGCCTACCTCAGTTTCGTGATACCAGTAGAAGACACGAAGCCTCTGGATCAGAGATGAAGGTCAGTTCCTTCCTCACAGCAACACCAGTAGGAAGAGCATTTCCAAGGACAGTGCAGGGAAGGCCACCCGGCACCACATGCACAGCACGTTGCGTTGTGGGAGGGAAGCGCTGAGTTTAGGGAAATAGAATCCTTGATAAAGGATGACTTCTGCACACTTGCCCTTTGCTCCAGAGGAAGACACTGTCTCTAACTTCCAAGGCTGCTCGCAGTACAAACATCTTAGAGGATGGGCCAGAAAAAGGCAGAGTCAGTGCCTCTGCCCACGCAACACACAGAACAAGAGAAACCCACCAAGTACTGCCTCCCACTGAGGCTTCTGCCTGGGTCTGTACATTCCTGACATGAAAACCCATGAAGAACGGTTCCTGGGCAAACATGAGAAACCCTTGAACTGTGCTGAATAAAACATGAGAAACCCATGAACTGTGCTGAATAAAACATGAGAAACCCATGAACTGTCCTGAATAAAACATGAAAAACCCATGAACTGTCCTGAATAAAACATGAGAAACCCATGAAGTGTCCTGAATAAAACACGAGAAACCCATGAAGAACTGTCCCTGAATAAAACGTGAGAAACCCATGAAAAACTGTCTCCAAACAAAACATGAGAAACCCATGAAAAACTGTCCCCAAACAAAACATGAGAAACCCGTGAAGAACTGTCCCTGAATAAAACATGAGAAACCCATGAAGAACTGTTCCTGAGCAATATCTACCCCTCATGTCTACATCATCCTGGCAAATTTTCCTGAGTGTGCCATTCTGTTGGCCATGCTGATTAACAGGCAGATTGGGACCAAATCCACCCCATTTGTCTCATGCAGTCTTTAATTAAGACAGCAGCCAACAGGACTGCAGTATTAACCTCAATTGTGACTTCCAGGGTCCTGGATCCAGCCAGCTGAGCAAATCCCACAAGCCTTCAGGGTCCCCTTAGAAACCAAGCTAGTTTCTCTGTAAGTTTCTGTTGACCTTTCCGCTTGGCGGCATGTGTTAATAAACCAGCTACGGCAGGAGGAATCGGCAATTGCACAGACTTCGCCTTGAACCACAAGGAAGAAGTCAAAGGCAATCCTGTCATCTGTGACACTTCTGGATGGTGAGGTGAGGCTGGGCTGAATGCCGAGGGCCGAGGTAGTGGCATTGATCACCTTCCCTAAGTCCTGGGACACGTTTCCTACAACCTTTTCTAGTTAGATGTCTCCTATGGATAGCTGTCTGCAGCATTCACAGAAATAATGTGCCACTAACCCGAAAAGTTAACCAAGTCACTGAGGGCAGCTCCACTTTGGAGGGAACTTCTCAGTGATCGAGGGCTATGTGACATGCAGGGAGTGCTTCTGCTTACATACCCGAAGGTCTCTTATGACCCCTCTAAGGTACGAGTGTCCGTGTTCTCAGGAGGGAAGCAAGGTGACACTTGGCTTCCACACAGGAAGTAGAGAGCTGTGGGCACACGGTGCCCTGGAAAGTAAGGGTTGCTTACAATTGCTGGAGCCCCTGCAAGAGGGACCTCCATAGGTTGGGGGATAGAGGTTGTCAGTGTCTCCAACATGGACTCCTGGATGACTGATAGACCTTAAGGCGCCTGGTTCAGTTAGATTAATTCAGTTCAGTCTGCGGGTCCAAACTGTTCAATGTGTCCATGCCAGACGGCATTTGTCCACTCCACCGAATGACTGGCCAGTGGTTCCAGGAGTAGGGGTGAGGCTGGGGCTGGGGAAGACATCAGCAGGTGTTGACTTGTGTTTTGCCTGGGACGTGCAGGACTGAAGTTCTCCCATGTGCTTTCTGACAGGTTTCTCAGTGACAGTAAGGTGAATGGGCATCAAATTGGGTTCAGAGAATGCCAGACCCAGCAGCCAGTGAAATTTATCACACTTTTGGGGCGTCACTGTACCAGTGTATTTTCCATCGTGGTGAATGAGCCATGGATGACTCAGAAAGGCAGAGAATGCTAGACCCAGCAGCCAGTGAAATGTACCACCCTTTGGGGGTGTCACCGTACCATTGTATTTTCCATTGTTGGGAATGCGCCATGGGAGACAGGCAAGACTGTTAATGTCCCCCTCCCTCTCCAGGCTCTGGGGTTGCTGTTCTTTCCCCACCCACCCCCCAAATTGGTGTCTCGTCACAATAGCTGCAACTTCACCTTCTTCCTTGATTGTCCCCTCCTTGCCCCCAGACTTTCATTCTGAAGGGTCACGTGCAAGAGGCATTTTTATAAAGCTGGAGGACCCATTGTATCTGCTTTGTCCCATGTGGAAGGACATGGTCAGCAGTGTACTCTCCCAAGTGTGTGTTGTCCTTGCAACCCAGGACCATGTCAGTCAACAGGAGAATCCAGGTGGCTGAACTGGAATGAGATTTGAACCCTCCAGGTCCCCGTTTGGCTGGGTAGTCACCTGGAGGCTGCACCAACCAGACCAGCCTGGGCTCGCTGCTAGAGGGAAGAAAGAAGCTTCATGCCCAAGAATGGTCAGGGTGGAACCTTGAGTTTTCACAGTTGGTCTATATAATCCCCATCCTTCTCTTCCTGGCCATTACTCAGAATGTGGCCAAGAGGAGATGATTCCTTCCTGGATTAGCCATATATAGTGATCAGACTTTTCTACTAAGGACCAGAAGGAGGTGAAGGTAGGAAGGGTGGAGAGTAGGGAGGGTAGACAGTCCCTCGAGTGTCTCAACGCTCTGCCTGCTGGCAAGTGGCTTTTGTGATACAAGGTACACCATCATTGAGTGTAGATGGTCTGGAAAGTTGAAGTCATGCCACAGGTGAGTTTCAACAACCATAACAGTGTGGGCAGTGCTGGCTGATTGTATTGGGACAGCATCATGGTAGCCTATAATGGTCTCAGTGTTGCTGAGGCCCCCACCGGTACCCCTGGTGGGGAGAGCACCACATTTTGAGATGGTTGATCGGCTGAGAGGAGGCAGGAGCAATGGGCCTGCCCTCACGGGGTACAGACGGGACAGCTGTGGGCAGGAGTCACAAGTCTGGTATGCAGAGATGGCCTCTGCGTCAGGAACAGAGTGTTTAGCTTTGTGCCCAGGCAGTGGTGGATGGGGTGCTCTCTGGTATGATGGTGCATCTGGGTAGTAGTGGTGGCCTCTGGGCAGTGCAGGCCCAGTCAACAGCTTGGTCTTATTCAGTCTCATCAAAGAACAAATGGACTCTGAGCTCAGGCATCTACATGCTGACCCAGAATGTTCAATCAGCCGCCGTGACTTGCCAGAATGTGTGGCCCCAAAGAAGGACGTCTTTAATCTGACTGTTCCAAGTGGCAGACCAGACAGTGAGGTTGCTGCCAGCAGCTGCCCATGGGTCAGTAAAAACATAACCAAGTTCATCAGGAGGAGAGTTGGCCACAGGTTTGAGAAGGGCCCTGAGTCCTGCCCGCTAAGTGGCATGGCCGTGGGCACCTGCAGTTCTACAGAGCCAGCCCTCGGGTTGAGCAGCTGCTGCAGCCCAGTGGGTATCATTGGGCTTCAGTATTGTTGAACCATCAGTGAACCCAGCCCCGACATTCAGGGGCAAACTCTGAATCAAGGGCCCCATGAAGCCAGCGACATTGTTTCAAGTGATGGACGCGAGAGCCATTGCTTTTCGTGGGGGCCAGGATGCCTCTGTGTGCAGCCTGGCCTCAGTGTGGAATAGACCATGGTTGTTTGACCAGCGAGGCTTGTGGGGCCTTTCCTATCTTGTGGGCCATTGAGTCAGAGCTGGCCCACCCAAAAATGGGAATATCAAGCCTGAAAATCACAAGGCCTCCCTCCATGGATCAGATGCTCAGTTTCAAAAAGAGCATAGTGACAGGTGGGTGCCTGGGAACCGTGCCAGGCAAGTCCAGGTGCCGCCGGGGAGGGGCTGTCTCCCTCTGCCCAGTCGGTAATCTCAAGAGATGGGCAGCTTGATGGAGTCGTCAGGGTTGTAGCCCAGGGGCTCTAGTTAGTGCTCCCCAGTCAGGAGCGTCCTTCTTGGCCCGTGTGAAATGGGGAAGTACAAGCGTAGAACACACCCCTTCCCATGTTACTTTTGGATGTGGAGGCCACGAAACCAGTTTGTTGACGTGGTCCAACCTCTCCCCCTACAAGGTTACATTAGCTTCCCTCTCCCCAATAAACTTGGCCTCATCAGCTGGGTCCAGGCACCATCTCCCACCATGAGACCGGGTGGGGTTGTGACTTGGGCACCTGTCTCCAACAGAGCCCTAAAAGCTGGAGCTCCTCCCCTCCCTGAAGTTTCCCAGCATGCTGGGTGGGCCTGGGTGGTCTTTGGGGTTTCTTGGGGATGGAGCCACCTGCCCCCAGTCATCTCTCTCCTTACAGCAGCTGCAGTCAGGGTAGAGGGGTGTCAGGGATCCATGGGAGCAGAGGGAGAGTGGCCTTGTGCCTGTGAGCCGCATGCATTGATGTAGTGATTTCTAGCAGTGTCGCAGTTGCTCAGGGCACAGCCAGATGAAGGGCTGCTGTTTTCTGTTTGCTTAGAGCTTTGCATTGAAAAGCAAGCACCTCCTCACTGACACCGTTCTAAAGCATGCCAGAGTCTTGGCCCAGCAGCTGCAGCCCTGTGGCCTCACAGCTGGGACTGCGGGTAGTACCACCTCATTGTCCTGATAGGAGCCCCTCTCTGCTCACCCGGGGGAGAGTGAGTTTCACCCACAGCATGAGTCGGGCAGCCTGTTCCATCCAGGGTCTCATCCTCAGCCTCGAAACTCCAGCACCTTTGCCCCTTGTCCCTCCATCACTTGGACGAGAACATTTGCTACCTGATCCAGGGAGGGTTCTCATATCCTTGGAGCCCAGCCTGCAGAGCCTCTTTATTTCGCCTTCCAGAAAGCCTTGTCTGTGGGAGTATCCCATCCTCCTCATCGAAACTGTCAAGAGCCTTGAAGGCTTTGAGATTTCCCCTCCTGGCTGGCTAACAAGTGAGCTCACCAGAGTTTCATGAAGACACAAGACTCCCAGGTCAGAGATGAAGGAGTTTATTACTCACACCAGTAGCACTAGACAGAGCCTCAGGGTTTTCGTGCTGGTTTACTGAGCCCTGATTCCCACACTGTGATGCAGAGAGGCATGGATGATGCCAGCATGCATGGTGGGGCACGCTGTGGGAGAGAAACATTGAGCTTAGGGAAGCGAAATATTTTATGCTAGACAGTGAGCCTGTCTGCCGTTTGTACCAGAGGGAAACACCATATCTTCCATTATGGGTTACCTTGCATCCCCGCTCCCCATAAAATATGTTGAAGTCCTAACCCCTCGACCTGAGAATGAGACCTTCTTTGGAAATAGGGACTTTGCAGATGATC
Source organism: Homo sapiens (assembly GCF_000001405.40). Classification (NCBI taxonomy): domain Eukaryota; kingdom Metazoa; phylum Chordata; class Mammalia; order Primates; family Hominidae; genus Homo; species Homo sapiens. The sequence continues at coordinate 71,182,668 of NC_000011.10, read as the reverse complement.
AAGTTGAAATGAAATGTTAGATGGGTCCAGATCTAGAATGACTGGCATCCTTATCAGAAGGAGGAATTCAGACACAGACATGGAGGGAAGACCGTGTGAAGACACAGGGAGAAGATGGTCACCTACCAGCCAAGGAACGCCTGAGGCCATGCACCTGAAGCTGGGGGACAGGCCTGGAGCAGATGCCTCCTCACAGCCTCAGAAGGAACCAACCCTGCCCACACCATGATCTTGGACTTCTGGCCTCCAGAGCTGTCAGATAATACATTTCTGCCGTTTTTGCTTCAATTCCAGTTTGTGGTACTTTGTCGTGGTAGTCCCAAGAAACAAATCCATCTTCAAGGCTGTTCCATCTACAAGCACATTTGAAAAGATCATCTGAACAAAGACAGGCACTGTTTCTGCTCTGTGTGTAGAAACTCAGGAGCCCCGAAAACAATCTCCTCCCAGCAGATGGACAGCCGTGCTACTTACAGGCATGGGAACCTGGAATAGGACCATGTTTGGAGAGATTTTTTTTTTTTTGCCTAAAGAAGATGCTGCCTTGGGGAAGGAAAAGGCCCTAGCCTCTGGAACTTGCTGGGAAGCAGATTTCTGTTCCTCCTCAGGAGAGAAAACACTTGTCATCACAGCCATCCTCTATGAGGGGGAGACAGGGATAGAGAGGGACCCCCTGCCAGGGTTACTGCAGGGCGCTGCCCCTCCGGCAAGGTTGGTCACACCCATGATGCTTCATCCAGGTGGCCCCTTGGAATCGTAGGTTTCTTGCTAAAATACAAATTCTTCTTCCCACTTGTTCCCCTGGAGATTCGGATTCAGTAGATCTGGGTTGGCGGGGGAGGGGGGGCTGGGAACCTGAACATCTTATTGCTCCACAGGTGGCTCTGACGGCGTCCAGGATTGAGGATTCCTGGGCACGTCCCCACACCTGCGGCTCTTTGTTGTCCTGGTTCCGTTATGCATGCGGTGTCACGGTTGCCTTGGATGTAGGGTATTGCAGTGCTTCACCATGAGCGGGCGCCTTGCTTGGAGGCTTCTGCTGCTTCTTTTCAGCACCTGCCCTTTCCTCTTGCTGGTGGCCACTCCGATTGGTTTTCTTTGACACTGGGGTTGTCAAGATGAGATTCTGACCTTGGCTTCATTCTTCTGAGATCCTGAATTGTCATATGACCATTGCCTTTTTTGTTTGTTTGTTTGCTTTTAGAGCCTCATTATGTTGCCCAAATTGGCCCTGAACTCCTGGGCTCCGGCGATCCTCCTGTCTAGCCCTCCCTCCCAAGCAGCTGGGTCTGCAGGCACATGTCACCGTGCCCAGCTGTCATTGCCATTCTTAAAGGCCATGTGCCACTTGTTACCCAGTGGCTTCTTTGCACATGAGAGTGATGTAGTGGAGAAAGAGGAGCTGGCTGTGTTGAGGGGATCCAAGTGCTACCTTATTAACAAACTTTGAACCAGGCTTCCTGCCTTCAGCTCAGCGGGAGGAACCTGCAATTCCGTTCCTGGGCCTTCTTGCACTTCTGTGCTGCAAGCTGGTCGGCTTCTCCAGACCTCCCCTCGTCAGCAGTTGCACTCAAGGATCTTCCGCCATCTCTGGTTTCTTTCCCAGCTTCTCCTTTCCTGTTTGTCCTTGTGTTTATATGCATTAAAAATGAAATCCCTTCGCTGCTGTTTTTTGTGTGTGATTTCAAGCAGAGGTAAGGCTGATTTGCCACATGGAAGTGGAAGGTTGCTTTATGGCCAGAAATACACTAGACAGCCGGACGGGGCTGTGCCTCGTGGGCGTTGGTGGAGGGGAGGGACTGTCCGATGGTCTGACCTTGCCCCTGAATTTTTGCTTCCTCTCCAGTGGTATATGTAAGAGTGGTGGCTGGTAAAAATTCCGTCCTTCTTGGGTTGTAGCTTCAGCACTTCCTAAAAGTGTAAGTTCCTGAGCTGAAATTCATTTGATCCACATTGGTGTGTGGCCTAGTGTAGTGTGGCTTACGTGGATTGACAGGTTTGTTCAAACATGCCATTCCCGCCGCCCCCGCCAAAAAAATGCCATCTGTAGATGTTTTCTAGAAGCCTGTATGTATTTTCATTAGAAACTGAACTTTGTGTGTGGGGTTTTTTTTCTTTTTTTCTTTGCAACCTAGACTTTCACTGTCGACTTCTTGTACAAAGCGCTGTTAGATGGGCACAGGGTAAGGAACTTCGTGTTTTCTTGCTTTCCCTCTGCTCCTACCCTGGTAGGAAAAGCTGTTTTAACTGCCCAGACCATAAATTAACAAAGCTTGTCACCTCCTCCACATTTTTCTTTGGAAACCACTTCCTCTGTTCTCTTTCCTTCTATCCTGTACCTCTTGATAAAGAATGCCAGCAGGTAGACTCCATTCAAAGAAAAGCACATATTCTGTGCCCCGTGGTTTGTTCTGATAAATAACAAGGTGTTGGTCGGCACATCTGGAGTTAGATGTAATTGTGAGTACACCTGGAATAAGGATGCCCAGAGCTATTTGCTTCTGAGTCATGTTTTTCTGCAAGTGCAAAGTGAAGATAATGACATTTGTCCCCGGGAAATTCAGCAAGATGCTTGTCATTCCCAAGTGGCAGGCAGGTTACAGCGTGAACACTGGTTGTCAGCTCCCGGGATGTCCTGTGCCTGGAAGTCCTGTAACCTTAATTGGCCAGCAGAGGTTTGCATGAAGGTGGACTTTGAGACTCACATTGCAAGGTGGCACCTCGGTTATCGAGTCATCTGTAGTTTCTTGCAGCAGTGTTTTGTTGTTTTCAGTGTGTAAATCTTTCACATCTTTCGCCAAGATTTTCTCCTAAGCATGTCTTATTTTCTGTTGGCGTTTGTAAATAGAGTTGTTTTGACATTTCAACTTCCAATCATTCATTGCAATTATATAGAAATATAATTGATTGCTGTATATTCCTGTTGCCTTCTTCAGTCTTGCTAAAAATCACTTGTTCTAGTAGTTTTTTCAAGGATTCCAATGGATTTTCTATGGGGACAATCATGTCTTCTGCAAACAAGGATGGTTTTATTTCTTCCATCTCACTCTGGATGCATTTTATGTATTTTTCTTGTCTTGCTGAGGAGAAGTGTGAAAGTGGACGCCTCAGCCTTGTAAGATCAAGGATCTTAGGGAGGAAGTTCTCAGTCTTCCCATGTAAATACGGTGGACACTGTGGGTTTTTCAGAGATGCCTTTTCTCAGGCTGAGAAGACTCCCTTCCAGTTCTGCTTTGCTGAGGGATTTTATCCTGAATCTGTGTTAGATTTTATGAAATGCTTTTTCTGCAACTATTGAGCTACTCATAGGGTTTTTAGCTTTTGTTTGTTAATATGGTTTGTTAGTATGCTTTGATTTTCAAATGTTAAATCAACAGTTAATTTCAAATGTTGAACCAAATGTTAAATTTGATCAGTTCCTGATCAAAATCACACTTGGTTATGAAATATCCTTTTTACATATTGTTGGATTTGATTTGTTGTTTTATTTTGACTTTTTGCATCTGTGTTCATGAAGAATGTTGGTCTGTGTTTTCTTTTTCGTATCGGGGTAATATTGGCCTCACAGAAGGCATTGAGATGTTTCCTTTTATCCAGCTTTCTGGAAAAAAATATAATCCTCCAATTTTCTTTTGATTAATATTAACTTATTCTTTTATTTATTTTATTCATTCATTCATTCACTTCAGACGAAGTCTCATTCTGTCACCCAGGCTGGAGTGCAGTGGTGCAACCTCAGCTCACTGCAACCCCTGCCTCCCAGATTCAAGTGACTCTCATGCCTCAGCCTGCTGAGTAGCTGGGATTACAGGCGTGCACCACCACTCCCAATAATTTTTGTATTTTTAGTAGAGACAGTGTTTCACCGTGTTGGCCAGGCTGGTCTTGAACTCCTGGGCTCAAGTGATCCACCTGCCTCAGCCTCCCAAAGTGCTGGGATTACAGGTGTGAGTCACCGCGCCTGGCCAAATTAATACTAAGTATGCTTTTTTGTATCCAGTTACTTTTTATTTGTATTTGTCTTTATTTTTAAAGCATAGTTCTTTTTAAAGACTTTTTAAATTGTTGTAAAATGTGCATAGCATAATATCTATCATCTTAACCATTCAGGAGTGTACGACTCAGTGGTATTAAATACATTCACAACATTGTGTAACCACCACTCTGTCTATACCCAAAACTTTCTTTTGTCATTTTTCACAAAATCTCTGTGCCCATTAAACAATAGTTCCTCTCCCGTCTCTTTCTGGCCTCTGGTAACCACCAGTCTACTTTCTGGCTTTACGAATTTGGCTATTCTAGGTACCTCATATAAGTAGAATCATATAAGATGTCTCCTACTGTGTCTGGCTTATTTAGCATAATGTTTTCAAAGCTTGTGCATGTTGTAGCATGAGTCAGAATTTCCTTCCTTTTTAAGACTGAGTTTTATTCCACTGTATGAATAGACCACATTCTATTTATTCATTCATCAGTTGATGGACAGGTGAAAGGGTTGTTTCCACATTTTGGTGCTTGTGAATACTGTTGCTGTGAACATTCATGTACAAAGCTCTGTTTAAGTCCCTACGCTCTCTTCTTTTGGATTTATAACTAGGAGTGGAATTGCTGGATCAGATGTTACTCTCTATTTAAACTTCTGGAAAAGTGCTATCCTATTTTCCATAGTGGCCACGCCATTTACATTTCTACTAGCAGTGCATGAGGGTTCCAGTTTCTCTACATACTCACCAAATGTGTCATTTTCCACTTATTATTATCATTATTGTTATTGCCCTCTTAGTAGATATAAAGTGGTATCTCATTGTTGTTTTGATCTGCATTCCCCAAATGCCTAATGCTGTTGGATGTTTTTTTCACGTGCTTATTTGCGATTTGCATATTTTATTTGGAGAAATGTCTATTCAAATTCTTTGCCTATTTTTGAATTGGCTTATTGGTTTAAAGTGCATTTCTTATAGAAAGCTTAGAGTTGGGTCACATTTAATGGAAAAATTGATAATGGTTTGATTTAAATCTGTCATCTTACTATTTATTTTCTTTTTGTTACATCATTCTGCTTTTCTTCTTTTTCTGTCTTCTTTTAGATTAATAGAATTTTATGATTCCATTTATCTTTATTGGTTTATCTGCGATTACTCTTTGTTTTGTTCTTTCAATGGTTGGCTTAGGGTTCATAGCATAAATCTTTATCTTACTACACTTTTATCATCAAGTAGTATTATACCAGTTCAGGTAAGCATAAGAACTTTACAATAATATGCTTCCATTTTCCCACTCCAACCTTTGTGCTATTGTTGTATATTTTTCTTCTATATGTCTTGTAAACCCCATGATACATTTTTTTCCTGCTTAGTCAGTTGTCTTAAAGGGGTTTAAATAAGAAAAACTTGCATATTTAGCCTCATGGTTACCATTTCTGATCATCTTCACTCTTTTGTGTAATTCATATTTTTATCTGGTATCATTTTCTTCTGCCTCAAGAATTTCTATTAACATTTATTGTAGGACAGATCTCCTGGTCATGAATTCTTTCGGCTACTTCATTTCTGAAAGATATATTCACTGCTTATAGAATTCTAGTTTGACTTTTTTCGTTTAAAGATGCCAGTCCACTGTCTGCTCACTTGAATCATTTCCATCAAGAAATCTGCTGTCATTCTTAAGTTTGTTTTCTGGATGTAACATGTCTCCCTTCCCTAGTCTGCTTTTAAGATTTTTTCTTTATCTTTGGTTTTGAGCCATTTTGTTATGTTGTGCCTTGGTGTAATTTTCTTTATGATTCTTGTGCTTAGGTTACATTGAGCTTCATGAAGCTGGGAGTTTATAGTTTTCATAAAATTTGAATAACTTTTGGCCAAAAATAGAAATATTTGTTCTGTTCCCCCCTCTTTTTTTTTAGAAACTCCAACTATGTACATATTAGGCTGCTTGACATTGTTTCATGGTTCACTGATACTCTCTTCTTTTATTATCATTTGTTGGTGTTATTATTATTTTCTTTGTGTGTTTCATTTTAGGCAGTTTCTATTGCTCTGACTTCAAGTTCACAAATCTTTTTGTGTGATGTGTAATTTGCCATTAATTCTATTCAGGGTATTTTTCACTTCAGATATTGTAGTTTTTATCTTTGGAAGTTTAATTTTTTTCCATGTTGCCACTTACCTTTTTGAACATACAGAATACAGTTAATATGATTTGAATGCTTTGTCTGCTAATTATAACATTGGTATTTTTGCTTACTTTTGATTGGTTATTTTCCTCATTATGGGTCATATTTTCTTCTTTGCATGTGTGATAATTTTTCATTGTTTTATTAATTGAATTTTCTATTGCTAAACATTATAAAATATGAATTTAATCTTGTTGGACCTGTGTGTTTTGGATTTCTGTACATATTCTTGAGCTTTTTGGGGGCGGGATTTAGTTAATTTACTTAGAAACAGCTTGATCCTTTTGGGTCTTGCTTTGAATATTCGTTGGGCGGGATGATGGCAGTGTTCAGCCTATGTCTGATTATTTCCCATTAAGTGAGGCAAAACCCTTCTGTATGTTCACTGCCCCATGAATGGTGAGATGGGAACAGACACTGTTCCTGGCCTATGTAATTAGTATGTATTATTTTTGCCAGTCCTTTTGGGTGGTTCTTTCTCCGGCCTAAGGTGGTTTGTTACATGCTTGCATCCATCATATTCTGAATAAGGGAACACATCTCTACTAGGCTCCGTTCCATTCTCTCTCCTCCTGGTTTTGTCCCACAAACTGGAGCTACCTTGGCCTTCCTGTGTTCTCAGCCCCATCGCCTCCACTCTGGGAGTTTGCCTGGGTGGTCCTTGCTTGCAGCATGGTCTGGAAACCCTGAGGAGGCAGAAAGCTGGGAGTCATCATAGGGCTCACCTCATTATTTCCTCTCTCCTGTGCATCCTGTCCTATACTTTGAAAATATATGTTATTTTTCTTTTTACATATTTTGGTGGTTTGGATATATTTTGGGTGGTTTCAGGTAGGACGCTAAATCCAGTTTCCCTTCCTCCATCTTGGCTGGAAGCGATGTCTCTGTCTCTGTCTCTCTCTCTCTCTCTCTCTCTCTCTCTCTCTCTCTCTCTCTCTCTCTCTCCCTCTCCCTCTCCCTCTGTCTGTCTGTCTGTCTGTTTCTGCCCCTCTGCCTTTTTTGTCCCCACTTCTCTTTCACCAGCCTTGGTCTATTTCTCCCCCTCCTCTCCCTCTTTTTCTTTCCTTCCTCCTGCTCTCTTTACAGACTCACTTTCCTGCTTCGGTGTCCACAGGACCACCCAGCAGCAGCCTTGGTTTCTCACTGACACCACCTCTGTGGCTCAGGTTTCATCAGCTTTGCATTTCCTGGGGCGACCTGTCATGCTCAGCTGTGTTGTTCCCATGCCCATCCAGGAACCTGCCACTGCTCATTTATTGGTTCTTCGTACTTGTGCTGAGTTGGACTAGGTGCCGAGGAAGCACTGGCGAAGACGATGGGTTTTGTCTCTTGCCCTCCTGGGAGCGACACACAAAATAGATAAGGCACAGATTTAACAAAATCCCTTGCTCTGGTAAATGCACATATGCGACCGTGTGTGTGTTTTGTAGCTGCAGAAAGGTAACCGGGGAAGGCTTATCTGAGAGCATGACATGTAAACTGGGAGAGGAGGAGGGGGAGACAAGGAGAGAATTCCAGGCAGAAGAAATCATGAACACAAAGCTGGGTATGTTCACTGTATCCAATCTACTCCCTGAGGGAGCCCCAGCATTGGAATCTAATCCTGTGTGCCCCGCACCAAAGCTTGTGTTCTTTTTTTTCTTTTGAGACAGGATCACACTCTGTTGCCCAAGCTGAGAGCAGTGGTGCAGTCACAGCTCACTGCAGCCTTGACTTCCTAGACTCAAGCAATTCTCCTGCCTCAGCCTCCCAATAGCTGGAACCACAGGCATGTGCCACTACACTCAGCTAATTTTTGATTTTTTTTTTTTTTTTTTTGAGACAGAGTCTCGCTCTGTCGCCAGGCTGGAGTCCAGTGGCACAATCTTGGCTCACTGCAACCTCTGCCTCCTGGGTTCAGGTGATTCTCGTGCTTCAGCCTCCCAAGTAGCTGGGATAACAGGCATGAGCCACCACACCCAGCTAATTTTTGTATTTTTAGTAGAGACGGGGTTTCACCATGTTGGCCAAGCTGGTCTCAAACTCCTGACCTCGTGATCCGCCTGCCTCGGCCTCCCAAAGTGCTGGGATTACAGGCTTGAGCCACCACACCCGGCCTGATTTTTGATTTTTTATAGAAATGAGGTCTCACAACGTTGCCCTGTTGTCTGGCTGGTCTCAAACTCTTGGACTCAAATGATCCTCCCGCCTCAGCCTCTCGAAGTACTGGGATTACAGGTGTGAACCACTGTGCCTGGTCCTGTGTTCTTAATGACTGTTTCCAGTCACAGATACTGTGTTAAATCAGTGGCTTCTAAGCACCTTTGTTAATGGCAATGACTACCATGATTGTTTCCTCCTTCTGCAAAGATATCAGGATGAGACTTGAAGCGTACATATCATCCAAAGAGAAATACATCGACAGCAGTTTTTAATGGTGCCACTTCCATAAGTGTGAAGCCTCGATGTATTGGGCTTTCATGGCTGCTGAAACAGATGGAAGCAAACTAGTGGCTCACAGCAACAGAAACTTACTCCCACAGTTCTGGAGGTCAGAAGTCTGAAATCAAGGCATCGGCAGGGCCGTGCTCACTTCAAAGGCTCTAGAGGAGGGTCCTTCCTCCCCTCTTGAAGCCCTGGATGTTCCTTGGCTTGTGGCCACATCACTCCAGTCTCTGCCTCAGTCTTCACCTGGTCACTTCCCTGTCTTTGCCTCTGTATCATTTCCCCTCCTTATAAAGTCACCTGGCATTGGATTTAGGGCCCACACTCCTTATATGATCTCATCTTGACTAATTACATCTGCAAATATTCTCAAAGAAGATCTCATTCTGAGATTTGGGTGAAGACGAATTTTGAGAGGACACTCTTCACGCCAGTGCACTTGGGTAGGTTTCAGCATGTTTTGGAATAGTTGACTCTTTGGGCAGAAGTTAAAATTGTTGCAGTGGAAGTCCTCCTAGCTTGTGGATGTGAAAGAATGTTTCCGAAGGGGACATTCGCCTGGTTCATCAAAGAAGAGGGTTCAAAACAGTATTAGCTTTGTGTGCTGGACAGTCAGGATATTTCCAGCAGGGTGAACTCACACCTGGACCACATGCAGTGGTGCCAATCCTGAGGCCAGGCCAGCAGCCACCCTGCCTGGAGGCACCCAGGAGCTTCATCCTTTACATCTGCTCCAAAAGCAGGCAGGGTCACAGCAGACGCCTTCCAGCAGTGATCCCAGCCAGAAGGAGAAACCTATACTGGAATCAATTTCCCTCTTCCGTTTCATCTTGTCCTCCATGAGGGGTGAGACAGATTTTCCTTTTATGGTTATTGACTCCAATAGTCCAGTATTTTATAGTCACAAAAGACCAGTAGCTTGAAAAAATAAATGTAATAGATTTATAAGACACTTCATCAAACAAGGCGTGATTTATAAGACACTTCATCAAACAAGGCGTTCTGCCTTTCCCTGCTAAGAGACGACAGGGCACAGTGACAGGGTTGAGTGCTGGCTGGGATGCCCACTTCTCAGCCTCCAGCAGCCCAATGGCCCCGGAGGCCAGAGCACTTTGAAATGCAGCCCACGAGAGTGTCTTTGAAGGAGCACGAATTTGCTGTGCTCGTGCATTTTTGATCACGTTCTCACATGGGACTCAGTCACTGTGTGTGTACCTGCCATTGCCTGCCCTGGCGTGCTGGGCTAGACCATGCACCTGCAGGAGGCAGGCATTGCCCTGGCGTTAACTATGCAGGCTTCCTGGGTGGCAGTCTGACTGTTCTCTCATGGGGGAGTGCCTTTAGGGGGTACATGTGCCCTGAGAGTTATTCCCCTCTCAGGATCATTTCCCAAGAGGCCATTGGAAACACGGGAAGATGCTGCTCACGGTGTTTCTTTTCTTTTCTTTTTTCTTTTTTTCTTTTTTTTTTTTTTTGAGACAGAGTCTCACTCTGTCACCCAGGCTGGACTGCAGTGGTGCGATCTCAGCTCACTGCAACCTCTGCCTCCCGGGTTCAAGCGATTCTCCTGCTTCAGCCTCCAGAGTAGGTGGGAAAACAGGTGCCCGCCACCATGCCCAGCTAATTTTTATATTTTTAGTAGAGATGGGGTGTCACCATATTGGCCAAGCTGGTCTCGAACTCCTGACCTTGTGATTCGCTCGCAAGTGCTGGGATTACAGGTGTGAGCCACCGTGCCCGGCGGCTGTTTCTTTTAAGTAAATAAAGTAACAAGAGAAAGCATGTGGCCCACCGTGGCCCCTGCATTCTTGAGGTTGACGCCTTTCTTGGACGCTCCTTCTCCTTGTGTGAGGTCAGGGAAGAGAGCTGGCAGGACGGTGGCATGTTTTGAGGGCTTCCCTTGTGCCAGGTGGGAATCACTGTGTTGGAAATCCTAGCAATTGTTTGCTCCTTTTGGTTACATGGTCAGTGTGCCACGGATGGGGCTGAGTGATGAAGTCTGCCACCTTGTTCAACCCTTGGGCAGCCATGGGGGACTGCCCAAGGGGACATTCCCATCACCCTACTGCTGCTGCCCCAAGGAGGCCTCCCAGGCCCAGGGTCTCAGGACCAGAGCTGGGCCTTCCCAGGCGTGTGGACTAGATTGTGTCCCATCAAGATTCCTCCGTGGAAGCCGTGACCCCCATCGCAACTGTCTTTGAGAATGGGGCCTCTAAGGCAGTGATCCTGGTTAAACGAGGCCACAGGGATTAATCTGATTAATCCGATGGGATTAGTGCCCTGAGGGGTGATCTTTGGTGTCCTTTCGACTGGACTAAGGAACACCTGGGAACCCGGTAAAGTGTTATCGTGGGCGTGTCTGTGTGGGGTTTCTGGAGGGGATTAGCACATAAGTCTGAGGGGACTGGAGGCAGGGATCTGCCCTGGGTATGGGTGGGCCCATCCAATATGCTGGGGGTCCAGAGAGAACAATGAAGAGAAGGGGCGAGGGCATGGAGCCGCTGGGCTGGACACACTCATCCTCTCTTGTCTTTGGACAACTCCAAAGCCTTTGGACTTCAGGACTTGACCAGCGGCCAGTAAGATGTAAAAGATGTCACCAATTTTCAACTTTGGCTGAGTCCCTGTTTCACTTGGGGGCATTTTAAGCTGAATGATCCCCAGATCCCCAGGCAGCCGCTTCCCCTCGGGTGCTCTGGCCTTTGGCTTCAGAGTGACTTACGCCATCACCTTCTCTGGTTCTGAGGCTTAGGACCTGGATTGAGTCTCGCTCTCAGCCTCGAGGGACTCCAGCCTGCAGACAGCCCGTCGCAGGTCTTTTCAGCCTCTGTCATCGCGGGGACTCTGTCAGCCCCCTGACAAGCCCACCCGCATGTGTCTGTATACATTTCCTGGTGATGCTGTCTCCTTGGAGAATCCGGACCAATACAGTGCACCTAGAAGAAGAGAAAACAGAAGTCTCACTCTGTCCCCGCGTGTGCAAAAAGACGAGGCCGTGCTGAGAGCAGCTAGAAGTTGGCCGTCTACGAGCCAGGAAGAACTCTCACTGGGAGCCTGATTGTACCGCACCTTGATCTTGGACGCCCAGTCCCCAGAATGTGAGCACACACACATTTCTGCTGTCATAGCCGCAGCCGTGGTATTCTGTGATGGCGGCAGAGCTGACTAATGCACCCCCTGCCAGCGACATCAGGAATCCCTGGAGGACGAGGACCATCGCATTTCCTAAAGCTCTCGTGATTTGATATGCATGAAGGTCTGACCCTTGTCCTGGGAGAAATAGCTGCTTCCTCCTGGCACCTGGGAGCGTCCCAGCTCCTTGCCTCTTTGGAGACCCCTTTGAGCGTGGGCTCTGCCGTGACCTTGGAGGTCGGGAACAGGCAACACATCCCTCAGTGCCCACCTCTTGCCAGCCGGTCCCTACTATTTGGGGTCTGGGCAAGGAGCACCAGCGGAAGCCCACATGACGTGTTTCCTATTTGAAAGTTAGGTACACACCCAGCTAGCACATTAGATCATAGTTTCTTCTGCTTTCACAGACATCCCTTCATGATGGCAAAATGTAAATCATGTGGGAATTGACTATTTCATGAGATTGAAAGCTGGTGATACACCAGACACGGCTGAGTTTAATTGTTCTGTTACACACTTAGGCATCTCATTGATGCATAGTGACATTTGGATAAGTGATAAATATAAATGTCATTCATTATTATATATGCCAGAAAATATATTTGTCCTGCTAGTCTGTTCAGCAAAATTACCACTACGTTGTTCTAGTCTAGCATTTTGCACAATCTGTGTTCCATTGAGAGTAATATTCTAAATGATTAGAAATTTAATATATTCAATGTATACAAAATTTGGATGTCTATGAAAATGGACTAATACAGAAAAAAAATTTGGATGTATTTTGATAAAAGTATTAATTGAAATAAATTTAGCATTAAACATTTTTCATGATTCCAAAAATGATATCTGCTAAAATATTCCAAATTAACTGCTCAAAGGCAAAATACAAGTTAAAATTAATGAATATTGTATCTTTTTTTAAAAAAAGATGAGGTCTTGCTATTATGTCCAGGCTGGAAAGGATATTCACAGGTGGGGTCACAGAGCACTGCAGCCTTGAACTCCTGGCCTCAAAATTTTAATCTAAATGATTTCTATAAAATGGAAACATTTTAATTTAGTTTTCTGAAAATTTACTCTCACTAAATATTGTTATGAATATAAAACAAATCACAGTTCTACCGCTGAGATATGCAAAAATCAGTATCTAGTTTTACACACATTCTCTTTTTTTTTTTTTTTTTTTGAGATGGAGTCTTATTCTTTCACCCAGGGTGGAGCTGCTGCAGTGGTACGATCTCAGCTCACTGCAACCTCTGCACCCTGGGTTCAAGCGGTTTTCCTGCCTTAGCCTCCCGAGTAGCTGGGATTATAGGCACCTCCCCCAACACCTGGCTAATTTTTATATTTTTAGTAGACATGGGGTTTCACCATGTTGGCCAGGCTGATCTTGAACTCCTGACCTCGGGTGATTCACCCGCCTCGGCCTCCCAAAGTGGCTAGGATTATAGGCGTGAGCCACCGCACCCAGCTTGGTTTTATACACATTCTGTGTAGACTTATGTACATACATATTTTGGAGTCACATGAATTGTTTTATATTGTTAAATTAAAAAGGAAAACAGGCCTAAAGAATCCTAAGCAAAGCCAGTCAGACTTCATAAGTGACCTCAGCCTTGCTGGATGTGCAACACCTGAGTGAAATCTAACTTGAGCTATTTCTGATAAATGTCTATATTAAAGAAAAATGAAACACGAGCTTAGTCAATCAGAAGCTGTCAATTAACTTCAACTAGGGACTTTCCAATGGGATAAGCCAGTACGGCGACCACATCATTGTAACCAACCAAGTGTCTCCTTTGCCTTGCGTCTGTGTTCACCCCATAAAGCTTTCCCCTTCCATCCCTGTGGTGGAGCCCAAAACTGTTAGGTTGCTGCAAAAGTAATTGCAGTTTTTGCCATTTAAAGAAATGGCAAAACCCACAATTACTTTTGCACCAACCGAATACCTTCAGTTTGGTACTTCCTGATTTCATAAATCACTGTTTGCTCAAACTAACTCTTTATGCATCTTATTCTGCCTCAGTTGACCTTTTATCAGTGTTGTCAAATGGTCCCTAGATGCTACCTGCCACTGTTGTGAATATTGATTACTTTTAGAAGTGTGGGCCCTCTCCCTCTCCCTCTCCCCATGGTCTCCCTCTCCCTCTCTCCACGGTCTCCCTCTGATGCCGAGCTGAAGCTGGACGGTACTGCTGCCTGATTCTCCTGCCTCAGCCTGCTGACTGCCTGTGATTGCAGGCGCGCGCCGCCACGCCTGACTGGTTTTCGTATTTTTTTGGTGGAGACAGGGTTTCGCTGTGTTGGCTGGGCTGGTCTCCAGCTCCTAACTGCGAGTGATCCGCCAGCCTCGGCATCCTGAAGTGCCGGGATTGCAGACGGAGTCTCGTTCACTCCGTGCTCAATGGTGCCCAGGCTGGAGTGCAGTGGCGTGATCTCGGCTCGCTACAACCTTCACCTCCCAGCAGCCTGCCTTGGCCTCCCAAGGTGCCGAGATTGCAGCCTCTGCCCGGCCGCCACCCCGTCTGGGAAGTGAGGAGCGTCTCTGCCCGGCCGCCCATCGTCTGGGATGTGAGGAGCCCCTCTGCCTGGCTGCCCAGTCTGGAAAGTGAGGAGCGTCTCTGCCCGGCCGCCATCCCATCTAGGAAGTGAGGAGTGCCTCTTCCCAGCCGCCATCCCATCTGGGAAGTGAGGAGCGTCTCTGCCCAGCCGCCCATCGTCTGAGATGTGGGGAGCACCTCTGCCCTGCCGCCCCGTGCGGGATGTGAGGAGCGTCTCTGCCCGGCCACCCCGTCTGAGAAGTGAGGAGACCCTCTGCCTGGCAACCGCCCCGTCTGAGAAGTGAGGAGCCCCTCCGCCCGGCAACCGCCCCGTCTGAGAAGTGAGGAGCCCCTCCGCCTGGCAGCCGCCCCGTCTGAGAAGTGAGGAGCCCCTCCGCCCAGCAGCCACCCCGTCTGGGAAGTGAGGAGCTTCTCTGCCCGGCAGCCACCTCGTCCGGCAGGGAGGTAGGGGGGTCAGCCCCCCGCCCGGACAGCCGCCCTGTCCGGGAGGTGAGGGGCGCCTCTGCCCGGCCGCCCCTACTGGGAACTGAGGAGCCCCTCTGCCTGGCCGGCCGCCCCGTCCGGGAGGGAGGTGGGGGGATCAGCCCCCCGCCCGGCCAGCCGCCCCGTCCGGGAGGTGAGGGACGCCTCTGCCCGGCCGCCCCTACTGGGAAGTGAGGAGCCCCTCTGCCCGGCCAGCCGCTCCGTCCAGGAGGGAGGTGGAGGGGTCAGCCCCCCGCCCGGCCAGCTGTCCTGTCCGGGAAGTGAGGGGCGCCTCTTCCCGGCCGCCCCTACTGGGAAGTGAGGAGTCCCTCTGCCCGGCCAGCCGCCCCGTCCGGGAGGGAGGTGGGGGGGTCAGCCCCCCGCCCGGCCAGCCGCCCTGTCTGGGAGGTGAGGGGCGCCTCTGCCCGGCCGCCCCTACTGGGAAGTGAGGAGCCCCTCTGCCCGGCCAGCCGCCCCGTCTGGGAGGGAGGTGGGGGGGGTCAGCCCCCCGCCCGGCCAGCCGCCCTGTCCGGGAGGTGAGGGGCGCCTCTGCCCGGCCGCCCCTACTGGGAAGTGAGCCCCTCTGCCCGGCCACCACCCCGTCTGGGAGGTGTACCCAACAGCTCATTGAGAATGGGCCATGATGACAATGGTGGTTTTGTAGAATAGAAAGGGGGGAAAGGTGGGGAAAAGATTGAGAATCGGATGGTTGCCGTGTCTGTGTAGAAAGAGGTAGACGTGGGAGACTTTTCATTTTGTTCTGTACTAAGAAAAATTCTTCTGCCTTGGGATCCTGTTGATCTGTGACCTTACCCCCAACCCTGTGCTATCTGAAACATGTGCTGTGTCCACTCAGGGTTAAATGGATTAAGGGCAGTGCAAGATGTGCTTTGTTAAACAGATGCTTGAAGGCAGCATGCTCCTTAAGAGTCATCACCACTCCCTAATCTCAAGTACCCAGGGACACAAACACTGCGGAAGGCCGCAGGGTCCTCTGCCTAGGAAAACCAGAGACCTTTGTTCACTTGTTTATCTGTTGACCTTCCCTCCACTATTGTCCTGTGACCCTGCCAAATCCCCCTCTGCGAGAAACACCCAAGAATGATCAATTAAAAAAAAAAAAAAAAGAAGTGTGGGCCCGGTGTGGTGGCTCACGCCTGTAATCCCAGCACTTTGGGAGGCTGAGGAGGGCAGATCACTTGAGGTCAGGAGTTCATAACCAGCCTGGCCAACATGGTGAAATCCTGTCTCTACTAAAAAATACAAAAATTAGCCGGGTGTGGTGGCAGGAGCCTGTAATCCCAGCTACTCGGGAGGCTGAGGCAGGAGAATCGTTTGAACCTTGGGAGGTGGAGGTTGCAATGAGCCGAGATCATGCCACTGCACTGCAGCCTGGGCAACAAGAGCGAAACTCCATCTCAAAAAAAAAAGAAAAGAAAAAAAAGACGTGTGGATTGGAAGGTAAACCAAGAAAAGTCATGTCTTGTAATACCGGGGTGTGCTGCATTGCTGTATGAGAATTCACTGCATTCTTGCTGTCTGGAAAGAAGTAGCTGTCCGGTTAATTTCTTGGCTTGTCCTTACCTAGATCCTTCCAGTGCTCAAATTCTCTTCCCACTCAGAGGTCCTGTCTGCCCGTCTCTGGCGTCTTTGTGGCACAGCCCACAGACTATCTGTTGCAGACCTTTTGTTCCAGGACATCCGTGAGAGGGTGAAGCGAGGTGACCCAGTACCTGGACGGCACCTGCTTTGGTGCTTGGCCTGTGTAGTTTTGATCTGTGGAACCCCCAGTCTGTCCTGTCATCCCTGCCTTTTTGCCAGGAGCCTCCTTCAAGGGAAGGGCTGACACCAGGCGAGCAGTAGTGTGTGCTTGTTGGTGTCGGTCCAGGCTGGGGGGCGTGTGGACACTCACATTCGTCTGTCTGTGCAGCACGCGGGAGGTTGGAGAGTTGTCCTCCACTCACGCTCAGCAGAGGATGGAGGAGATGGCTTCCTGACAGAGTGCTCATGGAGGGTGCTCCCCGGACATGGTCTACACTGGGTCCTGAGGAGTTGGTGGGGCTGGACTGTGAGATCAGCCGGGAAGCGTTCCAGGAGGGAGGCCCGAGGATGAGACGTGTCTCTGCTCCTGAGAAAAGGTTACATGACTACACCACGTAAAAGATGTTGCCAGTTCTCAACCTTGGCTGAGCCCCTGTTTCACTTGGGGGTATTTCAAGGTGAATGATTACCAGGTCCCCCGGCAACCCCTGGCATCCAAATCTCAAGGGCTGAGAAGTTCCCAGGAGGAAGATTTCTGGGATGAATGATCTCGCTGTAGGGTTTGACCAGGCTTCGCAGAGAGAAGCGACAACAGCCTTCCCGCTTGGTGTTCGGGCTTCATTCTTCATGCTGTAGGGGCCTTGAGGCTGTGGGGCTGCTGCACAGCATAGCGTCCTAGGAGCAGGATACACTGAGGACACGCACACACACCTGGGGGCAGCTCCCAGGGAGGTCTGCAAGAGATTCTCTCGCCATGAGGTTAGCGCAATAGTTTAAAATGCCCCAGATGGGAAAAATATTTCTTCTTAAGAAAACAAGACAAGGCTGGGAGTGGTGGCTCATGCCTGTAATCTCAGCACTTTGGGAGGCCAAGGCGGGCGGATGGCTTGAGATCAGGAGTTCAAGTCCAGCCTGACCAACATGGTGAGACCCCCGTCTCTACTAAAAATACAAAATTAGCTGGGTGTGGTGGCACATGCCTGTAATCCCAGCTTCTTGGGAGGCTGAGACAAGAGAATCACTTGAACCCGGGAGGTGGAGGTTGCAATGAACCGAGATCGTGCCACTGCACTCCAGCCTGGGCAACACAGTGAGACTCCATCTCAAAAAAAAAAAAAATGAAGACAAGAAAATTAAAGTTAAGGATTGCAAAGGACAGCTGGGTTCCCACAAACATTGGAATAATAGGAATTAAAGGAACCCACCTCCAGCTTAAATACTGTCATTACAGATGATGGCAGGATGGAGTAGCCACAGCCCCACTCATGGTGGAGTCATAGCCGTCCCCAAGCAGGTGACTGGAAAGTGCCCTTCAGACTCAAGGACTTGGCGTCTCTCCTAGGCCCCCAACAGATAGATGCCTGAGGCCGGCGTTTGATGGAATTGGGTATGGCACAGAAAGCTGTCGAGAGTTCTTACCCTTGATTTGAAATCTGTTTAGTGTACAAGAACATCTATACACTAAATATGTTTAGTAACAGGCACATCTCCGTTTACCAGTGACATTTCATCGCTCCATAGAGGTCTCAGAGCTGTGTGATTTTGTTGTGTGATGTTCCCAGTTCCTAGACACAGTAATTTAACTTAGTTTCTGGTAACCCATAGTTTAGAAGGTGCGGCAGCTGTCATGAGGCCCCATTGTGAATTGGAGGTGTCTTAGGTGGGTCACCCTGCGGTCAGCCCCTCACTGGGGACACTGGGGCCCGCTGGGTTATTCTGTGGCTGCTCTGGTGTTGGGTCTGGAGCTGGAATAGAACCCGGTCATGCTTCTGTCTTCTCTGCAGTGGCCTAGGTTGCTGGGTCTGTTTAATGCCAAAGCCTCTCTGCCTAGACAGACACTGCTGAGATGCAATGTGCTGTGATATTTAATCTTCAAAGGCCAGTTAATCCCCCAGCCCTCCACTGCCAGGTACTGGGATTTTAAGAACTTGGCTTGTACCTGGGGATGATTTTAGTGGCTAGTCTTGACTGCCACACCCCTCCCTTGCATTCACAACCCAGGAGCCAGAACTCTCCAGATGGACCCAAGTCAACTGTGGGGAGGCTGAGGAACAAACACAGGGTACCTGAAAATTTGGAGACCACTGGCATCTGGGAGGGTTGTATTTTGATTTTACATTTCCTTTTAGATCCTAAGTGCAACAGGTTTGTTAGAGCAGACAGACTACAAACTAGGAACTAGATCAGTGGGAACTCTCTGTACTATCAGCTGAGTTTCCTATACACCTAAACCTGCTCTAGAAAAATAAAGCCTATTAATTTAGAAGTGCACAATAAAAAGCACGCATGTATAGATATTTTGCATTCTTCCTTCTGTCTTCCTCCAGCCTCCCTGTTGAAGAGGGTGTGTGATTTGCGTGAAAGGATGGGGAGTGAATTGATCCGAATTTCACTCCTCTAAGAGCTCACACTGCAATCTTTTGGGGCAGTTTCCACTGAGCTCCTTTTTGCACAAGCAAACTATCTTTTGAAAATCGTCTGGAGAATCTTGAATTTGGATTGAGTGTGAGCTGCCTCTCTTTCTGGCTGTGATGGACCAGGAGCTTATCTTCTAAGGCTCCTTATCTATCAGATAAGGGGAAGTCACAATGCCCTCCTATCACATTCTCCTGGGACTGACAAGAGATACTAAAATGTAGGCCTAGCTGGTAGGCTGATGTGCAGGAAGCCCTCAAGAAGCATCAGCTCTGCCTCCCTGCAGCAGCACGGCCTGCCGTGTTCTCACCCACTGAGATCCCCCCACAAGCACATCTGTCCAGCTTCCAAAATGAATAGATTTGATTTATCAAGGGCTTGCACTGGAAAGACCATTACAGGCAGACCCTGTGCCATGGTCATCTAATTTCTAAAGTTTTTATTTTTAGTGAAAAACATTATAAACACAGAAAAGTAGACAAACACAATAATGACTCTATACCCACCATCAGTATTAAACAAACATTATAAACACAGAAAAGTAGACAAACACAATAATGACTCTATACCCACCATCAGTATTAAACATTTTAAGATTTTGCCCTATTTGCATATTTGTTTCTATTCTGTATATATATATATATGTATTTTTTTTTTTTTTTTTTTTTTTAGACAGAGTCTCACTCTGTTGCCCAGGCTGGAATGCAGTGGCGCGATCTCGGCTCACTGCAAGCTCCACCTCCCAGGTTCACGCCATTCTCCTGCCTCAGCCTCCCGAGTGGCTGGGACTACAGGCGTCCGCCACCACACCTGGCTAATTTTTTTGTATTTTTAGTAGAGACGGGGTTTCACCATGTTAGTCAGGATGATCTTGATCTCCTGACCTCGTGATCTGCCCGTCTTGACCTCCCAAAGTGCTGGGATAACAGGCGTGAGCCACCACGCCCAGACTATATATTTATTTATTTTGAGATAACTGCCACTTGTTCTCATCAGTTTTCCCTGTTTTGAAGCAGTAATCACTGTTTTGAAGTTGGGCTATAGATAGGTGAAGATAGCCATTGCCATCTATATTTTTAATTCATGTATGAAAGTGTTTAGATAAATGTATCTATTCTTTTGCAATTGACATTTCCCCATTTCACTGTCACATGCCAACGTATGTTACTTGATTTGTCTTCACTGTTCTATAATTTTACCTGATATTACTATACAATCATTTACTTAGTTTCCTGTTGGTGGCTGCTATGGTTTGAACATGTTCCTCAAATTTCATGTGTTGGAAGCTTGATCCCCAAATTCATCTGTTGATTGGAGGTGGGGCCTTTGGGAGGTAATTGGGATTAAATAAGGTCGTCAGCATGGGGTCCCCATGATGGGACTTATGGCTTCAATAGAAGAGGAAGAGAGACCAGAGCTACATGCATGATCTCACCCTCTCACCATGTGATGCCCTTTGCCACATCATGATGCAGCAAGAAGGTCCTCACCAGATGCCACACCATGCTCTTGAGTTTCTCAGCATCCAGAGCTGTAAGAAATATACTTCTTTTCTTTATAAATAACCCAGCCTATGGTATCTTGTTATAGCAACAAAAAGTAGAATAAGACAGTGGCATTTAAGCTGTTTCCAGTTCATTGGTTAATTCACCAAGTGTCCATTGAGATCATGTGATGCTCCAGAACAAAAAGCAGAAAATGCTACAGGGGTGTCTCATTCAGTGTAAGGAGAGGCTGTTGCAATGGCTTAGGGAGCCTCCACACTGTCTACCAGATTTGAGGATGCTGCCCTGCCTGTGGACAGACTGTGAAGACATTTCCTCCTGTGTCTAAGAAAATGCCAATGAAAAATAGTCAACTCTGTAAAATATTTAAAGAGGTTTATTCTGAGCCAAATGTGAGTGACTAAGGCCCATTTTATAGTCCCAGAGGTCTGAGAACATGTGCCCAAGGTAGTTGGGTTGCAGCTTGATTTTATACATTTTAGGGGGTAGAAGTTATAGGCAGACATCAATGAGTACATGTAAGGTGTACATTGGTTCAGTCCAAAAAGGTGGGACAACACAAAGTGGAGTCAGGGGAGGGTTTCCAGGTCATAGGTAGATTCAGAGATTTTCTGATTGGCAATTGGTTGAAAGAGTTGTTATTATGTAAAGACCTGGAATCAATAGAAAGGAATGTCTGGGTTAAGATAAGGGGTTGGAGACCAAGGTTCTTATTATGTGGAAGAAGCTTACAGGTAGCAGACTTCAGGGAGAATAGAGGGTAAATGTCTCTTAACAGATCTAAAAAGATGCCAGGCTCTTAGTTAATCTCTCCTGGATCAGGAAGAGACTTGGAAAGGGAAGGGGATTCTCTATAGAGTGTAAATTTTCCCCACAAGAGACAGCTTTTCAGGGCCATTTCAAAATATGTCAAAGAAATATATCTTGGTAAAAAAATACGTTGTTTTCTTTCAGGACCTGCTGTCTATCATGTGATGCTATACTAGAGTCAGGTTGGAATTTGGTATCTTATTGCTACAAAGAGTCCATTTTGTCCATCTTGAGATCTCTTGTTTTAATGTTAATGCTGGTCAGTTGTGCCTGAATTCCAAAGGGAGGCAGATATAATGAGGCATGTTCAATCCCCACTTCCCATCATACCTTGAACTAGTTTTTCAGTTTTACTTTGGAATGCCTTTGGCAAAGAGCAGCTGGGGGATCCATTCAGTTGGTGGTGGACTTAGAATTTTATTTCTGGTTAACAAAAGTAAACTTCTTAAAGAAGGCTGTCTGCAAACTTAGTTTTCAGTTTTGAGGCAACTGGTTTCTATTGGAAGCCATCTTCTTTGGAGACAGACATGTCTCAGGAGGCTCAGCAGCCCAGGGATGAAGGCTGCCAACGTGGACTGTCATTTAAGGTGTCATTGCTGGAGCTGAAATAACCCAGCAGGGATTTTCCTGGTTTCTGCAGGGCTCTGGGGACAAAATGGCATACGTTGGAGTGGCCTCCTCAACTTTTTCCCCATCAACTCTGTTATGTTTTACACATGATGTTGTAGAAGGTGGGTGTCTTGGGCAGCTCAGGCTATAACAGAATAGATAGGATGACTTAGCAGAAATTTATTTTCTCACCTTTCTGGAGGCTGGACATCTGAGATCAAGAAGCTGGCTGATTCAGCTCCCATTGAGGGACTGCTTCCTGGCTTGCAGAGGGTTACCTTCTGACTGTGTCCACACATGGTTGGTTGCAGGGAGATGGGAATGCATGACCACACGTGAACACGCATGCTGGCTCTCTGATGTTTCTTCCTTTCTTTATAGGGATGCTAGTCCTATGGGATCAGGACCCCACCCTTGTATTCTCATAACCTGAATTACCTCTTAAAGGTCCTACCTCCAAATACCATCACATTGGGGGTTAGGGCCTTAGCATATGAATTTTAGAGGGAGACAGTTCAGTTCGTAGCAGTGAGAATTTGAGGGCTGCTTTAAGGGGGGATGACAGAGTCCCCAGGAGCCTCCGGAGCAGTCCCACTTTGCATTCCCTTCCCCATCCTGGGACTGCATTTTCACTGTGGGCCTTGGCATTGCTTGTTTTCCTGGTACCTTTGGGATGTGTTCTCCCATGCCAACTAGCCCTTCAGGTGTCCCCTGCGATGGACTGTACCCATTTGCATCTGGAATTGTTTCTTTTTTGCCCTGTAGGAATTCTTCCCAGATTTTCCACAGCGCTCTGTCCTATGTTGTAAAGGTCCCTTTCAGGTGTCTTTTTTTTTTTTTTTTTTTCCTGCCACCCAGGCTGGAGTGCAGTGGCACGATCTAGGCTCACTGCAACTTTCATCTCCTGGGTTCATGTGATTCTCCTGCCTCAGCCTCCCAAGTAGCCAGGACTACAGGTGTGCCACCACCATGCCCAGCTAATTTTTTTGTATTTTCAGTAGAGACAGGGTTTTGCCATGTTGGCCAGGCTGGTCTCGAACTCCTGACTTCAAGTGATCCACCCACCTCAGCCTCCCAAAGTGTTGGGATTACGGGCATGAGCCACCATGCCCGGCCTGAGGTGTCTTCTTGCTGTTGTGTCTGATGGAAGTCTTAACTTTTACATTGTCTAATTTGTCTGTCCCTTCATGCCTTGTACCCGATGCCTTGTAGAAAGAAACACTTTTTTTCTCGCCTTGTTTTATTGAGCAAATAACAATTGAACATATTTGTGGCTGGCTAATTAATGGCCCCCAAAGATATTCAGGTTCTAGTCTCTGGTACCTCTGAATGTGTGACCTCATATGGCAAAAGGAGCTTTGCAGATGTGATGAAGTTAAGGATCTTGAGATGGGAGGAATTATCTTGGGTTATCCAGGTGGGCCCTGAATGTCATCACAAGGGTCATTATTTTTAAGAGGGAGATTTGGCTGCAGAAGAGGAGATGGTGATGTGAAGGTGGAAGCTGAGATAGGAGTGACCCACTTTGAAATTGGAGGAAGGGGCCATGAGTGTCAGAGTACAGGTCACCACCAACATGCGAGAAAGGCAAGGAAGTGGATTGTTCCCCAGAATCTTGAGAAGGAGCCAGCTCTGACAACACCTTGGCTTTAGCCCCATAAACTCATTTAGGACTTCTGACCTCAGCGTGATGAGAGTACATTGCTGCACATTTCTGTTGCTCTAACCCACTAAGTCTGTGCTATCTTCTTACACAGCAATAAAGCAGCATTTATTGAGAAGCCAGAATCCCGTCTTAGGGACCTTACATGAAGGCATTGCCTCTTACTTTTTCTTCTAGAGATTTGTTGTGTTGCTTTTCACGTGACAGTAGTCAGTGCATCTGGAATGCGTTTGTGTGTCTGGAGTGGCATGGGGCTCTATTTCTCATCTTCTCCATGTGAATACCTGCTAGTGTCAGCCTCATAGGTTTATTAATTCTTCTCTTTCCCCCAACACATATGGGAGTCTGATATTTACAAGCCCAGCCTAAGGTTCTGTGCTTTTTAAATCCATCTATTTGTCTTTGTCTAATACCATACTGTTTTCATATTATAACTTTTTCTGGTAAGCCTTGGCATCTGGTAGAATGAGTCTCCTCTTAGTCTCCAGAGTTATCTTGGTTTTATGTGGCTCTCCATCTTCTTTGAGCTTTAAGATCAGAGTGTTAAGTTCTACCAACAGTCCTATCAGGGTTTTATTAGAAGTTACATCAAGTTTATATTTTGTGGAGAATTTTCATCTTGAAGATATTAAAGCCTAATGTCCATGATCATTGTATAGCTCTTCATTTATTTGGGTCTACCTTCAATTCTTTCTTTATTTCAAAAAGATAATGCTATGTAGTATTACTTTTCTCCACAAAGGTCTCATACATATTGTGTTAGATTTTTTTTTAGTTGACTTTGGTTATTGTTGGTGGTATTATAGTGTTTTTTGAATGTTTTTCAATTGTTTATTGCTAATGTAACAATTCACTTAACTTTTGTATATTCTTATCTGGCATTTTGCTGGACTTTTTTTTAACTAGTTTTATGGTTACACATTATTTAATTTGTCCCTAGATTTTCTTGGATTTTCTATTCACAGAAGCATATTATCTGAAAATAATGATTTCCCTGCTTTTAGTCCATAAACAATGCATTCGGTTATCTGTTCGCTTACTTATTTTTGATGTTTGCTACAGGATTTGAGTAGGTGCTCTGTTCGAGTTTGGGAAATTCTCTTCTATTCCCAGTTTTCCAAGACTTTGGTCATGACTAGGGGTGGTTTGTGTCCCCCCAGGCTGTCCGTGGCTGGGCCTCTTGTTCCTGCTGGACACAGGGCCTTGTTGGACCCACACTTAAGAGCTGCACACAGGGGCAGTGTCCCAGGAGGGGCTTGTTGACCTGTTGTCTTGATTGGTTTCCTTCTCTGTAGGTTGTCTCCCAGGAAGCCTTTTACCTTGGGCAAGTCGCTCCCTTCCTGGTCACGGTGAATGGTTTCGGCAGAACTGTGAGATGGGTAGGCCAGCATATCACAAACAGGCTAAGAGTGGGTTCATGCTAGCTGGCCAGAACCCCTTGAATTCTGCTCTAAGAAAACTGAAATGGAAACCTGTCATAAAATGAAGACTTCTTTATAAATCATGTGCTCTTTACAGCAGCCTGGACAGAAACCCACTGAGGCCCAATTAGAAAGCCAGACAGACTCTTCTCTCTGGCTTTTCTAGCAGAAGCTGAGAGACTGTTGGAGGCTGTGTTGAGTCTGGCCAAAGAAAGACGGTGCAGACCACATTAGTGGTGTGGTTACTGGTGCCACCAAGAAAACGGCACACTTCCACATGAATGCTGAGGCATGGAAGAGAAATAGACTTACCTAATGAATGTACCATCTCACCAGTCCTTCTCAAGACCTGGACACCCCAATGTCTTAATAGAACACACCAGTGAGGCATTGCAATTCATCTAAGGGAGTGCTCTTAAGTGACGTATCATTTTAATTCAGGCATCTGATTTATTAGTAGCTTGTTTTCTGATTTGGGGATATTGGTTTTGGCATTAAGAGGAAGGTGTGAAGTAGCCGTTATTTCCCTAGAGCCCATTTCTTTTAGATAGAGAACCATTGCAGAGTTCCTGCTGTCAGTGTCTTTATATATATGTGTGTGTATATATATATATATTTATTATACTTTAAGTTCTAGGGTACATGTGCACAACGTGCAGGTTTGTTACATATGTATACATGTGTCATGTTGGTGTGCTGCACCCATTAACTCGTCATTTACATTAGGTATATCTCCTAATGCTATCCCTCTTTCAGGCGATAATACTTGGCAGGGTGCTGGCCTCAGTGGGCCATGCATTGTAGGTATGTGATTGGCTTTTGCTTCTAAGATCTTGAGTGTAGCAAGGAAGGGACTATGGGCAACTCAGACCATAGCTTCTCTTCCTGTTGTGGGAGATTGTTTATGAGCCCCAGGGGAAAAGAATGTCTGGGGCAAGTGCACTTGGGAAATGCTGCGTTTACCCCTTTCTCTGAGACACTGCCATATAAAGCCCTCTTAAAAATTCAGCAGCAAAATGACCTGTGTGTTTTTGTTCTATCCAGTTACATTTCACAAATGTATGTGTCCAGAGGAGGGTTGGAGGGTGTATGTGTAATGGAATTAGTTCTCAGAGCTGGAGTCAGGAGGCACAGCTTAGGAAGGAATTAGATGTGGAATTAGGCGTGGACTCCAGGCCCTCTGAGGTGAGAGGAAGGGGAGCTTGTGTACCATAGGCAGTTGGTTCTGACCTGGGGTAGAGCGAGTCTGAAAGGGAAGGATTTGGCTGAACGGGGAGAGAAACTCAGGACAGGAGACGGTGACACCAGTGGAGGGCGGAAACTCAGAGGCAGGATCCCGTTTCTTGAGTTCATCCAGAGATGCCAGCAGGGCTGGTAACAGAGTGTTTGTTTGATGGTGATTAGGGAAATCCCAGGAAACCTGGATAGATGGAGGTTCTTTTCAGAAATCTGTTTGTTCCATGCATCTGTTTCACAAACCTATCAGGAGGGTCCTGGGGACTGGAGGAGTCAGCTCAGGCTGCCATCACAGAGCACCACAGAACTGGCAGTCTAGACGACAGACATTGATGGTCTCACAGTCCTGGAGGCTGTTTGTCCAAGATCAAGGTGTGGCAGGGCTGGGTCCTCCTGAGGTCTCGCTCCCTGGCGTGCACGTGGCTGCCTTCTTGCTGTGTCTTCCTGTGATCATCCCTCTGTGCGCATGCACCCCCAGGTGCCCCTTGTGTGTCCAGAGTCCCTCTTCTGATAAAAAGACACCAGCCTTGCATTAGGGCCCACCTGTAAGACCTTGTGGAACCTTAAGTACCTTTTTAAAGGCCCTGTCTCCAATACTGTCACTTTTCCAGGCCCCGGGGATTCGGACTTCCACATACGGATTTGAGCAGGGGACACAGTTCAGCTCACAGTGTGTCTAATGCCATGCTGGTGCCTGGGGGCTACGTGGCAGATGGCACAGCCCTGACATGGGGTTGCCACGTGGTTTTGTGTGGCCACGGCCATAGTCACTCTACTTGGGGTGGGTGGGACGGGCCACCTCTCTGGGGAGCTTTGAGGGGTATGGGGCAGGGCGGGTTTGGGGGACAGCTTCTAGGCAAGACTGCTGGAAGAGGTGGTGCTAGACTGAATCCCGGCATTGGTGTGGTGGGATCCTCAGACCTCCCTGCCAGGTTCTGCTTCAGTTACTGGGGGCTGGTGGTGTCTCCATGTTGAGGGTGTGGCTGGGGGCATGGGAGGGGCAGGTCCATCCCTCCTCTGGGAGCGTGGGCAGGGGTAGGTCCACCCCTCCTCTGGGAGCGTGGGCGGGGGTAGGTCCATCCCTCTTCTGGGAGCGTGGGCGGGGGTAGGTCCACCCCTCTGGGAGCGTGGGCTGGGGTAGGTCCACCTCTCTGGGAGCGTGGGCTGGGGTAGGTCCACCCCTCTGGGAGCTTGGGCTGGGGTAGGTCCACCCCTCTGGGAGCGTGGGCTGGGGTAGGTCCACTCCTCCTCCGGGAGCGTGGGCTGGGGTAGGTCCACCCCTCTGGGAGCTTGGGCTGGGGTAGGTCCACCCCTCTGGGAGCTTGGGCTGGGGTAGGTCCACTCCTCCTCCGGGAGCGTGGGCTGGGGTAGGTCCACCCCTCCTCCGGGAGCGTGGGCTGGGGTAGGTCCACCCCTCCTCCGGGAGCGTGGGCTGGGGTAGGTCCACCTCTCTGGGAGCGTGGGCTGGGGTAGGTCCATCCCTCCTCTGGGAGCGTGGGCTGGGGTAGGTCCATCCCTCTTCTGGGAGCGTGGGCGGGGGTAGGTCCATCCCTCCTCTGGGAGCGTGGGCGGGGGTAGGTCCATCCCTCTGGGAGTGTGGGCGGGGGTAGGTCCATCCCTCCTCTGGGAGCGTGGGCGGGGGTAGGTCCATCCCTCCTCTGGGAGCGTGGGCTGGGGTAGGTCCATCCCTCTTCTGGGAGCATGGGCGGGGGTAGGTCCATCCCTCTGGGAGCGTGGGCGGGGGTAGGTCCATCCCTCCTCTGGGAGCGTGGGTGGGGGTAGGTCCATCCCTCCTCTGGGAGCGTGGGCTGGGGTAGGTCCATCCCTCTGGGAGCGTGGGTGGGGTAAGTTCACCCCTCCAGTATTTGGGGCAGTGTGTCAGAAGGTCTGCTTTTGCAGAAACTTCCAGAGCAGTCCACCCCCTTGGCCAGGGCCCCCATGTGTTGTGTTCTAGCTCCTTCTCAGCTGATGTGTTTTGCAGGTGCAGGGAGGAGAACAGTGGGTTAAATGAACAGAAGGAAGCCAGCGTGCCTTTCTCTCTTCTGCCCGGCTGGCCTCCCCTTCCCTCACATCTGGCCAACTCTGGACTGGCTGGCAGCCCACCCTTCCCCAAAGCCCACACCCTCGCACTTGCTCTCAGCCCTATGTCTATGTCAGCTCTTAGAACGGCAATTTTCTAACATCCGATGGAACCTGGATTCCTTGAATATTCTGTTCTAGTTCCACAGGTTCCAATGGAGTGCTGTCAGTCCTGCAGCCGTTTGACCCCGAGTTTAAATGTCTGTAAACGGCACCAGGGGAGCCTCGGGGTCCTCACTGCCTTGAGGCCGAGCACATTTTACACACAGGAATGCACAAAATAAATGAAATGTGTAGTCACAAAATCTCGGTTTCCATGTGATTCACATACAGGGTGTCTCTCAGAGATTCCATATCAATAAAAACCTTCTTTTCTTTTGGTGAAAAAGTAAATCAGAGTTCAGATGAGGAAACTCTTGCACTTTTTTTGTTGTTGTTGTTTATTTTTTGAGACAGAGTCTCATTCTGTTGCCCAGGCTGGAGTGCAGTGGTACGATCTCGGCTCACTACAAACTCCGCCTCCCAAGTTCAAGCGATTCTCCTGCCTTAGCCTCCCAAGTAGCTGGGATTACAGGCGCCCACCACCACACCTGGCTAATTTTTGTATTTTTAGTAGAGATGGGGTTTTACCATGTTGACCGGCTGGTCTCAAACTCCTGAGTGACCTCAGGTGATCCACCCACCTTGGCCTCTGAAAGTGCGGGGATTACAGGCGTGAGCCACTGCACCCGGCTGAACTCTTGCAGTTTTAAAGGTGTTTACAAAGGTTTTGCAACTCTAACCTTGACAAAGTCAGCGCTGGCCGTGAGGTTTTTTGTTTGTTTTTATTATGTATCTTCTCTCCCAGGTCAGCTTTCATATTTTCACAGTGGCTGAAATAATTAGTGGAAAAGTCTGTCTACCTTTTCATCAGAGGTACTGGAGGACGAATGAGCCAGTTGAAGATTTTAGGTTTTCTTGGAGCAAGTTAGCAGCAAAATGCTGTTTTTGTTGAACTTGCTTTGACTGTGATGATTTTCTTTTCTCCTCGTTAGTAGCTACTCTAGGAGGGCCAAGGAGAGAAACACACACTAAGAGTCATTGAAGTTCATGGACCTGGGGTTTTATGGCCTCTCCCCCGCCCCCGACCCGCCCGAGAGATTAGTTACACAGAAAACGGTTGCCCCGGGGTGGTGAGTAACCTTCCCCTCCTCTGATCTGGCACTGGCTTTTCCTGGGGAAGCCAGGATTTCAGATTGCGTCTTCGGCTTTGCTTTCATTCTCTCTGCGGAGCCTCCCGGCGTGCTGGTCCTCACGGGGTTAGAGAACTCAGCCCAGCCCCCCTGGCTCTCCCATGGTGTTGCCAGATAAAACGCAGCGCATCCAGTTCTGCCTGAATTTCAGATGAACAGCAGAGAGTTTTTTAGTATAAGAATGTCCCACGCAATTATTTGGGACATGCAGTAAAGTGTCTTTGTTGTTTGTCTGAAATGCAGATGGGACTTGCGCCTTCTGCCTTGCCTGGTGGCTCTCCCCGGGAGTTAATAATTAAATGTTTTCCCAGGCAGTGATCAGGTGTCTGCTGTTCCCAGGAAGCTGCTAATCAGGTTACTCAAGACCCTTACCAAGGTCAAGACCCTCCCAGTCAGATCTCTGGCCATGAGCTCCCAGGATAGTTCTGGAAAGAGCCCGGGAGGTGTGACCCAGCCTTCTCCTCCTCTCTGCTCACCTGCTTCTGCACGAAATCCCGGTTCCTCTTCAGACCCAGCACTGGAGCCCTTCTGCACCATGGTTTGGGAGCAGATGTGCCTGTTTGTGACCATCACCCCCAGAGCCGGTACCAAGGGGACACAGGAGTCCTAGGGGGTGAAGATGTCCGCCGGCAGCAGCGGGGGCTGTGGCCTCAGGAGCCCCTCCTTGCCGCCCTTCCTGCTGTGGGCTGTTGGTTTTGTTCCTGGACTCAGGTCCAGCTGTAGATGTGTACTATGTGGCCTGCAAAGTAATCCGTTAAAAACAGTGAATTTCTGGCCAGGCGCGGTGGCTCACGCCTGTAATCCCAACACTTTGGGAGGTGGAGGCAGGTGGATCACTTGAGGTCAGGAG
The DNA here is from genome assembly GCF_000001405.40 of Homo sapiens. NCBI lineage: Eukaryota > Metazoa > Chordata > Mammalia > Primates > Hominidae > Homo > Homo sapiens. The sequence goes on along the minus strand of NC_000011.10, from coordinate 71,152,336 downwards.
TTTGAGACCAGCCTGGCCAACATGGTGAAAACCCGTCTCTACTAAAAATACAAAAAATTCGCAAGGCATGGTGGCAGGTATCTGTAATCCCAGCTAATTGGGAGGCTGAGGCAGGAGAATGACTTGAACCTGGGAGGCGGAGGTTGCAGTGAGCCGAGATTGCACCCCTGCACTCTGGCCTGGGCGACAGAGTGAGACTCCGTCTCAATAAAAAACAAACAAAGTGAATTTCCAATGTTTATAAATTTCACGTTTTTTTTGTCAAATCTGACATATCTAAAAGATATCTGCAGGCCTGGCAACACCAGACCTGCGTTCCTACCTACCAGCTGTGGCCAGAGTGGGAATGCTGCTGCCTGGCTGATTTGGGGACCACATTCTGCCAGCATCGCCCCCTTCGTGCCCCCCTGACTGCTCTTGTGGGCGTCTGCGATCGGGAGCCCTGGCCTCCCACCCAGCGTGTGTTCACTGGGTGCCCACTGTCCACTGAGGGGGGGCTTCCTACACATGCACCCCTGGAAGCAGCTTGGAGCCTGGACGGTCTCTGCCTGCTCTTGCCAGTCAGACGTTATCTGACCTGAGCTGGGGCAGAACCAGTGTGGGCCGTGTCTGCTCTGTGCCAGGGCTCTGAGCTGCGGGCTCCCCCCGCCCTCCGTTTTTCAGATGTTGACGCTGAGGCTGGCCTCGCTACCACACTAGGCTTCTTTCTGCATTAATGAGTGACATGAGCTCTGAGTAGCTTTGGCTCCACTTAAGAAGGGCTCTTTCCCTTCACCCTCATGCCTGCACTGCTTTCCAACCCAGCAGGGCCCAGGAGAATGAGGACGAAGAATAAAAACGGGTGAAATGGGGGTGGCATCGCAGCTACAGGTGGAGGTTGATATCTGATGAGGAGTGGCTGCTGTCAGGTTTCTGGGCAGCAAAGCTGAGGGGTGAGGCCGGAGTGCCTGCTGAGGACATGGTTCCAGTGCACCCCGCTACCCGGCAGGCTCTTCCCACACCGGAAGAGCGCTGGGAGTCAACAGTGGGTATCAGCTTTCTCCTAATTGGACATAGTGTTGGTTCCTGGTGAACTGCCCGTGGCCTCCCCGGGAGGTTCCTGAACACTCACAGGGCCCCCCAGTTATAAAACACTAGCACAGGGTCCACAATTCTGCTGCCAGGGCCCAGGGCTGATGGGGCGGGTGAGCTGAGTGCAGGGTGAGCCTCAGTGTACCTGGATGGTGAGGGGCAGTGGCTTCCAGGGTGCAGAGGACATAGTGAGGTGGGGCTGGGTGAATCATGTCGCCCTTTCCCTGTTGAGAGGGCCACACGGCTCGGTGCCCACATGGCTGCCAGGTGGGTGGAGTGGGCTCAGGAGGCGGGAGCCTGTGATTTTTCTAGAGATGACTGAAATCCAGATGTTGTGTGAAAACTCCTAAGTTCAGGATTCTTATAAAGCCCATTCTCATTTTAGGAACTCGAGGGTAAGAAACAGGTGCCCCCTTTTCTTGGCTCGTGCTGTCATCTGTGCCTTGTGAAGTGTCTAAACACAGGGTGAGAAGTTCCTGCCCCCACCCACTCCACGCAGCCGAGAGTCCCCAGGATATCCATGCAGGGATTGTGTTAGGTGGTTGGACACAGGGTGCTCCGAAAACTGTGGACCATGGCATGGCGCCTTTCTTACAAAGAAAGAACATGCGCTGGACATGAAGCCACACACACCCTAGGGGGATCCCTCATGTATAATTGGTGCACAGTAAATATATTTTGGTTTATAGCTAGAGACTAAATAGAAGATTAAACTATTGATTTGGGATTATCAATGTCATTGTTACCCTGACATTCCACTAATGTGAATAATTGGCAGCAGACTTAGGTCCTGCATTAGGAAGTCTTCTCAGCTTTCCTTCTTATCATTTCCTTCCTTTCCCTCCCTTCCTCCCTCCCTGTCCCTCCCTGTCCCTCCCTCTCCCTCCCTCCTTGTCCCTCCCTCTCCCTCCCTCCCTCCCTGTCCCTCCCTCTCCCTCCCTGTCCCTCCCTGTCCCTCCCTCTTCCTTCTCCCTCCCTCCCTCCCTTCCTCTCCCTCCCTCTCCCTCCCTCCTTCCCTCCCTCCTTCCTTCCCTCCCTCCCTCTCCCTCCCTCCCTCTCCTTCCCTCCCTCTCCTTCCCTCCCTCCCTCTCCCTCCCTCCCTCTCCTTCCCTCCCTCCCTCTCCCTCCTTCCCCTTCCCTCCCTTCTCCCTCCCTCCCTTCCTTCCTCTCCCTCCCTTCCTTCCTCTCCCTCCCTCCTTTCCTCTCCCTCCCTCCTTTCCTCTCCCTCCCTCCTTTCCTCTCCCTCCCTCCCTTCCTCTCCCTTCCTCTCCATTCCTCTCCCTCTCCCTCTCTGTCTCTCCCCTCCCCTCCTCTCCCTCCTTCCCCTCCCCTCCTCTCCCTCCCTCCCTTCTTACCTTCCTCCCTTTTTTCCTTCCTTCTTTCCTTCTCACCTTCCTTCTTTCCTTCCCTCCCTCCCTCCTTTCTCCTTCCCTCCCTTCTTTCCTCCCTCTCACCTATGCACAGTTAGCCATCCATCCATTCATCCATCCATCCATCTACCTCCTTCCCTCCCCTCCTCCCTTCCTTCCTCCCTCTTGCGTATCCACACAGTGAGCCATCTATCCATCCATCCATTCATTTATCCACCTCCCTCCCCTCCTTCCTTTCCTCTAATCCCTCCCCCTGCAGAGGAGAAATTTCTTTTCCTACTACCCTCCTCTCTACCTGGGGCCCTGAAATTGAGCTGACATAAGACAGTCGCAAGAGAAAAATGGTTTGTGAACACATAGAGCACCCGTCAGTGAAGAGTGTCTGAAAAAGTGCCTACAGCTTGGGCTGGGTTGGTGCCTCAGAGCAGGAACAGTACATTTGTAGAGAAGCGACAAGACAAAGGGAAAGGACTGTGAGTTTCTAGAGGGCAAATTATGGGGCGGCCAATCTTTAGGAAAGAAACAGCAGCTGAAGGCTAGTCTGTTGGTGAAGTCAGCTCTGTAGGTTCCTCCAGGGCGGGGCTGACAAGGGTCTAAAGCTGTCTCTAGTGATGAACTTCTGAAATTTACGTCTTGCTTTGAGGCACACCAGTGGCGGGGGAAGGCAGCGAGCTGTTCTCGCACCTGCTTTTCCTCCATCGTCTTCAGCTCAGGACTGTCCTTATGCCCAGGCAGCATATTTTGGGGTGGCCTCTTCTGCCCCCTGCACTCCTGCCCTCCTTCCTTGCTCCTTGTGAATGATTTCTAACAAAGAGAATAATACGGCAAACATCTGTGTCCCCAACTGTACCAAGTTTGACCTTGTCCTGTAGTTGCTGGAATTGCTTTCAGGAAGTTCATGGCTCCAAGCAGCGCGGCCCACCCTGTCTTCCTCCGAGAGGGAACTGCTCTCCTGCATTGGGCATGTGCCTTTCCAGTTGACTGCTTCTGTGCCGTTACGCACGGTGAAAATGCCCATGTACCATCTGTAGGACTGTGTGGCATCTTTCCAGCCTTTATCTGGAAATGATAGTATGTGGTTTGAATCCTTCCGTGAATTGCCTTCCTTTTGCACAGTGTTATGTTTCAGGGATCATCCACATGTAGCTTGGGTTCATTCATTGTCACAGCTGTGGAGTTCATGGGAATGAAGAGACCACAGCTTGATCAAGGGGTCCCTAAACAATCAGGGTGACCATGCATTTCCACATGCTGCTTTGGCAGGGAACAATCTTCTATGCCTTTCCATATGCACGTGGCCTCGTCCTTCCCCACAGAACGCACCCAGAAGTGGAATTGCTGGTTCAGCATGGCCCCTCCTCCCCCAGTCCCTGCCATCCCTGGGTCAAGCCAACTTTTATCCAACCCTTTCTGTACTCCTGCCCTGCAGAGGTGGGGGATGTCATAGATGCAGCCACCAAATAGTGGATGGCTGTTCCCAGAGTTCTGTGTCCTTCTTAAGAGCCTTGGTCTGGCCAGGCACGGTGGCTCACACCTGTAATCCCAGTACTTTGGGAGGCCAAGGCGGGTGGATCACCTGAGGTTGGGAGTTTGAGACCAGCCTGACCAACATGGAGAAACCCTGTCTCTACTAAAGATACAAAATTAGCTGGGTGTAGTGGCGCATGCCTGCAATCCCAGCTACTTGGGAGGCTGAGGCAGGAGAATCGTCTGAACCCGGGAGGCGGAGGTTGCGGTGAGCCGAGATCACGCCATTGCACTCCAGCCTGGGCGACAAGAGTGAAACTCCATCTCAAAAAAAAAAAAAAAAACAAGAAGCCTTGGTCTAAGGTGGCCATTGGCAACCTGGCCTGACTCTTTGTGGGGTAATTTTTATTGCACTTGACCTTGAGGAAGCTGCACTCTCAGCTGCCCCTGCCTCTTGGGGACCCCCAAGTCTGATGGCTGCAGTCTGCTCATGACTCTTGGTTCCACTCCAGTCCTGGTCTGGGAGATTCTCTCATCTGTGGGCCTGGCCCTGGCCTTTTGTTCTGTTTTTACACGGTACCTATCATTGCTCTGTGTTTGAAGCAGAGAGGGTTATTATAGCGTGAACTTGCTGCCATTCTGACCTGAAGCCCATGTTTCTTCCTCTCCTGAAGCTCTGTCCTCCAAGGAAAACAAAAGGCAGCCTTTTTTCTTACCTTGGGTAGCTCAGACAGCCCCAGTGGCCCTCTGCATCATCTTTGTAAGCTGTGGTCATCCCCGTGGCTAGCTCAGGCTCCTTTTGAGTGCCGGGGTTTCACAGCGCTGGTACCAGAGTTTGCAGGGTTTTCCTGGGTCCTGGCTGCCGCCTCTGGCTCAAGCTCCAGGGAGGAGCAGGCGGTGCCGACTTGTGTCCGCCCTCTGGGATCTGTACATTGTGCATACCTGGGGCCCTCGGCTGGTGGTCACACCAACAAACACAGACTGTGAAACCGAGCCCACGTGTGTTCCAGCGCCAGTGTCCACCGTGCCCCTGGGTTTTCTTTCATTTTCACATCTCCCGTTCTTTGTCTTCCTTCTCCCCACCTCGAAGACACAGGCAGCCATGCCGCGCAGCCCAACATCCAGCGAGGACGAGATGGCCCAGAGCTTCTCCGACTACTCCGTGGGGTCGGAGTCAGACAGCTCCAAAGAAGAGACCATCTATGACACGATCCGGGCCACTGCGGAGAAGCCGGGCGGTGCCAGGACGGAGGAGAGCCAGGGCAACACGCTGGTGATCCGCGTGGTCATCCATGACCTGCAGCAGACGGTGAGCCCCGTGGTCTGCCCTTTGGTTCACATCTGGACAATGTCACCTGTGGCTTGAACGCCAGAGGCCTGCTCTGGTCCTCCCCGGACCCACGGTCCTGACTGCTCTGGGCACACCGTGCTCCTTCCTCGCTCCATACTTCTGCCCCCGTCCCCCCAGGCTCCCTGCCGTGCCCGCCTCCCCTCCCTGCTGCCGCTGGCCTCACATCATGCTGTTGCTGTCATTGTCCCCAACTCCATCCACAAACATTGACTGGGCACCTACTGTGTGCCAGACCTGAAGCAAGAGTCCCAGAGGTGGAGAGGAGTGTTTCACAGCCTCATAGAGAAAACCCGGGCGGCAGGTGCACCCGCAACTGGCTTCTAGCACCAAGTGCAGGAGGCTCTCAGGCCTGGCCCTGCCTCTTCCTGGTGCCGGACTCTGCTGTGCCAGAGGCCCAGCATCCCATGCTCCCCCACTTCCAGGGGGTACAGCCCTGAGCACTCCTTCCCGCGTGGCTGCTGTCCGCCTCCTCCTGTCCCTCCAGCCCTGGGCCTAATGTCATTCCTGTGCCGCCCAGAGCCCTCAGGCTGCCCTGGCCCACGCTGGCTGTGTCCTGGATGTCTGTCCTTATGCCTGGGGGTCCCTTTTGTTGGATTTGCCTTCCCCGAGGAGGTTGGCCCCTGGGAACTGGGGCTGTCTGTAAAGGGGAGCTTCGTGTGCAGAGGAAGGGGTGTGGCTTCATCTTGTCTGTAAAGGGGAGCTTCGTGTGCAGAGGAAGGGGTGTGGCTTCATCTTGTCTGTAAAGGGGAGCTTCGTGTGCAGAGGAAGGGGTGTGGCTTCATCTTTTGCCTGAATCCACCAGAGCAAGCTGGGGGCCAGTCGCCCAGCCACGTTCCCTCTTGCTCACGGCGGGGACTGTGCCACATGTGGCCTCAAATCGGAGATGTGGGACAGAGCTGGAAGCGTGGAGCAGACATAATGGTTGCAAACAGGCGCCTAGTAGGGTTGGCCTGCGAACATTTCACACGCCGTCTGTCCACCTGGGGAATGTGGGTGGGGGTGGCAGTAGTAGGGGCAGTTGGTACGAAGCCCATTTGCTGTGGAGTAGACATGGTAGACATCCAAGAGTTAGGACTCAGAGGGGCATCTGGGTGAGGCTCGTCACAGTCTCCATCTGTGCTTTCTAGAAGGGTCTCCCTCAGTGGGCTGGGAGGACCCTTCTCATTTTAGCTTTGGGTTAAAGGAATGGGGAGAGGTGGGCTGGTGGTGTAGGCTGCTGCAGGTGCTTGAGGGGGTAAGCCCAGTGCTCTGCATCCACCCCGACCTCTATGAGTACAGTCTCCCGGCCCCAGCCACGATGGGGAAGGGGGGCCCAAGTGCTGGAGATCGGGGAAGCATCATGCTGCCTACTGGCTGAGTGTTGCTGGTGCCTCACTTGGTGCCCATCCAGGGTCCCAGCTCCTGGTGCTGTGGAGGAGCTAAGAGATGCCCTGGGGTTAGCACCTCTCAGGGCTTGGTCCCCAGCGAGGGCTAAATGTGTGTCTCCTCTTCCCCCAGTGCCAGCAGCTTGCGGTCCAGCAGGCACCCTCTGCTCAGCCCACCCCCAGCCCTGCTCCCTCTGAGAGAGACGCTAACTGGGCTGAGGGGACTAACGTGCTGACACGTGCCCTCTAGGGATGAACTCAGCCAAGTGGCTTCACCGTCTAGGACAAACTTGTCCAACCCAAGGCCCGTGGGCCACATGCAGCCCAGGACAGCTTTGAATGCGGCTCAACACAAATGCATAAACTCTCTTAAAACATTCTGAGGGGTTTTTATGCAACTTTTTTTTTCTTTTTAGCTCATTATCTCTCTTTAGTGTTAGTGTATTTTATGTGTAGCGCAAGACGGTTCTTCTTCCAGTGTGGCCCAGAGAAGCCAAAAGATTAGACACCCGTTGTGGGGGAGGCTCAGGGTGGCCTGATGCCCTAGAGCTAATCTGGCCATGCCACTGGCCCCAGGGGCTTCCCTGGTAGTACAAAGGCTGTTCAGGAGGATAGGCGTGGTCTTTTGGAGTTCCTTCTCCTATATTATTTAATGCCTCTTATAAAAGCTATAAATGATTGTTATGAAAAGTTCAAGTAATGCAGGAAAGCACAAATGCCAGACTTAGCAATGGTGATCACATCAATACTTGGCAGAGCCCTGTTCCGACACGTCCCTCTGCAGGATTACAGGCAGTGGGTGGAAGTGCATATGGATAGAAATACCTTGGTAAGCGTGGGCTCAAACCACACACGCTCTTAAGAAATGAGCATCATCAATGTTATTTTATTTGAATATAAGAGGAGAAAAAGATGGTGAAGGAAATGCTTCTTTTATTTATTTATTTTTGTCACAAGAGACTTTTTCCAGCTAAATCTGTGAAGGTAAAAGAAGTGATTATGAAACACTGGAAGGCTGGAATTTTTTTTCTTTCTTGTTACAGTTTTTTTTCCCTTTTCACTGTCCCCTCTTCCTATATCATTTAGGGGTAAACTAAGCTCATTGCTATAATAAAAGGCCTCCAAATGTCAGGCACTTAACACATAGATGCTTTATTTTTTTTCTCTCTTCTCAGTCCACCTGGGTTGGCAGGATGGACAGGAGGGAAGTTCTGATCCATACAGACATTCAGGTACCCAGGCTCTTTCCATTAGATAGCTGGACCATTCCCTGGAGCTCTGGAATCCTCCACGGGGTCCTCTGTATCTGCCCAGAAGATGAGGGAGGAAGAGACAGAACTTGTAAAGTGCATCCATCACCTTCCCTGGTTTCATGAGGAGGTTGCACCTGACTGCAGAGTAGGCTGGGAAACGCAGTGGAGGTCTGAGCCCAGGAAGAAAAGGGCATCAGTTTGGTGAATGAGTAGCTAGTTATGTGTGCATGGGTGCACGCATGCGCACACTTTCCCTCCCCCACCTCCTGAGCCTTGTTGGGTGTGGACAGTGACTTGTTTCACACTGTCACTGTCCCTCCCACTTACTATCCACTGTGCCTCCAGGGCCCGGAGCCACTCTGTCTCTCTTGCCGGGGTCACTGCCATCATTTGCCTTTGCAATGCCCTTTTCATTTGCCAGATCCTTTTCTGGTTGTTATTTTGCTTTTAATTGGAGGGAATTCACTGTTCAGTGGGTTTTTTTTAGCAAGAGTTCCTAAGAGCAGTGCTTTCTCGGTGAATGGATGGTCGATGCTCGTTATCGGTGGTACTTGTGTTCTAAAAAGTTGCCACAGATGCTGAATGAGTGACGCCTTGGCCATTGCTCCCAGAGGAAGTGCAGTGTTCGATTCCTACAAGCCCCTGGTCACATGTTTGACCATAGGTCAATACGGAATCTTACTTTATGTATGTTGCTGTTTAAAGATGCCATATTTACTATGTAATGTTGATTCGTTAACATGGAACTCACAGCCAACAGTGCTCTCAGGCAGGCCTCAGTGGAGCTTCTGTGGCATGTTTTCTCTGTGAAGCTCATCACAACCTTCTTGCCTTAGGAACAAGTAGGCAGCACTTCAGCCCTTTGCTGGGACCCCTCTTAAATGGCAAAATCACCAACAAAAAGCACAAGCAATGTGAGAATGACATTCCATGGGCTGCAGTCAGACGCTTGTTTACAAGATGAGAGCTGAGACAAGAAGTCGGACCACCACCTTGATCAACCTCCCGTGGGAACCCGCGCATCGGGCAGGCTGAAACCTTTGGCTGTTTTGTGCGAAAAGCATGGATTTTGGGGTTACAAATAAATTTTAGCAAGTAGGCATACCCCAATACAAAATTCATGAATAGTGAGGATTGGCTGTGTTTTGAAAATGTCAGCTTGTTCCCTCCAGCTTGAAAACTCTTTTCCTCTGTGGGTTTTTTGTTTGTTTGTTTGTTTGTTTTTTGAGATGGAGTCTCACCCTGTCACCCAGGCTGGTGTGCAGTGGCGTGATTTCTTCTTACTGCAACCTCCACCTCCCAGGTTCAAGTGATTCTTCTACCACAACCTCCCAAGTTGCTGGGATTTCAGGCGCCTGCCGCCATGCCCGGCTAATTTTTTGTATTTTTAGTAGAGACGGGGTTTTACCATGTTGCCCAGCCTGGTCTTGAACTCCTGACCTCAGGTGAACCACCTGCCTCGGCCTCCCAAAGTGCTGGGATTACAGGCCTGAGCCACTGTGCCTGACCTGCTCTGTATTTTTGAGTCACAATTTCCCGTCTGTGGGGATGTTGTTTGATTGTCTTCCTGCCCTGAACATTGCTTTGAATACATTTGAGGCCAACAGATTTATTTTTTCCATCTCATAGGTGACTTTTTTTTTTTTTTGGACTAGATTCCTAAAGAAGTGGCTTCCGTTGCTACACCAGGAAGTGTTTGGTGTTGGGCATTCTTGGTTTTTCCTAGAAAAACTTTCTCTCTGCAGATTCTGTTTAAGGACATTTTCATTTTAAGAATGTTTTCCTGTATTTTGTTACTTTTTCTGTGTTATCGGTTGGATCCTTTATTTCAGGGATAGTAATAATTCCTATACTGGATTTTCCTTGTTCATATCTGTTATCTTTTTCTCTAATTGCTTTAATTGCTTGGCATTTTTCTGCTTGTTTGCCATTTTTTTTTGTTTGTTTGTTTGTTTTTATTGAAAGAGAGTCTCGCTCTGTTGCCCAGGCTGGAGTGCAGTGGTGCAATCTCAGCTCACTGCAACCTCTGCCTCCTGGGTTCAAGTGATTCTTCTCCCTCAGCCTCCTGAGTAGCTGGGATTATAGGCATGCGCCACCACGCCTGGCTAATTTTTGTATTTTTAGTAGAGACAGTGTTTTGCCATGTTGGCCAGGCTGGTGTCCAACTCCTGACCTCAGGTGATCTGCCCGTCTCGGCCTCCCAAAGTGCTGGGATTACATAGGCGTGAGCCACCGCGCCCGGCCTGCCATGATTTTCTTGAGCTTTTAATTGTTGTGTTCTCAGTTAGACCCGTTCTAATTTTTGTGATTTCTAATTTACTGTAGTCATGCTCCTTTGAGTTTTTGTTTCCATAGCCCTGCACTCTTTCTTTTTGAAAATACTCTCTTGAGTTGTTTGTTTGGTAGGTTTTCTGTCTTATTTTTGTCCTCCCTGGCATCAAGCATTCTCGGGGGCTTTTCTTCTTTTAATTGTGGTGAGTTTTCATGCAGCTCAGAGACCGTTGGAGGTTTGCATGCCGTCTTTCTTGCTGTGGTTCATTTTGTGTCTGTGCGGGGTCCCTGTGGCTTCCCTGACATTTCTGCCTGTCTCGTCTAGGTTGGCTGTCAGTAGTTTGGGCTTTCTGTTGGTTCGCATAGTGCATGGGTGAATTCCGTTTGGCTCCATCATGAAGTTAGATTTGGCCATCTGTTTGCCTTTGGAGAGGAGCAGGCCCAGGGCTGGGAGAGTGGAGTCTACGTGCAGGGCCTGGAATCCCTGTCTTTCCTGAGACATTGTATTAGCCCATTCTCATGCTGGTAATAACGACGCTGCTAACTACCGGAGACTGAGTAATTTGTAATAAAAAACAGGTTTAATAGACTCACAGTTCCACATGGCTGGGGAGGCCTCACAATTATGGTGGAAGTTGGAGGAGGAGCAAAGTCACATCTTCTTGTTGTTGTTTGTTTGTTTGAGAAAGAGTCTCGCTCTCTTGCCCAGGCTGGAGTGCAATGGCGCCATCTCACCTCACAGCAACCTCTGTCTCTTGCCTCCCAGATTCAAGAAATTCTCCTGCCTCAGCCTCCTGAGTAGCTGGGATTACAGTTACCCACCATGACACCCAGATAATTTTTTTTTTTTTGTATTTTTAGTAGAGAGGGGGTTTCACCATGTTGGCCAGGCTGGTCTCGAACGCCTGACCTCAGGTGATCTGCCCACCTCGATCTCCCAAACTGCTGTCAGCCTTGAGGTAGACAGCACTGTGAGCATCTTTGTTGAAGGATAACACACCCGTCCACAGGGCATGTGTCCCGTACACTCAAACGGAACGCAGCATGTAACCTGCAGGTGGAGGAAGGCGTAGGACGCCAGCCAGCCCCGGGAGCCCCACTGCTCCCTCCTACTCATGGGGAGGGTTTATGCTTAATCCCACTTTACAGATGGGAACAGGAGGGTCAGACTTCAGAGCCAGTGAGGGGCAGAGCCACTGTCCTGGGGACACCCAGCCTTGGGCCTTGAAACCTGCTGGATGGAAGCCCTGGGAGGCTGGCGTTGGGTGTGCCACCAACTGCTTGGTACTGGGCTGATTTGCACCTGCAAGTTGAATTCCCGGCAGGAAGGCAGCCAGCAGGCAGCGCTGCGTGGGAAGCAGCCCCGGCCCCAGTCGTCCTGGCATGAGTCAGAAGCACGTCTCCCTCGCCATTCACTCTACACTTTTGGGCGAGGGTCTGAAGATCTGAGCCTCGGGGTTCCACCTGTCGGGAACAAACACCACTTGTGAAGTGAGCCATTGCGGGTTGGCGTTCAGCCCGGGGAGCAGCCACAAGGGGCCCATTACTGTTTCTGTTCTCCTGGGTCCACCCTCCTGCTGGTGCTACCCACACTCGGAGGCTCTCATCAGCCACGTAGAAGGGAGGCCCCGGTCATCTCAGCCACTGAGGTCCTCCATCGGCACTGGGGCAAGGGTGTTGGGAGATCAGGGGCCTTCTACACCCGGCCGGACCCTGCCTCCCTGCCTGTTTGACGCTTTCCTTGGCAGGGTAATCTTCCCCTTGCAGGGCAGGGGCTGTTTCCCCAGCAGGTGTTCTGCCCACTTTGCTAGAGTCACTGGAGACCTGTTGGAGTGATGGATGGAGCCACAGGTCTGCTCCAGCCCAGATTTAACCTACAGCACCTCCTCGTGAAAGCCAGGGCCTCTTCAGGGTTTAGTCTCTACTCGTGGGAGCCTGGTTGTTTCTGGAACCTTCTGAAGACCACTTTGCTTCACTCTGTTCAAGACAAACAAAGCCCCTGGAGGCTGAAACCAGAAATCCCCCGGGTGTGAGCTCTCAGCAACAAAGCAGACATTGTTCCCGTGTGAGAAATCCCTTGTGGGGCTGAGTCCTCTGTGGAGCCAGGGACACGAGACAGTTCCTGGAACCCTGCCCGGAGGAGCCAGCCAGGAGCTGCCGAGTGAGTCTGCACCGAGGCCCCAGTGCCCGTCCACTGGGAGTTGGTGCTGGAGAAGCACCTGGGCGGCCCCTTTTCTCCCCCAATGCCACCCCTCCTCCGCTGCTGTCCGGGCCCACTGCTGCTGGCCGAGTGAGTGCTGTTTCTGAGCCTCACCCTCCAGTGGAACTGAAGCTTTAAGTCATTGAGTGAGAGCCTCTAGCAGTGCTCACAACCCTTCAGGCACAACCGGAGCCCTCACTTGAATAGTCGTGTGTGGGTGGGCTTCCCGGGCCACGCAGGGAGTGGTGGGGTGGGCTCTGGGCACAGGGAGGGCAGCCTCTCTGCATCCTCTCAAATGCACAGTGGTGGAGTGCTGGCTCTGGACATTCAGCATGGCCTTTAAAACAAGTGGCATGTGCCAAAATCAATACAAACTGGTGAGCTCTGTTATTTCTGGGGGAGTGTGAATGAGGAAGAGGGAAGAAAACTGGCCCCGTGGCCCAAAGTGGTTTTTCTTTTATTTATTTATTTATTTTATTTTATTATTATTATACTTTAAGTTTTAGGGTCCATGTGCACAATGTGCAGGTTAGTTACATATGTATACATGTGCCATGTTGCTGTGCTGCACCCATTAACTCATCATTTAACATAAGGTATATCTTCTAATGCTATCCCTCCCCCCTCCCCCTACCCCTTTAATCCACAGTGAATGCCATGTTGCAAGGAGAGCAGAGAAGAAAATAGAACGGGGCTGTGGCGGCCTTTGTCGGGCTCTGCTGGGGTGTCTACGTCGGCCCCGCATCCGCCTCTCCCTGAGGCCTGGCACCGAGTAGCTCAGCTGAAGCTGTCACTCTGAGGGCTGATCCTTGCGACCTGGCCCACCTCCCAGCAGACGCTCAGGGAAAATGAGTGTCCCATTCTGTGCTTGAGTCAGTGCTTCCATTTATAAAGCACGTGCATCTTCCAGTGGGGTACTTCATTTAGGAAAAAGCATTTGCACTGCCAACCTGACCCCCTCAAAGACCATGCATTGTCACTCAGCTGTCCTCCCTCTCTCCCCGCCTGTACAGTCACTCAAAATCCCCACTACCTTTGCCATGCTGGGAGGGCCCTGCCCTCTCATTCCCGCTGTGCTGCCTCACCCTGTGGCATGCATCTGCTGACGGGGATGTCCTCTCGTCTGTCTGCTGCTTCCAAATGGACTCTCAGATTTTTCTTTTTCTTTTTCTTTTTCTTTTCTTTTTTTTTTTTTTTTTGAGATAGGGTCTTGCTCTGTCACTCAGGCTGGAGTTCAGTGGTGCAATCACAACTCACTGCACCCTTGGCTCAAGGGATCTTCCTGCTTCAGCTTCCCAAGTGCACGCCACCACACTGGGATTTTTTTTTCTTTTTAGTAGAGACAGAGTCTCACTATATTGTCCAGAGAGGTTTCGAACTCCTGGGCTCAAGTGATCCTCCCACCTCAGCCTCCCAAAGTGCTGGGATTACAGGCGTGAACCACCGCGCCCGGCCGGATATGCTTGATTCCAAAGTGGCCTTGGCCCGTCTGCTTATTATTGTGGATTAAAATAGAACCCCAAAAGTAAGGAGGTTTCACCTCCTCCACCTTCAGGATTTAATCCCCTCTTTTTGGTCACAGGCACATAATTACCGCATTTGCATTTTGTATTTGAGGATTCCTCTACTTTTGAATATTGGGAGGACTCTACCTGTGCTGGCAACGTCTGAGCCTATCTTCCCCTCCTGTACCTGGGGCTGGCTCCTCATCCTCAGAGACCATGAGGCGCCCGGCCATTGTGAGAGGGGGCTCTGGACGGCCGGTGCAGGGGTGGTTAGTTACCGTTAGAAGCTGTGTTCAGGTGCTTTGCTGTGTGAGTGCGCCCGCCCATTGTGAGAGAGGGCTCTGGGCGGCTGGTGCAGGGGTGTGGTTCGTTACTGTTAGAAGCTGTGTTCGGGTGCTTTGCTGTATGTGTGCGCCCACCCATTGTGAGAGAGGGCTCTGGGCGGCTGGTGCAGGAGTGTGGTTCGTTACCATTAGAAGCTGCATTCGGGTGCTTTGCTGTGTGTGTGCGCCCGCCCATTGTGAGAGAGGGCTCTGGGCGGCTGGTGCAGGGGTGGTTCGTTACCGTTAGAAGCTGCGTTTCGATGCTTTGCTGTGTGTGTGTCTGATTCCTTGCTCCTGGACCCTGCAAGGTGAGAGCTGGGTGTCTTCTAGGAGTTGATGGAGTCCATGTGCCTGAGAGATTGGCAGCTTGGGTGGTCGTGATCCTGAATGGCAGCCTCTTAATTCCACTTCAAGAAGGTTTGTCCTTGTTTCCCTCGGGTGGATTTTTCCAGGTAGAAAGCCAGTTCTGGTCAGATTTGCCTTCTGCTGCATTCTGTTCAACACCTGGGCCTTCCAGGGAGTGGGTGGCGGGAGGGCTTCTCGGCCAGGCCCAGCTCCCTGCAGCCAGCACCCTGGCACCGATAGAACTTCTGTTAGCGGCTCCCTGCACCCAGCACCCTGGCGGCGATAGAATTTCCATTCACACAGCATCCACGGTCACATCTCCTGCTGCAGCCTCCTTTGGGGGGGCTGGGCCTTATTTCCCCCTCCATACCTTCTCTGTTGAAAGCCCAGATGCCCCTCAACTCAAGTTGTGCAAAACCAATGCTATGACCGTAACTTTCTCTAGGAACCTCCAGGTCTGGCCCCACTGTTATTTGCTCTCTTAGATAGCAGTTACCTTTTTTTTTTTTTTTTTTTTAAGTAAGGATTTTAATACTTATTTTAAAAAAGGATTTAAAAAAAAAGAAAAGACTAAAACTTTCTTTTTTTCAAAAAGTTTTCTTGAGTTATAATTTATAAATTATAGGATTTACTTACTTTAAGAATACAATTCAGGGCTATGCACAGTGGCTCACACCTGTAATCCCAGCACTGTGGGAGGCTGAGGTGGGTGGATCACCTGAGGTCAGGAGTTTGAGACCAGCCTGGCCAACATTGTGAAATCCAGTCTCTACTAAAAATACAAAAATTAGCTGGGCATGGTGGCGCATGCCTGTAATCCCAGCTACTCAGGAGGCTGAGGCAGGAGAATCCCTTGAACCTGCGAGGTGGAGGTTGCAGTGAGTGGAGATCGCGCCACTGCACTGTAGCCTGGGCAACAAGAGCAAAACTCCATCTCAAAAAATAAAAAAGAATACCATTTGATGATTCCTAGTGGATTTGCTGAGTTGTGCACCTGTCACCACCATCCTGGTGTGGGAGGTTTCCATCCCTTATGCTGGGTTGCAGTGGATCCCCACCCCCACTTCCAGCCCCTGACGACCAGGAAGCCACTTTCTGTCTGTGTGGATTTGCTTATTCCAGACATGGAGTCAAACAACATGTGGCCTTCTGTGCCTGATTTCTTTGACTCAGCATAATCAGCTTTTTTGGGTATAAATTCAGTGGGTACAAATGCAGTTTTATTACATGGGAATGTTGCATAGAGGTAAAGTGTGGGCTTTTCGTGTGACCGTCACCTGAATGATGTACTTTGTATCTATTAAGTAATTTCTCACCCCCCACCACCCTTCTGAGTCTCCTGTGTCCATCATTCCACGCTCTGCATTCCTGCACACACATTATTTAGCTTCCACTTATAAGTGAGAACATTCAGGATTTGAGTTTCAGTTTCCAAGTCCTTTCATGTAAGATAATGGTCTCCAGTTCCATCCCTGTTGCTGCAAAAGACATGCTCTCCTTTTTTATGGCTGAGTAGTATTCCGTTGCACATATGCACCACGTTTCCTTGATCCAGTCTTGGTGGACCCTGAGGCTGAAGCATGACAGCTTTGAGGTCCATCCCCAGGGTGGCGTTTAGCAGAGCCCTGTTGAGCCTTGTTCTGATTCTCATCATCTTGCATGGAGGGACCACATCTTGTGGATCCATTCCCACTCAATGGTCAGCTGGATTCTTTCCACTTTTTCGCCGTGGGGACCATCTTTGATTCAGCCGTCGCAACCAGAATGTAGGCGTCCTCCTGAGCTTCCATCTCTACAGCTCCTATAGCCAGTCCCTCCCTAAGTCTGGTCACTGTACCTTCTAGACCCCCGCAAGCCTGTGTTGTTCCCTCAGCCTTCATCACCACCCCACCTTTCCTGTCATCTTCCTCTTGGGCAACCAGAACAGCTTCAGACCAGACTGTCAGAAGTTCTCTAGGTGAGGCCTTGGGTGGTTGTGTACATGTGAACACCGTGGCCACCGCTGAGCCCAGCCCTCCTGTGACTTCTTCCCGGTCTGAGGATAAAAATCAGGTCCTCCCCGGCTGGGCACGGTGGCTCATGCCTGTAATCCCAGCACTTTGGGAGGCTGAGGCAGGTGGATCACCTGAGGTCAGGAGTCCGAGACCAGCCTGGCCAACATGGTGAAACCCCATCTTTACTGAAAATACAAACATTACCTGGGTGTGGTGGCTGAGGCACGAGAATTGCTTGAACCTGGGAGGTGGAGGTTGCAGTGAGCTGAGATTGTGCCATTGCACTCCAGCCTGGGTGACAAAAGTGAGACTCCATCTCAAAAAAAAAAAAAAAAAAAAACATATCCCCCCTAGTCTGGGCACACACCTATTGGAAGTGTGCAAGTCAGTGGATTCTTTTTCCTGAGGATTCCATGGCTCCATGGCTTCTCCTCGGTCTCTTTGTTTACAGGGGGATTTCACAGCTAAGCGCCTGGGGGGCAGCTGGGCAGCAATTCCGCTCCACAAGGACACCTAGTGCAGGCTCTGCTCATCCTTGTACCCCATCAGCCGGTACAACCGAGTGAATGCTGGGTATCTGGCTATGGAGTGAGTGAATTCATTTAAACCCTTGCCTCTGTGGGGTGAGGCGCCAATGGCTGTACAGAGCCTCAGAGGATGGGAGAGGGTCTTTGCTTGGAATCTTCTAGGGTGAGGGTCTTCAGGGACAGCCAGCCTGAGGTATGCACAAACTTGGTGTGTTGGCTCAGCAGAGAAGGCTGAGGGCTGCGGGAGCAGTGTGTGTGAGGCAGCAGAGGTGGGCGGTGGGCGTCCAGGTATAGGGTCATGACAAGGAGGCCATGGTTGTATTTGATGGGCAGAGGTTTGGTACAGAGCATGTGACATCGTTTATATTTGAAAAGGGTAATCTTGGCCTCTCTGGTGAGAGGAGAAGGATTAGAAGAGATGGGGGCTCCAGGTAAATGGTGCTGGAGGCTGGGACCCTGGGAAGTGCAGGGAAAGCTGGAGACCCACAGACGCTTCCCTATGACAAAGCCAGTGGGGCTGTCCTGGAGAGAGGGTTTAAGATGTGAGGCCTGCGTCTTTGCAGTTTCTCAGCTCATGCCTGTAATCCCAGCACTTTGGGAGGCCGAGGCGGGTGGAGTATTTGAGGTCAAGAGTTTGTGACCAGCCTGGCCAACATGGTGAAACTCCATCTCTACTAAAGATACAAAAATTAGCCAGGTGTGGTGATGCACGCCTATAATCCCAGCTACTCAGGAGGCTGAGGCAGGAGAATTGCTTGAACCTGGGAGGTGGAGGTTGCAGTGAGCCGAGATCGTGCCACTGTACTCCAGCCTGGGCGACAGAGCAAGACTCCGTCTCAAAAAAAAAAAAAAAAAATTGAGATGTAATATACATGCCATATAATTCACCCATTGGAAGTGTGCAAGTCGTTGGATTTTAGGAAATTCACGGATGAGTGAGCCCATCACCACTGTGAATCTCAGGAAGCTTCCATCCCCCCAAGAGGAAACCCCACCCCTGTTGGCAGTCACTTCCCCTTTCCCCCTCTCCCCTCCCCAGATGCCTGCTCTGGCCATCGTCAGTGATGGGGTGGCACCGCACGTGGACTGAGAGGGAAGCCTTGTCTCAGTTCTTTGCCTCTCCTGCTGGAGATGAGCCCCTCCCCTCCCACCTGTGCTGTGTCCAGTGCCCACTCCGGGCCTCCTGCCACGGAGGAGCTTTCTGCACTGTCAAGTCACCCAGTCCACCGAGAAAGGTAAAAGCTCTTTTATCCACGAATGTAGCCGGGTGCAGTGGTGCACAACTGTAATCCCAGCTACTCAGAAGGCTCAGGCAGGGGGATCACCTGGGCAACGTAATGAGACCCCTTCCCTAAAAAAAAAAAAAAAATACATAGTTTTCCTTTGGGCTGCCCTTTCAGTTTCAGATGTTTTGTTCCAGAATGTTCTCTCCCAGTTGCTTGTTAGCTAAATGAAATTCTTCTGGGATTATAGACTTAATTAGAAGTTTAGGTATATGTTGCCTTGACATGAGCACATTTTCTGCCCTAAAAGAAAAGTCATCAAAAAGGACTTGGGCAGAAGATGGTAACATGATAATGGTCTTTATTCAAAAACTTTGAGTCCATGGAGTGTGGCCCAACACTGACTCCAGCCTAACCAGGGAGGCCCCCTAGACCACCCCTCCACTCTACGCTTCCACCCACCTACCCACCCATCCCCTGACCCTCCAATCCATCCACATCCCCCCTCCACTCACTCATCCGTCTATCTATCCATCCAGCCAGCCAGCCTGCCTGCCTGTCTGCCTGCCATCCATCCGTCCGTCCATCCCTCTGTCTCTCTCTCCCTCCCTCCCTCCGTCTGTCCGTCCGTCCCTCCCTCCCTCCCTCCATCTGTCCATCCATCCTTCCCTCCATCTGTGCATCCACCCAGCCACCCACCTACCCAGCCAGCCAGCCAGCCAGCCATGCATCCTCCCAGCCACCCACCTACCCAGCCAGCCAGCCAGCCAGCCAGCCAGCCGTCCGGCCGGCCATCCATCCATCCATCCATCCATCCATCCATCCATCCATCCATTCATCTGTGCATCCACCCAGCCACCCACCTACCCAGCCACCCATCCATGCATCCACTCATCCTCCTACCCACCTCACCCCTCCCTCCCTCCCTCCATCCACTCATTCACCCATCTATCCATTCTCTTGATTATAGAAATACATGGTTAGGATCTTTGGTCTCCACTTTGAGTAGCCCCGCCATGTCCTTTGTAGTATGCATTTGGATTACCTCTTGGGGAGGTAGAAGGCATGGAATCTGATTGTGGTTTCATTAACTGGTTGCTAAGACCAAAGAGAGTGCTGCTCCCCAGCCCCTCAGCCTTCCCTCTGCCTCCACTGTCTCTGTAATACAACAATGAAAACTAGCCTACCTGTCCTTAAGAGGAGTGGTTTACACTTGACTATTTTAGTCAAGAAACTGGTGAGTTACAAATTGTTTAGAAAAAAAGGGAAGGCTGTGGGGCCTTCCAATGAAAGTTGCCATGGAAAGTCAAGCCTTGATCATATTGGTTATTATTCACGTCACAGGGCATCCTCGATAAAGGCAGAGAAGGACTTTGTTTTCTTACACGTCATTTAAAGCAAATATTGTAAGGATTATATGTGGACCCTTCCTCTGTTACGTATTGGGTTCGTGCTTTGTATATGGGAGAGATTGGCCCAGTTTGCAGGGTCTCCGTAGCCTGCACATAAAACGTCTTGACTTGAGGTGCTCTTCATCGTTGGCTTAGAGTTAATGCCTACTTAAATCTCATGGAGAAAACAATGTACGGGAAAAGTGACTTTGGTCTGGAATTACTACAAGTTCTGTAGCAAAGCTCTGTAAATCCCACAGTGTAGGGGGAGTATTGTGGTTTGGGGCCATGCTGGTGAGGAGCAGCCGTCCCCTCTTTGCTGGCATCCCAAGCTGGTAAGGCTTATCCAGAGGGTGGCAATACCAGGGCCGCAGATCATCAGTTTTTACTTTTCTGTGTTAAATCCAAGGGTGAGGCTTTTTTCCAGCATCTTTGCTCTGAGGTTGGACCTGGGCGATTCCTCCAGCCTGGCTCCGACTCTGCCTCCCCGCCAGCCTCCACCCTTCCCTCGCTGCTCTCCCTTCTGGGCGGACAAGGCCTCCCACACCACAGCTTCTGAGCAGCATCTGCGTCCCGGCAGCAGCCTCACCTGCCTCTGTGGCCTCGTCGCTAATCCACTTTCTGACCTCCTGCTGGCTTAATCTTCCTGACTCATGGCTCCGTCTGTGTGCTGCCAGGATCGAGTTGGACTCATTAGCTCGGCCTCGGGGACCCCCTTAATCCCTGCTCCTCCTCTTGCAGCTGTGTGGCTCTGGGAATGATCTGGCATTTTTGGAGCATTCCTCTTTGGGCCTGGGGGTGCTAATGCGGCCTCCCGGAGAACATAAGGAAGAGATGATGTGTTTAACATGCTTACGAGCCAGGCTATGGGCACATAGTAAGTGTTTTGTGTCTGCAGTCAGGACTTTTTAATTATAACCCCCCTTCCATGGCTGACTTACTTCACTTCAATTTATTGCTTCTAAAGGGACTTCTCTGGCCAGCATCTGATCTCTGCTTTACAATGGCTCTGCCTGAAATCATGGCTATGAAAAGAGGAAGATTAAGTCACCCCCAAGGAGTCCATGGACCACTGGCAGAACCAAGCAGTGTCTCCCAGTTTAGCATCACCTTGACAATAGCAGAGACAGACAGGCAGCCTCTTACTAATCGCCTGGAGATACAGTCTGCCCACCGCTTCGCCACAGCATCCAGCGGCTGCCATGAAGCTTTCACTGTGCGAAAAATGTTCTGATTGGAAAAACGAATCCACAGCTCCGTTACCCTTTATTGGCGTTTAAACATGCAGAAGCACTAAGCCTGACTCTTGGACCTCAGCACCCCCCGACTAGGCTGTCCTTCTGAGTCGAGGTCACCCCACATTTCCCTGTTCCATTGACATGTCTGATTTCAGCTTCGTGTGTTACCCGTGCCGGGGTTTTAGTGTTTGCCACCACGAGCACCAGCCCAATGGGCCTCTGTCCGCAGTAAGAAGTATTATTTCATTTGGATAATTGCATTTGGGAATAAACCAATTGTAGTTTGGGGTGACCTTGATGTTGGTTATTTGTTGGAGGTGTGCAAGTACACGGATTGCACGTGAACAGCTATCAAAGACCCGAAGACGCCTGCGCGCACCTTTCCGTGGCCCCTGCCAAGCTTGTGTTTATGACGGGTCCTTAAAAATGCATCATGCAGAACTTGATGATGACAGAAACCGTAGCTGCAGAGGAAATTCTGAATGTGAAATGCGCTTCTTTGTAATGAATGACGTGCTCAGAAACTTGGAGTTTTTTCCGGCTTTCCTAAGTTCTTGCTGAACGCTGCTTACATGCGTTTGCAGAGCTGGCATCTTGATCGTCCCCGGGGTCTGCGTTTCTGGCTCCAGATCCTGAATAGGGAATATCCCTGTGGGGCCACGACCTGAGATGCTCTGGCATTTCCTCCCCCTTGTTCTCTTGGCTTTTCCTGGGCTCCTTGGGTAGAAGTCAAGAGGAAGGTGGATGTAAGTCTCACCTGAGGAAGGTGAGTTAGCAGATGCCGTAGAGGTGGAGGTCCCTGAATCCATCTGTGTAATCCAAGCCTCATGTTGTAGATGGCCCTTTCCACAGCTTTCAGATAACCCATGGCAATAAGACCTATTTTATATGGTATAATATTTACCATTTTCTCAAGCTTTGTCTAGACACTTCCTTGCCCTCACTACAATCTTCCAAAATCACCCGTCATCATCGCCATTTTACAGGGCCCAAAACAGATTTGGAAAGCAATTTAGTCTCTCACAGGAAACTCTTCTTGCTACATTGCTGTAAATCAAAACAGCCTTGCCCAAGAAGCTCCTGTGACCCTGGCAGGCCGGATACTTTTCGGCGCTGGTTTGCTGCTCCACCATTGTTTATGTGTCTTACTCAGCAGTGCGGACGTGTCCCAACACAGGCAGGTGGTGGCCCTTGGTAGGTTGCAGAGACTCGCCCCATGGTCATTCAGTGTTGTGGGCTAAGTCTCTCCCCCACCAAAATTTCTATATTGAATGAAGTCATAGCCCAGGACCTCAGAATGAGACTTTATTTGGAGATTGGGTCTTTACAGAGGCAATCAAGTTAAATGAAGTTGTTAGAGTGGGCCCTGATCCCATCGGACTGGAGTCCTTATGAGAAGAGGAGGTGAGGACGCAGACACACACAGAGGGACAACCACCTGGGGACACAGAGAAGGTGGCCGTCTGCAAGCCAGGAAGAGAGGCCTCCAGAGGAACCAGCCCTGCAGACATCTTGATCTCAGACTTATGGCTTCCAGAATGGGAGACAATAAATGTCTGCGGTTTAAGCAGCCTGTTTTGTGGTGCTTTGCCACAGCAGCCCGAGTGACTCATAACTCAGCGTAAGTGGCAGACTCAGGCCAAACACAGCTGCCTCTGCCTGTCTCCAGTGCCCGCATTCTGCCCACAGTCCAGTAGTCTCAGTTCTTAGCCTCTCACCTTGCAGAATACTTGTAACTCATGTGAACCAAGTGTGAGTGACCTTCCCTCACTGTCTCCATTTTTTCTTTTGTTTTGTTTTGAGTCAGGGTCTTGCTCTGTCACCCAGGCTGGAATGCAGCGGTGCAATCATAGTTCACTGCAGCCTCAACCTCCCAGCTCAAGGGACCCTTCTATCTCAGCCTCCAGAGTAGCTGGGACTGCAGACACGTACCATCATGCCTGGCTAATTTTTAAAAATTTTCATTTTTCGTAGAGACGGTTTCCCTATGTTGCCTCGCCTGCTCTTTGGTTTTGATTTGAGCTTGACCATGAACTGTACTAAGAGGGGTGTAGATGTATCACTCTGTTCAACAGCATGGCCAACCCTAGCTCTGTAACTTACAGCTCTGCAGACCTCGGTGGCGTAGCCTCCCCTCGCCAGAATCATTGCTGTAGTTAATGGTCTGCACAGTCCACTGAGTACAAGCAAGACTCAGTAGGCAGAAACTCCCGTCAGCCCCGCTGTGAAGTCCAGACCTTTCTTGACTGTTGGATGATACTACCCAGGAGTGTTCCATGTCTGGAATGTTGATCCAATGCTGTTCAATGCCATCCACGTTTACTAGCTTTGGTTTGGTTATGCAAAGAAAAAGACAGAAATGGCCGGGCACAGTGGCTCATGCCTATAATCCCAGCACTTTGGGAGGCCGAGGCGGATGGATCATGGAGTCAAGAGATCAAGACCATCCCGGTCAACATGGCGAAACCCTGTCTCTACTAAAAATACAAAAATTAGCCGGGCGTGGTGGTGGGCACCTGTAGTCCCAGCTACTCTGGAGGCTGAGGCAAGAGAATTGCTTGAACCCAGGAGGTGGAGGTTGCAGTGAGCTGAGATTGCACCACTGCACTCCAGCCTGGCGAAAGAGTGAGACTCTGACTCAAAAAAAGAAACCCCTGTCCTCAGGCAGCTCGGGCTGGGGCAGGGAGGAGCACTTAACTGGCTGGACGTTGCAGTGGTGCTGAGACAGATGTCGGGGGAGAGAGAGATGGGGAGGAGTAGGAGGGACGGGAAGATGTGGATGGTTCATCTGTGCTAGGACACAGCTCCCTTTTGTGGCTGAGGGGCTTTGTGGTATGAAGGGAACTTAGAGAGAACTGAGGCTGGCCTGAAGAAGTCCTGAGAACTTTCCGGGATCGGTGTGTACATCATCGCAAGGCTGGTGTCAGCCACAAACTCCGTCTCCACAGCTCCTGACCATGTCAGCCCCTGTCCCACTCCATCACCACCCAGGTCTCATGCTGTATGTACTGCCTTTCTGGAGATAAGGGAGAAGACAGCCTGGTTTGTGTCTCGGAGATCTCGTTACATCCATTTGCAGGTTTTCTGTGTCTTGAGCCCCTTGGGCCAGGCACGCAGCAGGTTTCGGAAGGATCTGGACATCACAGCCTTTAGGAGATTGAGTGACAGAGGGACCAACTCCTGCCTACCAGTTAGGAGAGAGTGAGGAGAAACATCCTAAGGCAAAATATGAAACTCAGCACTGCTCCCACCTTCCTGGGAGACAGGAAATGCAAGGTGAAGAGGCCGAGACTCATGGGCCAGACAGGAAAGGGAGCAGGGCCAGTCAGCTGGCCTGAGGGCCGTGGGCAGTCGGAGCAGCTCCTTGTGTTCCCACCCAAGGTGCCCAGTGGTCAGCTCAGCCTGCAGGAGGCCAGGGAGATGACATCGTGAGACCTCGGCCCCGGTGGAAAGGAGAGTGGGGCTCCAGCCGGCAGACGCGGAGAGGATGGCTGGTCCACCAGAGGCTGGGGCGCGGGGTTGTATGCAGCCTGGAAGGTCTGAACAAAGGGAATATGTCTTCTGATCCAGAAATGACCTGAACATCAACATCTTCTTCAGTATTCTCAATGACTTACATAACAGGCATATCTTAGAGATAGTGAGTCTGGTTCCAGACCACTGCAATAAAATGAATCTTGCAATAAAATGAGGCACACACATTTTTTGGTTTCCCAATGCACATTAAAGTTATATTTATACTCTATGTAGTCTATTAAGTATGTAATAGCATCATGTCTAAAAAAGCAGTGTATATACCCTAATTAAAAAATACTTTGTTAAAAATACTTAAGAATCACCTGCATCTTCAGTGGCCTGTAATGTTTTTGTTGGTGGAGTGTCTTGTCTCATGTTGATGGCTGCCAACTGATCAGAGTGGTGGTTGCTGAAGGTTGGGGTGGCTGTGGCAATTCCATAAAATAAGACAGCAAAGAAGTTTGCTGCATTAATTGACTCACGAACGATTTCTCTGTAGCATGCAATGCTGTTTGATAGCATTTTACCCACAGTAAAACTTATTTCAAAATTGGATGAAATCTTCTCAAACCCTGCACTGCTTTATCCACTGAGTTTATGGAATATTCTAGATCCTGTGTGGACATTTCAACAGTGTTCATAGCATCTTCACCAGGAGTAGATTGCATCTCGGGAAACCACTTCCTCTGCTCATCCCAAAGAGGCAACTCCTCATCCATTCAAGTTTTATCATGAGATTGCAGCAATTCAGTCCCATCGTCAGCCCCACTTCTAATTCCAGTTCTCTTGCTATTTCCACATCTGCAGTTCCTTCCTCCACCGAAGGCTTGAATCCCTCAAAGTCATCCATGAGAGTTGGAATCAACTTCTTCCAAACTTAATGTTGATATTTTCACCTCCACTTATGAATCGTGAATATTCTTAGCTGGGCGCGGTGGCTCAAGCCTGTAGTCCCAGCATTTTGGGAGGCCGAGGTGGGCAGATCACGAGGTTAGGAGATCGAGATCATCCTGGCTAACGGTGAAACCCTGTCTCTACTAAAAATACAAAAAATTGGCTGGGTAGGGTGGTGGGCACCTGTAGTCCCAGCCACTCAGGAGGCTGAGGTGGGAGGCGGAGGTTGTGGTGAACCAAGATCGCCCCACTGCACTCCAGCCTGGGTGACAGAATGAGACTCCATCTCAAAAAAAAAAAAAAAAAAAGTCGTTTATGAGGGTTGGAATCAACTTCTTCCGAACTTAATGTTGACATTTCCACCTCCTCTTATGAAACATGAATATTCTTAATGGCATCTGGAATGCTAAATTCTTTCCAGAAGGTTTCAGTTGACTTGACTTTGCCCAGCTCCATCTGAGGAATCTGTGGCAGCTATAGTCTTACAAGATATATTGTTAAATAATAAGACTTGAATGTCGAAATTAATCCTTAATCCATGGACTGCAAAATGGATATTGTGTATGCAAGCATGAAAACGTTTATCTCCTTGTACATCTCCATCAGCACTCTTGAGTGACCAGGTACATTGTCAAGGAGCAGCAATATTTGGAAAAGAATCTCTTTTTCTGAGCATTAGGTCTCAACAGTGGGCTTACAATATTCAGTAACATGTGTTGTAAACAGATGTGCTGTCATCCAGGCTTTGCTGTTCCATTTATAGAGCACAGATAGAGTTAATTTAGTATAATTCTTTTTTTTTTTTTTTTTTTTTTTTGAGACGGAGTCTCACTCTGTCACCAGGCTGGAGTGCAGTGGCATGATCTCGGCTCACTGCAACATCCTGTTCCTGGGTTCTAGCAATTCTCCTGCCTCAGCCTCCCAAGTAGCTGGGACTACAGGTGCCTGCCACCACACCCAGCTAATTTTTGTATTTTTAGTAGAGTTGGGGTTCCACCATGTTGGCCAGGCTGGTCTCTGTCTCTTGACCTCATGATCCGCCCACCTTGGCCTCCTAAAGTGCTGGGATTACAGGCGTGAGCCACCGCGCCTGGCCGATTGATTTAGCATCATTCTTAAGGGCCCTCGGTTTTTTTGAATGATATATTAGCATAGGCTTCAACTTAAAGTCACCAGCTGCATTAGCCCCTAACAAGACAGCCTGTCCTTTGAAGCTTTTAAGCCAGATGTTGACTTCTTGTCTCTAGCTATGAAAGTCCTAGATGCCATCTTCTTTCAATAGAAGACCGTCTTGTCTACATTGAAAATCTGTTGTTTAGTGTAGCCGCCTTCATCAATGATCTGAGCGAGATCTTCTGGAGAACTTGCTGCAGCTTCTCCATCAGCACTTGCTGCTTCACCTCACACTTTCCTGTTATGGAGATGGCTTCTTTCCTTCAGCCTCATGAATAAACCTCTGCTGGTTTCCAGCCTTTCTCCTGCAGCTTCCTCACCTCTCTCAGCCTTCAGAGAATTGAAGAGAGTCAGGGCCTTGCTCTGGATGAGGCTTTGGTTTAAATGAATGTTGTGACCGTCTTGATCATCAAAGTTTGGTGACTCAAACCTTCTCCCTGTCAGCACTAAGGCCTGTTTCACTTACCATTTGTGTGTTCACTGGAGTGGCCCTTCTAATTTCCTTCAGGAACATTTTGTTTGCATTCACACGATGGCTTACTGTTTGGTGCTGGAGGCCTCACTTTTGGCCTGACTCAGCTTTCAACATGCCTTCCTTGCTAAGCTTAATCACTCCTAGCTTTTGATTTAAAATGAGAGATGTGTGACTCTTCCTTTCACTTGGACACGTAGGGGCTACTGTAGGGTTATTACTTGACCTAATTTCAATATTATTGTGTCTCGGGGCATAGGGAGGCCCAAGGAGAGGGAGAGAGGTGGGAGAATAGCTGGTCAGTGGAACAGTCAGAACACACAGAACTTTTATTAAGTTTCCTATCTTATATGGGTGTGGTTCATGCCACCCCAGAACAATGACAATAGTAACATCAAAGATCACTGACCACAGATCATCCTAACAGATATAATAATTATGAAAAATTTGACAGTACAAGAATTACTCATATGTGACACAGAGATATGAAGTGAGCGTGTGCTGTTGGAGAAATAATGCCGATAGATTTTCTCGTTGCGGAGTTGCCGCAAACCTCCAATTTGCAAAAACACCTTCTCTGTGAAGCTCAATAAAGCAAGTGAAATAGAATGGGATATGCCTCTAATTTATGATTTGCCTGCACTAAGATTGGCAGTGGGTGTGTATAGAGAGGAACATCATCTATCACTTGAACAGCAAGAACTCGGGAGATGGGGAGATTTGACTTGGGTTTAAACCAAACCTCTACTGCTTTCTAGAAGTGTGACCTTGGGGTAGTTACTTGGAGTCTCTGAGGCTCAGCTTCTTTATCTAGAGAATGAGAATAATATTATTATATAAACAGTAATAATAATATTATACAAAAAGTAATAATAATATCCACTTAGGGTTGTGGTGAAGGTGATAAGGTTAGCGTAATTTCTGGCTTATTAGGATTCAATACATGGTAATCATCACTGTGTCATGGTTATCATTATCACTGTCATCACCATCATCTTCATCATCACCACTACTGTCATCATTGCAGTGACCACTGTCATCATCACCATCATCATCCTCATTATGATCACCATCACTATCATCATGATTGTCACCATCACCATCATCATCACTACCATCCCCTTCACCAACATCATCACCATTATCACTATCATCATACCATCATTGTCACCATCATCATCACCACCATCATCACCATCACCATCATCACCATCACCATCATCGCTATCATAATACCATCATCACCATTATCACCATCAATCACCATCACCATCATCACCATCATGATCACTATCATCGCCATTACCAACATCTCCATCATCACCATTATCACCACCATCACTGCCACCACTACCACCACCATCATCACCATTACAACCACCCTCATCATCAGCATCACCACCATCATCATCATCCCCTCCCTGTAGACACTGAACTCTTTAAGGGGCAAGAGCACATCTTGGTCATCTTCGTGTCCTCTCACCCACTCCTGTCCTGGTGCTGGTATAGGACCCTGTGCACAGAAGATAGAAGCTCAAGGAGAAGAGAGTTGTTTCCTCCAGTAATCCTTTAGAGGAGTTGGCCAGGGTTGGGACTTCCTATACACTGTTGTCTTTGCCATCCTTTCTGTACTATCTGTGAGTCATCTAACAAATCACTCACTCACTCAGAACATCTCTAACAAATTATAAAGGAATAGCCACCTCGCAGGGCTGTGGGGAGACCAGAATCAGATACTGTTCTCCTCAAGGAGAACTTGACATGACCAAGGCTCACACTGGTAACAGTGGGACCAGGAAGGGTCACTTAAGGCAGAAACTGTCTTGGGCCATCCACCTGCTAGACTCATCGCTGTTCTACCTTTGCCTCCCTCCCTCTCCTTATGATGGGCCCTCAACCTGGAAGTCCTACCCCAGACTCGCATATCCCTCTGTATTCCTGGGCAGCAGCCTATGATGTGTGCTCCTTACCAAGCAGCGTCACTTACTCCTTCCTCTGGGTCCCCAAGGGAGCTCGTGTTAGCATGGATTTTTACCTTTTCCATATTGTGTGACAGTTGAGTAGGTGTTTTTCCCCACTACAAATGGTGACCTCAGGCTGGTTTGCTTCTTATTTATTGTCTTTGTGGCTCCCACATCATTCAGCCAGTGTCAGTCACCTGTACTGTGTCAGGCCTGCTCTTGGACCTGGGGTTTGCCTGATTGGACAGTGAGTCAATGATGGGTAGGTGAAGAATTGAAGTAGGATTCATCCAAAGTGTCTTCTGACGTCGTGGGCTTGCCGGGAGCTGGTGTGAACACGTGGGTGGCTCCCATCACGTATGGAGGGAGGGGAGCTCCCTGGGAGCTGGGAATGCTCGACCTGCTGAGTTCCGCTCTCAGAGATGATGATGCTGCTGTTTTTTTGCTGCCACAATTAGTGGCAGGTGATTCACACGTTTATGAGTTCCCATGCCTGCCATAACCAACCACAGACTGGTGCCTTAAATCCCAGACACGTATTGTCTCAAATTCTGGAGGCTGGAAGTCCAAGGTCAAGGGGTAGGCAAGGTTGGTTCCTTCTGAGGCTTGAGGGGGAATCTGTCCCAGATTCTCTACCTCTACCCCAGCTTCTGGGGGCTTACCAGAAATCTTAGCATTGCTGGGTTTGCAGATGGGACACACCAGTCTCTGCCTTCCCATTCACGTGGTCGTCTCCCCGTGTGCATGATGCCGTGTCCAGATTTTCTCACTTTTTTTTAAAATTATACTTTAAGTTCTAGGGTACATGTGCACAATGTGCAGGTTTGTTACATATGTATACATGTGCCTTGTTGGTTTGCTGTACCCATTAACTCGTCATTTACATTAGGTATTTCTCGTAATGCTTTCCCTCCCCCAACCCTCCACACTAAGACAGGCCCCCATGTGTGATGTTCCCCTGCCCTGTGTCCAAGTGTTCTCATTGTTCAATTCCCACCTATGAGTGAGAACATGCAGTGTTTGGTTTTCTGTCCTTGCGATAGTTTGCTCAGAATGATGGTTTCCAGCTTCATCCATGTCACTTCAAAGGACATGAACTCATTCTTTTTTATGGCTGCATAGTATTCCATGGTGTATATGTGCCACATTTTCTTAATCCAGTCTATCATTGATGGACATTTGGGTTGGTTCCAAGTCTTTGCTATTGTGAATAGTGCCGCAGTAAACATACGTGTGCATGTGTCTTTATGGTGGCATGATTTATAATCCTTTGGGTATATACCCAGTAATGGGATCACTGGGTCAAATGGTATTGCTAGTTCTAGATCCTTGAGGAATTGCCACACTGTCTTCCACAACAGTTGAACTAGTGTACACTCCTACCAACAGTGTAAAA
Organism: Homo sapiens; assembly: GCF_000001405.40. Lineage (NCBI taxonomy): Eukaryota > Metazoa > Chordata > Mammalia > Primates > Hominidae > Homo > Homo sapiens. The sequence goes on along the minus strand of NC_000011.10, from coordinate 71,122,031 downwards.
GCATTCCTATTTCTCCACATCCTCTCCAGCACCTGTTGTTTCCTGACTTTTTAATGATCGCCATTCTAACTGGTGTGAGATGGTATCTCATTGTGGTTTTGATTTGCATTTCTCTGATGACCAGTGATGATGAGCATTTTTTCATGTGTCTGTTGGCTGCATAAATGTCTTCTTTTGAAAAGTGTCTGTTCATATCCTTTGCCCACTTTTTGATGGGGTTGTTTGATTTTTTCTTATAAATTTGTTTAAGTTCTTTGCAGAAGAAACTGAATGCCTTCCTTACACCTTATACAAAAATTAATTCACGATGGATTAAAGACTTAAATGTTAGACCTAAAACCATAAAAACACTAGAAGAAAACCTAGGTAGTACCATTCAGGACATAGGCATGGGCAAGGACTTCATGACTAAAACACCAAAAACAATGGCAACAAAAGCTAAAATAGACAAGTGGGATCTAATTAAACTCAAGAGCTTCTGCACAGCAAAAGAAACTACCATCAGAGTGAACAGGCAATCTACAGAATGGGAGAAAATTTTTGCAATCTGTCCATCTGACAAAGGGCTAATATCCAGATTTACTCCCTTTTTAAGGACACAGTTATTGCATTAGGGTCCACCCTGCTCCTGTATGACATCATCTTAACTTGATTACGTCTGCAAAGATCCTATTCCCAAATAAATCACATTCATAGGGTATGGGCATTAGGACTTCAACATTTATTTAGAGGGGCACAGTTCAGCCCATAACAACATGTCTTATTTATATTCTGTTTGATCCTGACAGCAGCCCTGAAGTTAAGTAGTGGCTCTGATTTTCATGGGGGAATCAGAGGACTGCTGGGTGGGTGGGTTTCCCTAGGAATCAAGGTTGGTGTGCCCCACTGGGTTGCAAACCCAGGCTTTCCGACCTTTGAGCTCTTGCTCCTTCTAGATGATTCTCAAGGTGGTGCTCTTAGCATTTTCTGGAGCAGATGGTTCTTGCTTTGTGGGGTTGGCCCCCGTGCTGCACAGACACAGCATCCCCACCCTGTCCACAAATGACGGTGGACACCTATCTTTGCAATCACCTGCAGTGGCACAGAAGTCCCCTGAGAGGCAGTTTGGAGCCCTGTGCTCCTCCAAGGAATTGCCCCTTGGCTGAAGCTTCTCTGCAGGTGTCAGGGAGGGAGCCATGGGCTCTGTGGATGTTGGAGCTTGAATTGGAGGGGCCTAGAAGGATTCCTGCAACTGAAGGGTGAGTAGTGAGCGGCCCCACCTGGTCACACCTGATACAGCTTGTTTCTTGTGCCAGGAGTTTCCAGAGAGTCCTTGCTTAGCCAAGGATGGGGGAGGGTGCGGGTCTGGAAATCTTTCTGGAATAAACAACTGCCCCCACCCAGCCTCACAGCCCTGTGGGGAGCTTTGAGAGCCACACGTGAGCTCAGCCTTTGACATTGGAAGGGAGAAACAGGAGCTTTTGTGCACAGGGTCAGGTTTCCTGGCAGGGAGGACTCTGGCCGCCCACTGAACCCGACCTCCTGTTGGCCGTCCCAGGATCATTTTCCCAGCGATGAGGAACTTACCCTCGGGCTGTCTTGGGAAGATGATAGGGCCTTTTGCTTTCTTGGGCACAAACCCACAGAATCCTCAGATAGAGAATTGGTTTGAGTCTTATATTCAATCAAACCTCCTTTTGTTCTGAACACTTTGACAGTGACAAAGTGAATTATTGAGCCCCTGCTGACAGCTGTTCAGTAGAATATAATTTTAATTCAACAAAAATTAGAAGTCATGGCTAGAAGTGGATTTGCCTGGCCTTTGCCTTTCCTGGCTCACTGGTGAGTCTCACAGAGGGGACCTGGGAACATGACCAAGTTGTTGTTATTTCAGTCCTCAGAGGTGCTATTATATGTTTGAAGTGTTGTGATTGGTTTGCAGGCCCTGTTGACACTATTTAACTTTGCAAAAATGAACTCTCATGGCAACTGATTTGATTTTCCATCAAATCGTTTTTCCGTAATTGCTTTCCTGTGTCCTTTGGGAGGAGAGGTGATGACTGCATTTTTAAAGCTTTTGTGTTCAGAGTCAGCGTAGGTAGTATGAAAACTTTCTCGTCAGTGTGGTTATAAGACAAGGCTTCCACCGAATCTGAAATGCTAAAGAACGATCCATGTCAAAATTAAGTCACATTGAAATATGCGCGGGCTGTGGCTCTGAATGTGTGTTCCCCAGGACGGCAGCAGCAGTAGCACCTTGGGATTTGTCTGAGATGTAGGTTCTCAGGTCCCACCCAGACCTGCTGAATCAGACATCATGTTAGGGAGACATAAGTGGGGTCTCTGACCTGTGTTTTTCAAACTGCTGGAGTTTGAGAAGTGCCATGCAAGTGAGAGAGGGCCCTGAGGTGACAGGTGGTCATTGATGACCAAAAAGACACTATGAGGGCTAGAGAATTTTTTTTTTTTTTTTTGAGATGGAGTCTCGCCTTGTCGCCAGACTGGAGTGCAGTGGTGCAATCTCGGCTCAGTGCAACCTCTAATTCCCTGATTCAAGCGATTCTCCTGCCTCAGCCTCCAGAGTAGCTGGGATTACAGACACGCACCACCATGCCCAGCAAATTTTTGTATTTTTAGCAGCGATGGGGTTTCGCCATGTTGGCTAGGATGGTCTTGATCTCCTGACCTTGTGATCTGCTTGCCTGGACCTCCCAAAGTGCTGGGATGACAGGCGTGAGCCACCGCACCCGGCCAGTGCTGGAGATTTGAGTCCATGGTGAGATCAAGGCCAAAGAGACCAATGCCTCGGTCTTTCCTTTTTCCCTTTTATATTTACCGAATGTCTGTGTCCCAGCAACCAGTAGGCTTTATTTTTCACTGTGAAAAGCCGTGGGTTCACTGCTCAGAGGAAGTGTCGGGAAGGGGTGGAAGCAGCTTTGCCTCTCTGACCACGCGCCCCACATGGGTGACTCAGGTAGCGTCCTCTGTCACTCATCAGCTGTCTTTGTCCTTCCTGGCAGAAATGCATTCGATTTAACCCGGATGCCACAGTGTGGGTTGCAAAGCAGCGGATCCTGTGTACATTAACCCAGAGTTTGAAAGATGTCCTGAACTACGGCCTGTTCCAGCCGGCCAGCAATGGGCGTGACGGCAAGTTCCTGGATGAGGAGCGGCTCCTGCGCGAGTACCCACAGCCCGTGGGTGAGGGCGTTCCTTCCCTGGAGGTATATTTCAGCCCACAGTGCATGGACTGTGGTTGTGTCACAGCCTGGATGCCATGGTGGGTGGGGGAGACATGGTGGTGGGGCGAGACCAATTCCATTTGCATTGGGAAATTATCCCCACATTTAAAAATCAGTCTGGGGTCTTGAGGTTTGATATGATTTGGCTCTGTGTCCCCACCGAAATCTCACCTCTAATTGTAATCCCCACATGTTGAGGGAGGGACCTGTAATCCCCATGTATTGAGGGAGGAGGTGATTGGATCATAGCGGTTTCCCATGCTGTTCTCATGATAGTAAGTGAGGTCTCACGAGATCTGATGGTTTTATTATAAGTGTCTGGAAGTTCCTCCTTTGCTGTTCTCTCTCCTGCTGCCTTGTGAAGAAGGTGCTTGCTTTCCCTTCGCCTTCCACCATGACTGTAATGTTCCTGAGGCCTCCGCAGCCATATGGAACTGTGAGTCAACTAAACCTCTTTCCTTTATAAATTACCCAGTCTCAGGTATTTCTTTATAGCAGTGTGAAAATGGACTAATAAAAGGTTGCTTCTGATTTTGCCATGAATCTCACACTGTTGTACAACTTTTATACATTTTTTTTTCACTACAGATTCAAAGAATCCCTGCAGAGAAATCTTGCTGTGAATAATAAACCGTGGGTCTGATTCAGGCTTTCATAACCAGGACCATGGGCCCTGGGCATGGAGAACGGGGCTCCCCATGCTTCTCTGAGGGGTTTTAAATTTTTCCTTCCCAGCGCCTAATGGGTGGTGTATTTTCCTTCTCCACCTCTCCAGACACCAGCTGGATGTCAATAATTAATTCAATTCTGACACTAACTACAAGTTTAAGGGCTCAGTCCCATAAGACTGCCCTCCATAAACGTCAAGTCCCCAGGCCACCCACATTTCTGTCCCATTTGGCTGTGAACTAGGGGTTCCCACCACCCCCTTTTTGGGTTCCATCCCTTGCTGGAGCAGCTCAGAGAACCTAAGAAGGCATTTTAACTGCTACCCCTGGCTTATTACAAAGTGTACAAACGCACAGCTGATGAAGAGGTGCACTAGGCGACGTCGGGAGGGCCCAGCGTGCAGGAGCTTCCATCCCTGTGGAGTTGGGCGTGCACCACCCTCCCAGTATGTGGATGTGTTTGCTGGCTCAGAAGCCCCCAGGCCCCATTGTTGAGGTATTTTTATGGAAGTTTCATTACATAGGCATTACATAGGATGAAATCACTGACCATGGTGATTGGACTCCATCCTGCCAGTCAGCAGGGCGACTGGGAGTCCTGACCCTCGAGTCATAGTCTGATCCTTCCGGCCACCAGCCCCCATCCTGGAAGCTACCTGGGAGTTGAGAGTCATCTCATTAGTGCTCCAGAGATACTCTTATCACTGAGGACAGTACAAAGGTTTTAGGAACTCTGCCAGGAGTCAGGCACAAAGAAGGAATTTTTAAATTACATCATATTCCTCGCGATAGTCTGTTCTTTCATTGCTATACAGAAATAACTGGCTGGGTGAGGTGGCTCATGCCTGTAATCCCAGCACTTTGGGAGGCCGAGGAAGGTGGATCACCTGAGATCAGGAGTTCAAGATTAGCCTGGCCAACATGGTGAAACTCCGTCTCTACTAAAAATACAAAAATTAGCTGGGTGTGGTCATGTGTGCCTGTAATCCCAGCTACTCGGGGGGCTGAGGCAGGAGAATTGCTTGAACCCTGGAGGTGGAGGTTGCAGTGAGCCAAGATGGTGCCATTGCACTCCAGCCTGGGCGACAAGACTGAAACTCTATCTAAAACAACAACAACAAAAAAACCTGAGGCTGGCTAAGAGAAAGGAGGTTTAATTGGCCCACGGTTCTGCAGGCTGTACAGAAAGTGTGGTGCCGGCATGGGCTCAGCATTGAGGCCTCAGGGAGCTTGTTCTCATGGCAGAAGGCAAAGCAGGAGCAGATGTTAGGTGGCAAGAGGGGGTGTGAGAGCGAGCAGGGGAGGAGTAGTTCCTGGCTCCCCCGTGAACTAACAGAGCGAGAATTGACTGACTACCATGGGGAGGGCTCCAGGCCATTCAGGAGGGATCCGCCCCAGGACCCAAAGACCTCCCACCTGGCCCCGCCTCCAACACCGGTGATCACATTTGAACATGAGGTTTGGAGGGGACACACAGTCAAACCATACCATTCTCCAATTCATCTCTGAGTCCTTGAGTAACAGGGCGGCTGTGACCATCCAGCTGTTCTCAACAGCACAGCTTCACTTCTGCTTCCTGCCCGGGTGACCGGGGCTCTTTGAGCTGCTGTCAGCAGCCACAAGCTCCTGGGCCTCCCTCCAGAAGTGGCTGATCCGTAAGACGGGGCAGCCCTACACATTTCCACGTGATGCACGACCCCTGTCCCTACCTCTCTCACCCAGGCTTGCTACGCCCCAAGTTTACAGGCATTGTTTCCTGCAGTGTATACGTGTTGGGTTACGTCAGTTAAGAGAAGCCAGAAACGGATCATTTCTACTCCTGCACAACATGTTGGCATCATTCAGCGATTGCACTCATTTTAGCTTAGTCAACAGCAAGAGGCTGCATGTGTGTAATTGCAGCTGGCACTTGAGCAACCTAAGTGGGTTCTCTACTCAGTGACTAGGGATTCCTCTGAAGCCCAAGATGTCATGGACGCCCACCCAGGGCTAAGGTGATGCCGCGTCTGCACGTTTCTCAGTTCCGTTGTGACACTGAGGCTGAGGTTATTGGGATCCCCAGTGTGGACCATGTGTCAGATTCAGGGAGGGGTTTCAGTGTAGAAAAAGATGAGATGCCACTTGGAAGTTGTGTGGTTTAGAGCAAATCACTCAGCTGTCCTGGCCTCAGTTTGCTTATCTGTAAAATGGGTATCCATTGGGAAAAAAATTGTCATTGAGGGCCAACTAAGGACCACACACTTTTCTGGCACAGAAAAGTCAAGGTTCTGATCCCACGGACCTTACACTCCAGTGGGAGGTGATGGACCAGGAAGAGTAAATCCATGCAGTTCATTTCAGGGGCTGATCATTTCCATAACGGCAGGAAAACTGGGCGAGAAGACCAGAGAATTTGGGAGTCTCCTCTACATCTGGCCCCAGTACCTGCAGCTGTGCAACCTCGAGCCAGCCACCCATGCTCTCTCAGCCCCGGATTCCCATTCATGACATTGAGTGAATGTTAGTAGTGATGTCCGGGAGTGGTCGTGAGGCCCAGAGGAAGTGTTCATGGAGCAGTGTGTGCGTTGTGAGCCTGGCCATCCACAAGTCCCCAAATTGACTTTGCAGCTGCTGCTCTGGTTTCATTGTCATGAAATTGTTGCTGATACTTTGTTTTTTGTTTTGTTTTGTTTTTGAGACCGAGTCTCGCTCTGTCATCCAGGCTAGAGTGCAGTGGTGTGATCTCGGCTCACTGCAGCCTCTGCCTCCTGGGTTCAAGCGATTCTTGTGCCTCAGCCTCCTGAATAGCTAGGATTACAGGTGCCCACCACCACGCCCAGCTAATTTTTGCATTTTTAGTAGAGATGGGTTTCACCATGTTGGCCAGGCTGGTCTCAAACTCCTGGCCTCAGGTTGATCCACCTGCCTCGGCTTCCCAAAGTGCTGGGATTACAGGCGTGAGCCACCACGCCCGGCCAAAATTGATGCCGATACTTAGGTTTATTAATCTCCTTTGCATGACCCACTGCAAAGGCTGAGATTGGCTCAGGGATTGACACATTAGGGGCGGGCATCAGTCTGGGCTCTTTGCCTCAGATAATTTCAGCACAATATGGTGGGCTGCTTATGAAATGTTGGAGAAATAGCAAGAAAAAGGGTCTGTGGTCCTGAGCCGGTGTCCTCTGTAGCTATGGGCTATAAATGTTTGTGACTCTGGAATAAACACTCCCTCCTTGAGTCCTTTACCCTCCTGCCCCAGAGATGCTGTGGGCCCAAGCGGATTGTTTTATGTCTGGAAAGGGGCCCCGTGGAATTGAATTCCCTGAGACTTTTAAGCTTAGCCACATGATCATGAGCCTGAGAAGGCACCTGGCATCATTCTCAGTGGCTTCTGAAATCTGGACCAGAGGTGTGATTGGTCCCGGGGCATGGACGCACAGAACCTGCTGTCCTGAAATCTAGAATCAGAAGTGGAAGTTCTAAAATGGGCCTGTAGCTCCTCCTGCCTGCTCTGTTCTGGGAAATGAATGGATGCCCTTCTGACCAGCGCACTTTCTCCCCAAACTCTGTGCAGCCTGCGCTTCACAGAACTTTCCGATTTCACAGCTGGTTTATTTGGCCAGTTGAAAACAAAACCCCACAAGTATCAGTCTGTGCACAAGAATTTTGTCTTTTGTCAAATAGCCATTTTGTTTGGCGTGGTGGAGAAAGGAGACTAGGGTTGTTTATTTGGAAGCTTTTCTGTGAGATGCGACTTTCAGTTTCAGGATGAGCTCACCCGCCACCTGCCCCGCACCATCATTTTACCCAGGGGCGGTTTTTGCTGGCTCTGAGCACATGTGTAACCGTGCAGGGTGACGGCATCAAGGGCAGTAAGGAGGGAGAGATAAAGTGGACTTGTCTAGTGCCAGGTCTGTGCCAGGAAGCTCACATTCAATGCTCAGGCCACCCTGGGAGGTGGGTGCTATTATCCCCATGGGGCAGATAAGGAAACTGAGATGGGAAAGTGCCCAGCCCTGAGTTAACTCTGTGAGTTGAGAGCATTAGGGCTGGGATTGGAACAGAGGTCCCAGCTCCAAACTCCAGTGACTCCTAAATGCTCAGCATCCTTCCCAGACCTTCTGCAGCATCTCCAGCCAAGCGGGGGGCTGGAGGAGGGAGGAGGTATTTTAGAGTCTCACCAAGCCCACTCCGACAATGTTGCTTACTCCGTGCATCTGAGGAAGATGTGCTCCTTGGTTCATGCAGTGATGTAATTTCCAGTTCAAAGGAGGCGCTGCTGTTTGGAGGGAAAAACAGTGGCTTCAGCGATCTGGGCAGAGGTTGCAGGAGTACAGGAGGTGGGGCCTTTCCCAGCCCAGGCTTTTAGGGTGTGTTTTAACAAAGGTGGACAATGTAGGAGAAAAACCTGGTGTTTGAAGCAGCATCCTCATTTACCAAAAATGCCTTGCCAAGGGCTGATCCATTCCCCTGGGAGGAACCATAACCACTCAGTTAGCTGGGGAGCCGGTCACCGGGAGGGAGACCTCCCAGCTTCTCACCTGCAGGATCTTCCCTTCCCCTTGCTCCTGTTTCTTTATATGGCTTTTTAGCTAAACTGCTACAGAATCTTGACAAAAGTGATGCTGAGGATGTTGTAGGCTCTGGGGTGCAAATACCAGTCATTTATTTAAAACTGGAAGTTTGCTGTGGGGTTCCCCGTCTTCTGTGACATAGCCAAGGAAAAGGCCCGTTTTCCCTCTGAACAACTCTGAGAAGTATTGACTTGTTTTCTCTCTCTTTTTTGTTTTCTGTGCCAGTTTCGATACAAGAAGCGGGTGTATAAACAAGCCAGTCTCGATGAGAAACAGTTGGCCAAGCTCCACACGAAGGTATGCAGGGAACGGGCTGTTATTTACACGTTAGGCAGGCGGCGTCCTCCTTGTTATCTTGTTGTGTTATCTTTAGACGCTCCTCTTCCAGGGGCACCTGCTGTGTACCTGGCATGGCGTGTGGCTGGGCTGGGATGTACAGGCAGACTGGCCCTTACGGTGCACACTGCGGAGACCCACCCGGGAGGCAGCAGGGGCTGCTTAGTGTGGCCGTGGGTGCTGGGGGAAGGGAGGCAGATCCTACTGGCTGCTCCAGGGAGGGTCAAAAGCGGCATCTCTGAAGAGAGTGGGATCTGGACGCCTGGCGTGGTGGAGGGAAGCGGGTCCACAGTGAGCCCCGTATTAGTGTTCTGCTGTTGTTGCTTCAGGAAAAACCTTGTTAAAGTGCTGTTCACATAAATTGCACTGAAGTTAGACTGCAGGTGAGCAGCAGGGGCGTTGCACAGAGTGTTCAGAACCTGGCGGAATGCACTATGCCTTGAGCTCAGAGTCCCAGATAAGACATCCACACCATGAACACCCTGCTGTCTTTCAGGGTGCTGTGCGAGTCGAGGAGGAGGCGTGGAGAGGGGGCTGAGGCATAGGGTGTGTGGGCGGAGCACTTTGCTTAACCAACAGGAGGAGGAATCTGTAATACCCAGGAGGCTTTTGTCCTGGCCCCTGGCCCCTGGTGCTGTTCCTAAGGAGAGCCCAATTGCACTCCCTGCAGAGCATGGGGTGGAGAGTCCGGGCAGCTGCCTGAAGCGCTTCCCTTTGAGGGCCCTGATGCTCTCCAGGTGAGCTCCCCTGCAGCTGCGAGCTCACCAATGGCTTTCTCAGCCAGCAGGATCCTCTCGGTTTTTGTTTTGCTGCCCCTCCTCCTTATATCAGATGCATGCAAGGATTCTTTTTTGTTTGTTTGAGACAGAGTTTTGCTGTGTTGCTCAGGCTGCAGTGCAATGGCATAATCTTGGCTCACTGCAACCTCCGCCTCTCGGGTTCAAGCGATCCTTCTGCGTCAGCCTCCTGAGTAGCTGGGATTACAGGCATGCACCACCATGCCTGGCTAATTTTGTATTTTTAGTAGAGATGGGGTTTTGCCACGTTGGCCAGGCTGGTCTCAAACTCCTGACTTTAGGTGATCCATCCGCCTCGGCCTCCCAAAGTGCTGGGATTACAGGCGTGAGCCACTGTGCCCGGCAGGATTCTTACTGTGCTCACTGAGTTCTAATCTGTCATTATCATTATTGATTTTTGTGCTCAAGTTGTCCAGATGTGGGCGGCAGTTGCCCTTCCTGTGGTGTTCTGCCATGTGGTGCATCCCCACCATCCTTGACACACCAGCCACTTTATGGCACAAGATGCTCTGGGCTCTTCCGATACTTCCCCTGCCTCTGCCCTGGAATTTGCCTGGAAAGCGGTATTCAGACGGCAAGATCTGGGTGCTTCTGGGTTTTGGCTTTTGTTTTTTATCACCCTCTGATGTGCAGATAAAAACGTATTTGTGAATTTTAAAAATGCTGATTTGTAAATAGCAATGCAGGTTTTCAGTGACACCATGTGTAAGTCATGTGTTTGAGGGCATTTGATCAGTTCTAGTTCCGAAACATACAGAAAATGGGCAGGTGGAAATCTAGCACGTGCCAGGAGGTTGAAGGGCCCAGGAACCTGCTGTGTCAGAAGCCGCATTTGTCCCCCTTCTGTGTGTTTTGAGAGAGGTACGGAGTAGGGGCAAAGAATTAGGCTGGTGAGGAGTGTTAGACGCAGCAGGCGGAAGGGTGCCAAGTCCCACAGTCCTGCTCAGACAGCCCAGACTGGCTCTGGATGGGCAGAGAATCATGACTTTTCTTACAGCGAGGCTGGCAGAGGCTGGGAAAGTTCCCACCCCATCAGGTTGATCTGCGGACCATCATGACCTCACAGGAAATGAGTCCCGCACTTCACCTTGAGCCACTCGGGGACCAGGCATCGCTATTTCTGCCTGTGTGGCCATGGGGTTCACCACAAAGTGGGTTAAGTACCAATCTGCGGGCCTCACTCCCTGGGGATGGAGGCAGGAGGTGGGTCCTGGAAACTGGAGATTGGAAAAGTGCTCCAGCGGCCCAGCTGTCTCTTACGAAAGCAAAGGAGCATTCATAGCTCTCAGCAAGTGTCTGAGGCCATTTACGCTGCTTTTACAAAATACCTTGGGTAACTTATAAACAACAAAAGTGTGACTCTCACCATTTTGGAGGCTGCAAGTCTGAGATCGTGGCATCGGCAGGTTCAGCATCTGGCCAAGGCCCAGTTCCTGGTTTGGATGGCCATTGTCTTGCTGTGTCTTCACGTGGAGGAAGGGGCGAGGGAGCTCTCTGGGACCTCTTTTGCAGGGACACTAATCCCATTCACGAGGGCTTCATCCTCCTGACTTCGTCACCTCCCAAAGGCCTCACCTCTCCATACTATTACATTGGAGATTATTCAACCTATGAATTTTGCGGGGACACACACGTTAAGTCCGTAGCACTAGGATGGCGAACGGTGAGGGGATTTTAAACATTCATCCAGGATAGGCCGATTGTACTTGTCACGTGCCAGACACTGTGCTCACCCTGTGGTTCCAAAAGCCTCAGCTCCAGGAGCCTCAGGGCTTGTGGTGCACCCTGGCGAGGGTGGGTCTCCCGAGTGCACCAGTCAGGAACTTTCCCAGAGCCTGGAAAGACATTTGTTTTTCTTTTTTGAGACAGGTCTTTCTCTGTTGCCCAGGCTGGAGTGCAGAGGCATGAACACAGCTCACTGCAGCCTCGGCTCAGGCGATCCTCCTGCCTCAGCCTCCCAAGTAGCTGGAATCACATGTGCCACCACGTCTAGCTAATTTTTTGTTTGTTTGTTTGTTTGAGATGGAGTCTCGCTTTGTTGCCCAGGCTGGAGTGCAGTGGCGCGATCTCGGCTCACTGCAAGCTCCGCCTCCCAGGTTCATGCCATTCTCCTGCCTCAACCTCCCGAGTAGCTGGGACTACAGGTGCCCGCCACCACGCCTGACTAATTTTTTGTATTTTTAGTAGAGACAGGGTTTCACCGTGTTAGCCAGGATGGTCTCGATCTCCTGACCTCGTGATCTGCCCGCCTCGGCCTCACAAAGTGCTGGGATTACAGGCGTGAGCCACCGTGTGCAGCCATGTCTGGCTAATTTTTCTATTTTTTGTAGAGACGGGGTCTCACTTTGTTGCTCAGGTTGGGACATTTCTTATAAAGATGTTTCAATTGTATTGTTTTTCCTTCTAGACCAATCTGAAGAAATGCATGGATCACATTCAGCATCGCTTGGTGGAGAAGATCACCAAGATGCTGGACCGAGGCCTGGATCCCAATTTCCACGACCCGGAGACCGGAGGTGAGCACTTGCTAGAGGGGACCTTACCAGGCTTTACGGAAGCGTAGAGAAGGCCAGCCCACTGCTCAGGCTACCTGTGAATAACGCTGCAGTTACCTTTTACTTGGTTTTGTTTGGTGTTTAAAGGTGCATTCTCACTCTCCTCTGTCTTCTCAGTCAGAAGGGGCCGAGCCCGCCTTGTCCATGGGGCATCCCCAGCATCTTGCGTGGGGCCTGGAGCACGGCAGGTGTTCAGTGCAGAATTGTTGAGGAGGTGAATGAGTGAATGAATGAGCAGATGACACGCATGTGTTGTGCCAGCCTTGGGCACACAGATCTTTACAGACACGTATGTTTGTAAAGGTGGAGGATGTGTGTTTCTGCCTCCCGCTGGGCACGGGCAGCCCAGCAGATGGGCATCTGCACCCATGCATCTTATTCCCCTGCTGGAAACCACATTCCTCATGAGTGCGGGCCTCTGGGCATCGGTCGGGAAAGATGGCCCAGGCCCTTGGTGGTTCCACGAGTGTGTGAGTCTTTGCAGCGCGGCCATCCTATGTATCACAGGGTTCAGTGGCAGTACCCGCCTCCACTCAGCATCAATAGCAACCCCTAGTTGTGACAACCAACAGTGTCTCCAGACATCACCCACTGTCCCTGGGTGTGGGCACTGTCACCCCAGGTGACAGTCTCTTGCCAGCAGGGCACCAGCTGGAGTTGGCAGGCAGAGGTTAGGTCCTACTGGAGAACCAAGAGGGGTGGAGGTGAGGGTCTCCATGCAAAGCAGAGTATGCCCCCTCAGGTGGGCTGTCCTGGGCTGGGAATACTCCTCCTGGACTCCCTCCCCTCTTGTCTTGAGTGTGCCAGCCCTGCTTCTGGCCCCTGCATGGTATAGTGCCATCATCACATACTGGTGTCACACCTCAAAAATATAAAATACACAACAAATGTGTTTGTCAACCAAAGAATGCCACTTTCTCATCATTTGTGGGAGCCCCCTCGACCTCTGAACGCTGGGGGGGGGCCCGCTGGGTGTGGATTCAGCCTGCACAGCTCTGTCTGAGCACTGCCGGGGGACTGTCCTTGCCTTTTTGCAATTGTCTGTGTCCCTTAGGCTTCGCTGTGAGCAGCAGGAGAAGCCGGCACGGGCTTGTGGCTGCTGGTAGCTTTGATGCCTGTGACGTTGGGAGGCAGGACTGCATGAGCGAGGCTCAGAGGGGACAGAGTGCCCCCGGGGATAGGGGGAAAGAAGGAAGGTGAGTGCCTGGCTACAGCTGAGCAGCCCCAGGCCCTGCGCCGATCCTCCATGAGGCAGGGAAGCCTGGGGGTCTGCTTGCAGGGCAGTGACGTGGACAAGGCTGGGCTTCCGCTGGAGGTCTGGGCAGTCTCAGCCGGTGGCCTGGAGCAGGAGGCTGGGTTGGGCTTGTGTTGGTAGGGACATCTGGAGAAGGGGAGAGGGGAAAGGGAGTGATTGGGACAAGGGCATGTGGTGGGCAGGGGTGGGTAGTAGGGCATCTGGAGGGCAGGTGGGCAGCTGCAGTGGCCCTCAGCTGTGGGGCAGGCAGTGGGAGGAGGAGAGGAGCTGAGCTGGGAAGCAGAGAGGCCTGAGCTCAGGCATGGTGGTGCGATGGAGGGCGTGTACGTCTGTAGGAGGCTTGGGAGGGCCCTGGCCGACCATCTTTCCCTGACGTGGATGCGTCTCGTGCTGCGCTGATGTGGCAGCTTCTCTTCAGTGATGGCCCCTGTGCCAGCTCCTGGCTCTGTGAGGGCATGAGCCCTTTCCATGTGAGGCTGTGAAGGTAAATGGACCCAGGTGCTCCTGAGCATGACCTTGAGCCTTGGGGCACATCCAGGGGCAGCCTTCATTCTGAGCTGCTGACCCGGATTCTCCCTGGAGGCAGCCTTTGGCCGTGGCTCTCACCACCCTGGCAGAGCCACTTATGTCTTCATCTTGGCCTCGTCGAGGGCTATTTCTGATGCTGCTGCGGGGGACTGGGCAGCGTGGCTCTCTGTCTCGCCTTGGCCTGGCCAGCAGTAGAAGGAGGCTGGATGTCCCCTCTGAGCTGCTCTGCACCTCTCTTCCTGATGTGCCCCCTGTAATTGGCCCCTGTCCTGAGCCAAGCCTCCCCCTGGCTTCCTCCACCAGACTGTTAATGTCTCGACTTTAAGGTTCTGAGATGACTGTTATTCCAGAATAGACTCTCAATTCACTGCTAAAAACACATCAGTGCAGACTCTGAAACAGGTAAGCAGCGATTTCTCTGGGTCCTGCCTGGAGTTAAAACTGCTGCCACTCAAATCCTGGATTAGGCTGGTGCCAGAGCAAAAAGTTCATAGTTGTTGTGAGCCGTTGTGGAGCAGCATAATTAAAGGAGAAAGACCTGACCACTTTCCCCGGAACTGAGTAGAAAAGGCTCGGGAACCTGATCTGTGGAGATGGTACCACGCAGTTACCTTCCGAACGTTCTGAAATATTCCCACGATGACAAGCCTCTGGGCTGGTTTACTGATCACAAAGACCAAACCCAGAGAAGACAGAGGAACCCCTGGTGTCATCAGGTCCCCGATAAGTGGCTCCTGGGAAAGAGCACATAGTTAAGGACAGGCATTCTAGGGTCTCCAGCAAAGGCAGAGACCCACGGGGCCAGGGTCTGGGACAGGGCCCAGTGGGTTTGGTGCTCAAGGACAGAATGCGTGCAGGGAAGAATGCCTGCGTGCTTCCTTACGGGACACTTCCCTGCGTCACCCAGGGAGATGGTGACCACGCATAGAGGTTGGGGGTTTATTGTGTTTTGGTTTTGGCCTTGACAGAAATCATTACCCCTCCACTCCCCTTTCTTTTTTTTTGAGACAGGGTCTCCCCCTGTTACCCAGGCTAGATTGTAGTGGCACAATCTCAGCTCACTGCAACCTCATCCTCCCAGGTTCAGGTGATCCTCCCACCTCAGCCCTCCAAGTAACTGGGACTACAGGCATGTGGCACCACACCAAGGTATTCTTTGTAGAGACGGGGTTTTGCCATGTTGCCCAGGCAGGTCTCAAACTCCTGAGTTCAAGTGATCACCGGCCTCGGCCTTCCGAAGTGTTGGGATTACAGGTGTGTGCCACCACGCCTGGCCTCTCCCCTCCCCTTCCCTCCCCTTCCTTCTTCTTGAGACAGGGTCTCACTGTGTCACCCAGGCTGGCAGGATCACAGCTCACTGCAGCCTTGACCTCCTGAACTCAGCTGATCCTCCCACCTCAGCCTCTTGAATAGCTGGGACTACAGGCACGTGCCACCATACTTGGAATTCTGCCGCTGGAATTCTGGATTAGGCCGGTACCAAAGCAGAAGGTCCATAGTTGTTGTGAGCCGTTGTGAAGCAGCATAATTAAAGGAGAAAGACCTGACCATGTTTCCCAGAGCTGAGTAGAAATGGCTTGGGAGCCTGATCCATGGAGACAGTAGCACAGAGTTACCTTATGAATGTTCTGAAATATTCTCATGATGACAAGCCTCTGGGCTAATTTTTGTGTTTTTTTGTAGAGATGGGGGTCTCCCTATGTGACCCAGGCTGGTCTTAAACTCCTGGGCTCAAGCAGTCCTCTCACCTCAGCCTCCTGAAGTGTTTGGATTACAGGCGTGAGCCACTGAGCCCAGCCTCTTATTTTCAATTTTAAAATTTAAGGCAGAATTATGGAATCAGTTCTCTCCTGGTTGTTGCCAAATGGCAATTTTATGAACCAGCTTTGCTTCTTGTAGTAGCTGATATTTCTCTATAAAGCAGAACTTCCTCTTCCCCTGCCTCCCTTTTGTGAAATGAGCAGAGCTGATTTTTTAGAGCAGTTTTAGGCTGACAGAAAATTGAATAGAAGTACTGTGAGTTCCCATATTGACTGCTCCCCCAGTTTCCTCTGTTAGTAATATCTTGCTTTAGTATAGGACATCTGTTACAATCAGTGAACCAGTTGTGATCCTCAAGTCCAAGCTTACATGAAGGTTCACGCTTGGAGTCGTAACCCAGTAGTGATCCTCAAGTACAGAGCTTACATGAGGGTTTACGCTTGGTGCTGTACCCAACAGTGATCCTCAAGTCCAGAGCTTACATGAGGGTTTATGCTTGGTGCTGTACCCAGTAGTGATCCTCAAGTCCGGAGCTTACATGAGGGTTTACGCCTGGAGTTGTACCCAACAGTGATCCTCCAGTCCGGAGCTTACATGAGAGTTCACTCTTGGTGTTGTACGTTGTCAGTTTTGCCAGATGTCCTGTATCCACCGTCACAGTATCATAAAGATCAGCTTCACTGCCCGAGAGCTCCTCTGTGCCCCTCTTCATCCCTGAGCCCCTGGCAGCTGCTGACCCTTTCTTTTTTTTTTTTTTTTTTTTTTTTAGACTGAGTCTCTCTCTGTCACCCAGGCTGGAGTGCAGTGGCGTGATCTTGGCTCACTGCAACCTCCGCCTCCCGAGTTCAAGTGATTCTCCTGCCTCAGCCTCCTGGTAGCTGGGATTATAGACGTGCACCACCACGCCCAACTAATTTTTTTATTTTTAGTAGAGATGGGGTTTCACCATGTTGGCTAGGCTGGGCTCAAACTCCTGACCTCAAGTGATCCACCCACCTCAGCCTCCCAAAGTGCTGGGATTACAGGTGTGAGCCACCGCACTCAACCTTGCTGACCTTTTCATTGTCTCTGTAGTTTGGCCTTTTCCAGAATGTTCTAGAGCTGGAATCTTAAAATCACACAGTGGGTTTCAGATCGGCTTCTTTCACATGGCAGCACGTGCGGAAGGTGCCTCCAGGCCCTTTCACAGCTTGGAAGCGCGTTTCCTTTTGGTGCTGGATAATGTTCCATTTTCCAATGTACCCCAGTTTGCTTATCCACTTGCCTCCTAAAGGACATCTGGGCTGCTTCCAGCTTTTGGCAATTGTGGGTCAAGCTGCCATAAACACCCGTGTGTGGGTTTTTGTACAGATCAAACTAACAGCGATCATACACAGTGGCATTTTTTTGTAAGGCCAAAAACATTACTTATGGCAAATAAAAAGGGAAAAGGGGTAACTAAGGCAGAAAGTTCTGAAACCGAAGGCCAAGTGCAGACCCACAGGTCGGCTGCAGACAGCGCAGATGGCCCTGGTCTCACACCACCCTGCTTCCCAGCTTCTGCGCCTGCCACCAGTGTCTCAAGAATTCTCATTTGTTTTTTCCAAATCAGGAGAGAAACCAGCAGTGCTGTTAGAGGGGCAGGGAAGTGGGGACCCAGGGTGATGGGGGAAAAGAGAAAAGTGAGGACCCAGGGTGACGGGGGAAAAGAGAAAAGTGAACCAGGGTGGGTGCTCTCAGAAACAAAGGAAGCTGCGGGTAATTCCAGCACAATGGCTTATAGCAACCCTCAGGCACACATGGAGCAAGTATCAGTGGGGACAAGCTAAACGCAAGTTCCAACGAGAGGCCAGAGCCCAGTGCTGCCAGGGAAGACACCACCTTCACTTTGCTTCTGTCAAGGCAGAGCATAAGGGACGGATACGCATCCTCCTGACTGAAATGCAGACACTACCTGGCCACACGGATGACATCACTGTTGGAGACACTGGGCTTCAGAGATGCAGGATGGGGGGGGCCCTGTGTTGGGACTGCAGAGGCGACCCTTCCAATGCCCAGCTCAGTGCCAGTCCATGGAGAGCCCCCAGAGAGGAGACATTAACCCCTACTTCTCTGCAGCTGGCTGTGTGAAGACCAGGTTAATGAACCTCTCTCAGCTTCCATCCTCTTGTCTCCTAAATTGAATGATAACACCTACGGTGGTGCCGGGAAAATGTGAGCGTTAGGTGAGCGTTGTGGTGCTATTAGGCCATTTTCACATTGCTGTAAAGACATACCTGAGGCTGGGTAGTTTATAAAGAAAAGAGGTTTAATTGGCTCTAGGTTCTGCAGGCTGTACAGGAAGCTGGTGGCATCTGCTTCTGGGGAGGCCTCAGGGAGCTTTTACGCATGGCGGAAGGCAAAGGGAGAGCAGGTGCATTGCATGGCAAAAGCAAGGGAGAGAGAGAGAGAGAGAGGAGCAGGTGCATCCCGTGGTGAAAGCAGGAGAGAGAGAGAGAAAGAGGGGGGGAGAGGGAGAAGGGGAGGGGGGGAGGGAGGGAGGGAGAGAGAGAGAGGTGCCACACACCTTTAAACAATCAGATCTTGCAAGAATTCACTCACAATTGTCAGGACAGCACCAAGGAAGGGGATGGTGCTAAACCATTCATGACAAATCTGCCCCCATGATCCAGTCACCTCCCACCAGGCCCCACCTCCAACCCCGGAGATTACATCTCCACGTGAGATTTGGGCAGGACACCCATCCAAACCATATCAGTGGTTAAGCGTATGGGGTATGCGTCACCTTTAATAGAGTTCCAGAATGTTCCTGTCATCAGCATCAACTACGGCAGCTCAGTCAATGTTGTTTTCTCCTGGTTTTGGATGCAGAGGGAGAAACACAGAGTTGGCTTTGGCGGGCTGCCTCCAGGAAACAGGCAGGGTGACCAGTGTATCCGGTTTTCCCGGGACTGCCCTGGTTTTAGCACTGAATGCCTCATATCCTGGGAAGCCTGTTGGTCCCAGGGAGACTGGCACTGTTACCCACCCTACCAGTAACAAGGGCACTTAAAGAGTGATAGCTGCAGTCTATTGGTGACCTGCTGTGCTCCAGCAGCACACAGGGCCTTGCCAGGCCTCAGCTCTGTAATCAAGGGGGTCCCCTGCAGGCACCGCTGTCCTGGGAGGAATCTGAAGCTCTGAGAGCCCAACTGGGTGGCCGCTAGGGCTGATGTCTGCATCCTCTATACTGTTGAACCCTAACCCCCTAGGTGATGGTATTAGGAGGATGGGGCCTTCAGCAGGTGATGGGCTCCTGGGGGCAGAGCCCTTGTGAATGGGATTAGTGCCCTTACAAAAGAGGCAGAGAGAGCTCCCTCGCTCCTTCCACTTTGTGAGGTGAGGTCACAGCAAGAAGGTGCCCTATGTGAACCAGGTAGACACACGCCAAATCTGCCAGCACCTTGATCTTGGACTTCTGGCCTCCAAAACCATGAGCAATGCATGTCTGTCACTTTTAAGCCACCTAGCCTCTGGGATCTTGTTACCACAGCCCAGTCTGGGCCAGTCACTGAGTCACCAGGGAGGGCAGAGGCAGGGCCTGGGCTCCACTTGCCCTGGGGGGTCCCTGCTCTCAACTCCTGGGGGAAAAGGCAGTGGGACGAACAGGGGTCTCTTGGCATGAGCCGGCCTGGCTGGACGTGGATGACCCAGGCAGGCCCAGGTCGGGGACAAGCTGTTCACATTCCCACTTTCCACCTGGTTGTCGGCAGCAGCCTGGGCATGTTCCCATCCCATATTTTAGCCTCTCCACAGTGAGTTTGGTGACTTCTCAAAGCCACCCAGGGGACAGCAGAGTCTGTGCTTAGAGTTGAAAGCAGCCTTTTTGCTAAGCTCAGGAAATGCCGCCATGCTCAGTCCCGGGCCCTGCAGACCTGGGCCCCGCGTCCCTGTTTTGGGGCTGGACATGGGGCCGGAGCGGAGGGAAGCAGCCCTCTAGCCTGAGATAATTAAATCCCAGTGGAACGACCTGTCAATGAAAACAAAACAGCCTGTGTGATTGCAGGCGACCATCTGGTACCTGTTCTAAATGTAAATTTTATTAAGTAACAATGATAAAAGTAGTGTAAAAAAAAAAAATAAAGACTTCCTCCAGCAGAGTCTCAGGCCTCTTCTCCTGCTTTGGTTGGAAACTCTGAGATGAGACCAGTTGTGTTTCCAAGCCCCAAACAGGAAGCGAACCTGGCAACTTGAACAAAATTTAGGTTGGCCCTTTTATCTTGCACTGTTGTCTCCAAATTTGAGAGAAGCCTCAGGCACCACAAAAGAGATCTGGCTAATAAAGCTAGAAATGCCTTTCGACTCTTTTAGTATCTGAATGAGAGGTCAAAAAGAGATGGTTCCTTTACGGATCCAGATTCTGCAGAGCACCTGTGATGTGTCTGGACCTCACTGATGAGATTCAGTTACTGAATCTGTTTCCAGGGTCGGGGTGTACTCATTGCATACCAGGCTGAGCTCCTCCCATTCGGCCGCCCCCCAACTCCGGCTTCCCCTTCTTGCTGCTGTAGCTGTGTCACGGGGAGCCCCTTCCCAGCTCCCGCACCGCTCAGTTAGGAGGCCTCGAGGACATTCTGGGTCCCAGTGCACTGAGCACCTTCAGAGCATCGTCTTGAAGAGCAGAAGGGGCTTGTTTGATGTGTGCAGTGACTGACGGTTCATGCTCCGCAGTCTCACGTTGGCCCCTGAATGAATCGCCAAGTGCGATTCCCCAGAACTAACGGCACCCGGGAATGTGAGGCAATTCAAGAGAATAATGGTTCTGGAACCTCGTAAACCTCCATCTGCAGAGGGTGAGAGGTGCAGAAATTACCCAGTGCCAATGAAGGAGCTGGAAGACTTCGAGTAAATAACTCCCTTTGCTACCAGTGCCTTTGGTTTGTTCAGTACAGTTTCTCATAAAAAGAGACCTGTTTTTAAGGGTCCAATTATTTCAAATACAGTGTCTCATTCTTTCAGGGTTTTTCTATGTACACACTGCCATGTTCTGAAAGGGAATATAGGTGACTCTTAGATGGAGCGAGGTGCCGTGCCTTCAGTAAGGAAAATGCGGCAGAGGGAGTGGCGAGGGTAAGGGTGACACGGAGGCAGGGGCCAGGGTCCACAGGAGCCTGTCTTGGGGTCGGGGACAGAGCCCAGTTTTAGGTTGACAGAAAAACCAGGCAGAAGGCATGGAGTTTTCCCCTATGCACTTTCACTTCCAGCTCGCCTGTTATTGACAGCATGCACTGGTTTAGGGCATTTGTTGCAATAACTGAAGTCCATAGTTTACATGAGGGTCTGCTCATGTTATGGGTTTGGACAGATGCATCTTGTCCTGTACCCACCATTACAGAATTACACAGCATAGCTTCCTTACCCTAAAACTCCTCTGTGCTCCACCCGTCCATCCCTCCCTCCTCTGTGCTCCACCCGTCCATCCCTCCCTTGCCCTCTAACCCCTCATAACCACTGATTTTTTTTTTTTTTTTTTGAGACGGAGTCTTGCTGTGTCACCCAGGCTGGAGTGCAGTGGTGTGATCTCAGCTCACTGCAACCTCTGACTCCCGGGTTCAAGCAATTCTCCTGCCTCAGCCTCCTGAGTAGCTGGGACTACAGGCGTGTGCCACCATGCCTGAGTTATTTTTGTATTTTTAGTAGAGACGGGGTTTCACTGTGTTAACCAGGATGGTCTCGATCTCCTGACCTCATGATCTGCCCGCCTTGGCGTCCCAATGTGCTGGGATTACAGGTGTGAACCACTGTGCCTGGCCAACCACTGGCTCTATAGTTTTGCCTTTTCTAGAATGTCATCGAGTTGGAATCACACAGCATGCAGCCTTTTCAGATTGGCTTCATTCATTTAGCAATATGCATTTAAGCTTCCTTCGTATCGTGTTGTGGCTTGACAGCTTGTCTCTCTTTAGTGTTGAACAACATCTTGTTGTCTGCATGTGCAATGGATAATGTATCCACTCACCTACTGAAGGACCTCTGGATTGTTTGCCATTTTTGGCAACGATGAATAAAGCTGCTGTAAACACTAACATTCAGATTTCCTTGTGGACGTAAGTTTTCAGCTCATTCAGGGAGACACCTAGGAGCTGGGTTGCTGGATTGTGGAGTAAGTGCGTTTTTAGTTTTGTGTCAACTCGCCAAACTGTCTTCCAAAGTGACTGCGCCATTTTACACTCCTACTGGCAATGATGAGAGTTCCTGTTGCTCCACATCCTCCCCAGCATTTGGTGTTGTCAGTGTTCTAGATTTTCATCATTCTGACGATTGTGTTGAGGTGTCTTTTTTTTTTTTTTTTTGACATGGTCTTACTCTGTCTCCCAGGCTGGAGTGCAGTGGTGTGATCATGGTTCACTGCAAACTTGACCTCCTGGGCTCAAGTGATCCTCCTGCTTCAGCCTCCTGAGTAGCTGGGACTACAGGCGTATGCCACTATGCCTGGCAAATTTTTAAATTTTTAGTAGAGGTGAGGCCTCATGTTACCCAGGCAGGTCTTGAACTCCTGAGCTCAAATGATCCTCCTACCTTGGCTCCCAAAGTGCTGCAATTGCAGACATGAGCCACTGAACACAGCCTCTAATTGCTGTCTTAGTTTGCAGTTCCCTAATGACATACGGTGTGGAGCATCTTCTCGTGTGTGTTGGCTATCTGAATATCTTCTGTTGTGAGGTATCCATTTAAATATTTTGTTCCCTTTTTAATTGGGTGGTTTGCTTTCTTGTGGAGTTTTAAGGGTTCTCTGTATAATTTGGCTACAAGTACTTTATACGCTTTTCACAAACATTTTCTGCCTCTCTGAGCAGCAGCATTTTTTACATTAAATCTGTTAACCCGCACAATAGCCAGGAGACATTTGTAAACAAACTTTTCATTTTAGAACAGTTCTAGATTTGCAGAATAAGTGCAAAGATAGTACACAGAGTTACCATATATCCTATACCCAGCTTCCCCCCTTATCAGCATCTTACTCCAGTATTCTTCTGAGCGGAAGTCGTATGGTACGCTTCTCACAGTTAGAGAACCGATATCGATGCATTATTATTAACCGAAGTCCACACCTTTTTCTTCTCTCATAAGCATTTACCTGCTTGTCCTTTCCTGTCCCTGGGCCCCACCCGGGTTCCCACATGACATTCCCTCATTCGTCTCCCTGGGCACCTCTTGGTGGTGATTGTTTCCCAGGCTCTCCCTGTTGGTGATGACCTGGACAGTTTCAGAGGAGGACTGGTCAGGTGCTTGTAGGGTGCCCCTTATTGGGATCCATCTGGTGTTTTCACGATTAGGGGCTGTGGGTGTGAGGAGGAAGAGCACAGAGCCTTTCTCATCACCTGGTGCCGAGGGCCCGTCCTGTTGGTGTGGCTCATCTTGGGCGATGCTGCCCCCCCATCTCCTGGCTGAGCTCGTGTCCATCAGGTTTCCCCACGGAGAGATGGTCCCGTTTTTCTGTTTCCCACACTATGCTCTCAGAAGGAAGCCACTGTGCACAGCCCACACATAAGGGGATCGGGGTGGGGGGTGGTGCGGGCTACGCATCACCCCCTGAGGACAGAGAAGTGATGCGAATTGCTTGGAGTTTGTCTGCATTGCAAGATCGGCCCCTTCCTCCCGTTCACTTGTGAATCCCTTGCTTATTTCTATCAATGTGGTTGCACTCACTTTCTGGTTGACTTATAACCCAGCTTTATTTATTCTGTTCCTTTTGCCTTTAGTCTTACAGACTCCACTCATGTCTGGAGCTACTGAGGTCAGCGGTTCATTCCCCATCCCTTTCAGCGAGGTTGATTCCTACACCTGTGATATGTTCTGTGGTCTTCTCTCACATCATGGTTTCCTTCTGAGCATCCCCAGCCTCCTGAACTATCATCTTCTAAAAAACCTGCTGGAGGCCACCCAGCCCTTCAGGGAAAGAGCTGGGTTTTGTTGACACCAGTCACTTCCCCTCATAGGAAGAATCGCTTGCCCAGTCGTTTGATTTTTGCAGCCCACTGATCTTGGACACTAGGATGCACCTAGGAGCACACACACGGGTGTGCACACATGCACACAGAGGCATGCACACAGGCATGCACACACACAAGCATGTGCACACACAGGCATGCACATGCACACAGGCATGTAGACACACAGGCATGCACACGCACAGGCATGTACACATACACACAGGCATGCACACAGGCATGCACATGCACACAGGCATGCATGCACACAGGCATGTACACATACATACAGGCATGCATACACATAGGCCTGCATACACAACAGGCATGCATACACACAGGCATGTACACACAGGCATGCACACATGCACACACAGGCATGCACACACATAGGCACACATGCACACACAGGCATGCACATGCACACACAGGCACATGCACACACAGGCATGCACAGACACACAGGCGTGCACACAAACAGGCATGCACACATAGGTGTGCATACACACAGCCATGCACACACAGGCACACAGGCATGCACATAGGTGTGCACACATACACTGGCGTACACATGCTCCAGCCTGCACTGCCCTGTGCCCGCTGGGTAGCAGCAGCTGTCTTAAACACTTACACTCCTCCTGCCTCCTGCCCCCACCCCACCCCCCATTGCTGTGCCACCTCCCAGTGTCAGGACAAACAGCCGTGGCTAGTGCCCTCCTGCTGCGCTTCCGGGAGCCCCCGCTTCTCACCCTTTCGAAGCACATCCTGCTTATCCCTGGAGCCAACAGTCTGCTGGGCAGCCTCTAGTTGGAGGGTCTGCGTGTCTCTGAGGTTATCTCAAAATATTACAGGTGTTTCTACTCCCACCCGTTGTTCACGTTGAGGGAGACTGGGGCCACTCTGAGGTTATGCTTGTTGAGGTTCCAGTCTATTTTTAAAACTAAAGAAATTTCAAAATGCAAAACCTGAGGAATAGTCTTAAGAATCATGGTGCCAGATAACTGTGTGGTTCCCATGCTCATCAGGGGAGTGATAGTGCAGTCACTGGGTGTGCATCCCGGGCAGTGCTGTTATATCTGTCACCGGTTTATAGCTCATCAACCAGCATCTTCTCGGGGGTGATTCCATCAGCCCCAAATGTGGAACCTCAGCGGACGTGCTCTTTGCAAATGTGGTGGCTAAGCCAGGGCGGGAAGAGGGGGTCTCCTGACCTCCCCAGGGTGGGTCCTGGCCAGAGGTGAACATGCAAGTCTGGAACATCACTTGAGGAGGGATTCCGGAACCCTTGAGAAGGCTGCCACTTGTCATTGGATGGCCCTGGAAGCCACCCAAGGACCACACATAGCTCCCCATCCTGCACGTGAGACACAGCCATGAACAGAGTGGGATCATTTTCTCCACCGGTGCGTTTATGCAGCCACCTTTAACTGCCTGGCACTGACCAACAGGATGTGGTTTGGCTGCAGGCATCTGTAATTCTGAGTCAAAAGTCAGGATTCAAGCCTCTGATCTGATTTTACCACTTGCCACCAGCTCTCTCTGAGACAGCATTCTCATTTATAAAATGGAACAGCTGAGGTTGTCAGCTATGAAAATTATATGTTAATTTAAAATATCTTTTAAAAAATCTGCTTTGGACTGCCTTTTTGCATTGGGCAAAAGGGAACAGTCAAATGGGAAAGAAAATCCTAACTGTTTTGAAGGCTAACCTTGCCCCGAACGAGTGTCACACGCTCATTAAGTCGCTGTAAGATTTGAATGTTCAGCGTCGATATTGGTGGCTCCCGACAGCCCCAGTCTTTTCGTGCCCTTCGAGGATCAGTCACTTCCCTGACTGTCCACTCTCCCATGGTGGCCTTTATGCTCCAAGGAATAAACTCCCCAGATGCCCTCGGACACTCGTGCTTCAGCCTGGATGCCACCAGGGAAGAGACAGAGAATGAGGGGCTGACTGTTCCTCTCTCTAGCAGGCAGGGGTCACCCCTTGAGTTTGTTTTTCTCTGGCGTCTGCCCCATTTCCACCTCTCTGTGCACATGTGGAACTCTGGCCATGTTCCAACTGGTCTCAATCCCCACACCCCTTGCTGAGCCTTCCTTGCCTTGTAGCTGTTTTCTATGCAAGAAACATCCCCCACTGCCACTGAAGTCCCTTAGTCCCAGAAAATTTCTATTTTTCTTTAAAACTTCTGCATCAGGAGGGTATGCAACAGAGTCATGTGCAATGGCATTCATTCATGAGAACATCGTTCCTAGTTGGGGAAGACAGGAAGCCTGCTTTTCACATGGAGACAGGATGAATGAAGATGCTGGCATGTCTACGCACGGCATCCTAGTTGGGGAAGACAGGAAGCCTGCTTTTCACATGGAGACAGGATGAATGAAGATGCTGGCATGTCTACACACGGCATTCTAGTTGGGGAAGACAGGAAGCATGCTTTTCACATGGAGACAGGATGAATGAAGATGTTGGCATGTCTACACACAGCATCCTAGTTGGGGAAGACAGGAAGCCTGCTTTTCACATGGAGACAGGATGAATGAAGATGCTGGCATGTCTACACACAGCACACTCCTGACATGGAGGGGTTAAGCATGTGCATATCACCATGAAGTGCCAAGCTGCAGAGTGGTTCCTAGGGTGAATGTTAAAAGTCCTCAGGAGGGTACCCATGTATGGATAAGTAAACATCACAATTAAAAATAGATGGGAATAGTCAGTGCACACTCACAAGGCAGGTGCCCTTTCTGGGATGGAGGGGGATGGGATGGGGTGAGGGGTCAGCAAGACACACGCCTTGTGAAAGGCATCCGAGTTTTCTTTCACTGGAATGTGCTTCGAGACCGAGTGAATATTCATTGTTGGTGTTTCTGGGTCATGGGAACTTGTGTGTTGTCCTGGTACTCTGTGCACTTTTCTGGAACGTTAAGAGCCTCTCAAATGAGGAACTCTCAAAAGAGGACCTCAAAGTAGTTCCTCTTGTTTAGCAGTGGCCATGGTGGGCATATTAGAAAGATGAAGAGTGGACGGAAAGATTTGTTGTAATAGACACTGACGTCCTTAGCCACGCTCATCTGCAGACTGGTCCAGGGTCATCTGCACGGGACCCTTGTCCCTACAAAGGCAGACGGCATCCTTCTGTCTGCTGGGCCTCTGCCCTGCCTCCTGGGTCATCCTGCGCCGCGTTAATGAAGGAAGGTTTCCACTTACCCAGATTGGGAGCTCCAGGGGGCACGGACTTCATGTCTCATTTGTGTTTGTGTCCCTGCAGCCCATGGCTGGCATCTCCCAAGATGCCCATAAATGTGACATTGAATGAGGAAAGGTGGGTGTCTGCCTTTCCCATCTCTAATGAGGGCTTTAGTCCGTCACTCCTTCTGTACGGGAAGCACCCAGATGGTACCACAGGATTCTGTGTACTCAGAGGGAAGGGCAGCAAGGGAGCCTCTTGGACTGTGGCCCACACAGCAGTCCTGTTGAATCCCTGCCTCTGCCACCGCTGTGTTGTACGCGTGGCCCTGCGTGTCACTGCATCGCACGGGGGTGCCTGAGCCACGCTGCCCGCCTGGACTCTTGGGGTTCCCAGGTGGTGGGAGCTGTAAACACCCTGGAGGTGGAGGAGGGGAGTCAGTTCTTTCAGCTTAGTTTTGGGCATCTGAATATGGCTTTGTGAGCAGTGTGACAAATGTTGGTTCTAAAGTGTGTGTGTTTGGGTTCCTCAGAGACCCCCCTGACCTTAGCCGCTCAGCTGGACGACTCTGTGGAGGTCATCAAAGCTCTCAAAAATGGTGGAGCTCACCTGGACTTCCGTGCCAAAGATGGGATGACCGCCCTACACAAAGCTGCCCGAGCGAGGAACCAAGTTGCCCTGAAGGTAAACTCGGGCCCATCTTACTTGGGTGCCACCCCGTGCTCTGATTCCGTGCGGCTGCCCCATCCCATCCCCGCAGTGCCCATCCTAGGGGGTCCGTGCACAGTGTTCCGGCCCACCCTAGGAGTCCGTGCACAGTGTTCCGGCTGGAGCTTGGAAGTGAAGCCAGGTTTCAGATTTTCCTGTTCTCTCTCCTGGTTGTCGATGCTTTCAGAATTAATGGTTCCCAAGAAGTCATCTTTCACCTTCTATTCAGTCAAGGGACTTGTCTTTTCAACCCGTAAGGCCAGTGGTGAACCCCAACCCCATCCACAGGAAGACTCACTCATGATCATGAGAGCAGCGCTGAGTGGGTGGTGTTAAGCCATTCCTGAGAATCCGCCCCCATGACCCATCACCTCCCTCCAGGCCCCACCCCCAGCACTGGGGGTTACAATTCGAATTGAGATTTGGGAGGGGACACAGAGCCACATGGTAGATCCCCCCAGCACCCTGTGGCGGGTCCGTGGGAGCCTGCCCTGTTGTGGGTTCCGCGCCTCACCTTCCCCTGCTGCTGTCTTACTGCTCCGTGCCCCTGCCTCACACTGCAGCCACGGCGCCTCTGGACAGGGTGGTGCACGCCCAGGCATCCTCCACCAGAGCCCACACCAGCAGGGATGGGACGTGCCGCTGCAGGTTGACCCCCAAGACGGGGGCCTCGCTGTCCCTAAAGTCTCAGGACTTTCACTTCATTTCAGCTGCACCCCTTCTGTTGGTGTGTGAGTCTGTTCCTGCGTTGCAATAAAGAAATGTGAGATCGGAGTAATTTATAAGAAGAGGTTTCATTGGCTCATGATTCTGCAGGCTGTACAGGAAGCAGAGCAGTTTCTGCTTCCAGGGAGGCCTCAGGAAGTTTCCAATCATGGTGGAAGGTGAAGCGGGAGCAGGCAGTTCCTGTGACCGGAGTGGGAGGAAGACAGAGAGGGAGGAGATGCCACACTTTTAAACAGTAGATCTCATGAGCACTCACTCACTATCACGAAAGCAGCACTGAGTGGGTGGTGTTAAGCCATTCCTGAGAATCCGCCCCCATGACCCATCACCTCCCATCAGGCCCCACCTCCAGCACTGGGGGTTACAATTTGAATTGAGATTTGAGTGGGGACGCAGAGCCACACCGTACCCGTTGGCTTCCTCGGAAATCAGGAGCATTCTTGAAGACGCGATGCTTGCTAGGTTCGCCACCCTCAGCGTGCGGAATGAGGTGGTTTTCCACTGGGCATGTAGGTTAAACCATGCACCTTTTCTCTCTTCCGCAAATGTTGCAGTCACTGTATTGCTGCCCATGCCACACCACTGGCACAAAATGTTGACCAGGCCGAGGAAGGGTCTGAGTGCTGCAGGTCTCCTCGTCTCCCAAATGTCAGCCTGCCCTGCATTTCTGGGCACTGTTTGCTATTTCAGAACTAGAAATGTAGTTGTCTAAAGTTATACCTGCCCCCCCCCCCCTTTATTTTTGAGACTGAGCTTTGCTCTTGTTGCCCAGGCTGGAGTGCAATGGTGCAATCTTGGATCACTGCAACCTCCACCTCCCAGGTTCAAGCAATTCTCCTGTCTCAGCCTCCCAAGTAGCTGGGATTACAGACACCTGCCACCACGCTGGCTATTTTTTTTGTATTTTTCATAGAGACAGGGTTTTGCCATGTTGGCCAGGCTGGTCTTGAACTCCTGACCCCGGGTGATCCACCTGCCTCAGCCTCCCAAAATGCTGGGATCATAGGCGTCAGCCACCACACCCGGCCAGGTTATACCCTTCTTAATTCTGGGGAGCCCAGGAGAAGCACTGGGTACTCAGGGTGTGGGTTGCCTTGACCTGGGGGAGGGTGGTCCTGGTGCTGCTTTCTGGATCACCTCACTCTGCAAAAGGGGTCATGAGACCAATAACGACGGCTTTCAATTTTTTTTTCCTAGACCCTTTTAGAGCTTGGTGCATCCCCAGATTATAAAGACAGTTACGGCCTCACCCCGCTGTATCACACAGCCATCGTCGGAGGTGATCCCTACTGCTGCGAGCTTCTCCTGCACGAACACGCCACTGTGTGCTGCAAAGATGAGAACGGCTGGCACGAGATCCACCAGGTACGTGGGCCCGCTTCTCCACTCTGTTGTACCCACGAACTGACTTCCCCTTCTCCTCCGATCCCGCAGATAAGCAGGGTGGCCCAAAGGTTAGATCCTGCCTTCAGGTATTTTGTTTGGCCTGCCCAGAGTTCCTGAAAATATGTGAATTAAAAATGATTTTAAAATGTGAACGTCAGTATTTGAAAACAGACACATTTGCATAGAAATAGACATTTCTGACTTCTCTGGAGAAACTGGAAGATGAGGCAAGGCTGCTGAGTTTCTGCACAGCAGGAGTGCCCTGCAGTTATGGGGTGGACGCCCCCTTCCCAGGAGCCCTGCCCTCTCCAAGTTCCCACCGTCCTGACAGGGCAGGATACCAGAAAGCACCGGTGTTTTCTGAGCACAGGTGAGCCCCAGGAAGTCCTGATTTGCACGCACGAGGGGCGTGTTTTTCAGGCCCAACCTTGCAACAGTTGGGTTAGGAGGTAGGTCAGCCTGGTCTTGGCAAGAAACAGATTTCACCGGCTGTCTCCAGTGAAAAGTCTTTACCTGATCAGGTAGAGGTGTGGACGGGGTTAAAGGCTGAGGACCCCATAGAAGAGCAGTCTTGGGGAGCCATCAGCACCTGTGAGCTGATGGGCAGGGAGAGGAGATGATGCTCCCGGGAGCAGGAGAGCCAGGGCTGAGGAGGGGGCCCGCAGGCCCATGTCAGGGAGGACTCAGGGAAGGAATATCTGCCTCTCTTCTCTTGGCTGAGCCCTGCCAGAGTTGGAGGACAGTGAGGGAGTGCTGTGGTGCAGGCTGCAGGCCAGGGTCTCCAGGCAGAGGGGTGAGGTGGGTCTGGGAGAGCTGATAGCACCTGTCTACCTAGGAGGTCAAGAGGAGGCTCTGGAACAGCAAGGGGAGGTCAAGGACAGAGGGCCCTGACTGGTTTCTTGCTTGGTTCTCTACACAGTGACTGCCATGGTTTCTCTGGCTACCTTGTGTTCTCCTCTGCCATTACCACCTTACACACCTGTAAGGGAGGTTATGCACTCTGCCCACTGTGGTCAGACTGGGCAGTGGGGGTGCCAGCAGGCCCCGCCCTCCCTGGGCTTTCTTGTGCTAGGTCAGTTCTGGTTCATCGTCGGCCCTGCAGCCTGGAGAAGCCCCTGTTCCTCCCGAGGGATGAGTAGGGGTCTGTGGGGCTGTTCATGGCAGCCCCCGGCCCACACCCAAGCTGGAGCCCGCAGGCAGGGAAGCAGTAATGACTGGTCTTTGGAAGTCCTCTTCCATGCACCCGCCATGAGATTTCTTGTCATTATTGTGCTTTTCTTTATGAAAAAGGAAAATAATTTTCCCCTGTGATCATTAATTTTATGTGTCAACTTGGCTAGGCTCTAGCTCCTAGATATTTGATCAAACAATATTCTAGTTGTTGCTGAGAAGGTGTTTTTTAAGATGGGATTAACATTTAAATCAGTGGACTTTGAGTTAAGCCGATGACCCTCCATGATGTGGGTGGGCCCCATCCAATGAGTTGAAGGCCTTAAGAGGAAAAAGACTGAGATCCCAAGAAAGAAGGAATTCTGCCAGAAAAAGACTCCAGATTCCCGCTGAACACTGCCCTGGGTCTCCAGCCTGCCCTGCAGATTTCAGACTTACAGCCTCCGTGATTGCATGAGCCAACTCTTTAAAATATTTCTATCTTTAATTTTATGTGTCTAAGCTCTAAACTTTTAAAAATTCTCTGCGTGCATATACATATATAACATATAAATGTATCTATGTACACAGACACACACACACACACACACACACACACACACACAGAGGTTGTGTTTCTCTGGAGAACCCTGGCTGATACACCCTGAATGTAGAAGCAGCAGGACACACACACACACACACACACACACAGAGGTTGTGTTTCTCTGGAGAGCCCTGGCTGATACACCCTGAATGTAGAAGCAGCAGGACACACACACACACACACACACACACACACACACACACACGTAGTGTTTCTCTGGAGAACCCTGGCTGATACACCCTGAATGTAGAAGCAGCAGGGGACACACACACACACACACACACACACACACACACAGAGGTTGTGTTTCTCTGGAGAGCCCTGGCTGATACACCCTGAATGTAGAAGCAGCAGGACACACACACACACACACACACACACACAGAGGTTGTGTTTCTCTGGAGAACCCTGGCTGATACACCCTGAATGTAGAAGCAGCAGGACACATACACACACACACACACACACACACACAGGTTGTGTTTCTCTGGAGAACCCTGGCTGATACACCCTGAATGTAGAAGCAGCAGGATACACACACACACACACACACACACACGTTCTGTGTCTCTGTAGAACCCTGACTGATATATCCTGAATGTGGAAGCAGCAGGTGAATTCTTGCACAGCACTCGGAGGTTTTTGGGTTGGGGGAGCTGCTTCCCCTCCTCAGTCTCCTGCCCTGCCCTCGCTTTGTCCCTGGTGGAAACTCGCCAGTGTTTCTGTCCTTGTTCCCTCCTCCTTCCTCCCCTTGACCTCTTCCCCCTTTGTCAACCAACGGTTCCAGCCCCAGATGGCCCTGCCATCCCTCGGCTGTGTGTCAGTGTCAGGCCTGGCCCTTCTGAGCCTCTCCACAGCATCTGGCCCTGGCCACGCTCATTCCCTGGCCCCCTCCTCATTTGTGTCTGAGCTGTTTCAGGGGGTCCCCAAGAGGTCTCCTGGCCTGACCACGCTCGCCTCTTCACGCCTGACCCACTTCCAGCCATTCCGGGTGCACCACAGACCCTACCCACTGCTAATGGGTGCTCATCAGCCACAAACGTCGTCTACTGGGTGTGAGCCCCAGCCATGTGTCTCGGTGTCCTGAATACACAGCCTGCAGCAGTGAACAGAAATGCCTGATGCAAGCCCCTGGTGTTCCCGTGGGGGGAAACCAGACATGAGATAGAAAGACGAACATAAATTACACACACACACACACTCGCACGCACGCATGTACATACAGGTCCACATGTGCGTGGACATGCTTCTGAGCAGGCCTGACAGTGTTCTGTATTTCTGGGCACTGGTGCTCATGCAGTGGCCATGCAGACGCTCACGCCCTGAGACATGGCCCCGTTCCTCTGCCCGTCTCCTCTCCTTGCTGCGCTTGGCTGTCAGCTCTGTGCTGGTGTTTTTGAGGCCAAGCCCGTCTGCATGGCGTGAGCTTCGGCTCCTGTTGAGGATGTGGAAGAGGCAGCTCCCGAAGGAGAATCTCAGCTGTGTTGGGAGCTGTCCCAAGCTTCCAAGGTGACCTGCTTGGAAAAGGGCAGTTCTTGGGACTGCCAAAGCGCTAATGAGCTTGGTTTTTAAAACTCACTAGGCTGATTTGAGGTCAAGGTCAAGTTCAGGACGAGGGGCGGCCCCTGGTGGGGTGGTGCAGTCACCCACAAGGTCAAGTTCAGGATGAGGGGAGGCCCCTGGTGGGGTGGTGCAGTCACCCACAAGGTCAAGTTCAGGACGAGGGGAGGCCTCTGGTGGGGTGGTGCAGTCACCCACAAGGTCAAGTTCAGGACGAGGGGAGGCCTCTGGTGGGGTGGTGCAGTCACCCACAAGGTCAAGTTCAGGACGAGGGGCAGCCCCTGGTGGGGTGGTGCAGTCACCCACAAGGTCAAGTTCAGGATGAGGGGCGGCCCCTGGTGGGGTGGTGCAGTCACCCACAAGGTCAAGTTCAGGATGAGGGGAGGCCCCTGGTGGGGTGGTGCAGTCACCCACGAGACATTTCTACCAGCAAACATGGCTGGGCGAGGGGCGGGAGTCATGGAACCCTGAACACCCACATCTTTCTCGAGTCTCACAGGGTCTCCACCGAACAGCTGCCGGCCCCCAGGGGACAAGGCTGAGTTGTGAGTCTCTAAGAGACATGGACGTTGGGGACGTCCCTCCCGCCTGGCCAAATGGATAATGAGTCTTGTTCTCAGTCAACTCAAAGTCGGTGATTCACGTGAACAGAACTGTCATTTGATGTCGCTGGATGACACCATAGAAACCACTCAATGTTGTTTGTGTGTTCAGGTGTGATGAGTTCTCCAGAAAAACAGAACCAATAGGGTGTGCACATGCATGCATGTGTGTGTGTGTACAGATACAGAATTTTTTAAAATAGTATTTTGAAGAATTGGCTCATGCAGTGGTGGAGCTGCAAGTCCAAAATCTGCAGGGCAGGCTGGAGACCCAGGAAGAGTTGATGCCGCTGCGGGGATCCTGTTTGTCTCTGGCAGAATCTCTTCCTCCTCAGGGGACCTCAGTCTTTTTTCTCTTGAGGCCTCCAACTGATTGGATGGGGCCCACCCACATTATGGAGAATCATCAATTTAGTCTACTGGTTTTGAGAGCAGTCACTGACTTCATGAAGACAGGAGCGCCCAAGGAAGAGGAAGGTTTAAATTCAGGTTTCCTTTAGTGAATGAGTCCTCCAGGCACAGGACAGAGGCGTCTCTTTGTAAAAATAGTCAAATGCAGCCAGGTGCGGTGGCTCACGCCTGTAATCCCAGCACTTTGGGAGGCTGAGGCAGGTGGATCACCTGAGGCCAGCAGTTCGAGACCAGCCTGGCCAACATGGTGAAACCCTGTCTTACTAAAAATACAAAAATTAGCCAAGTGTGGAGGTACCACGCCTGTAATTCCAGCTACTTGAGCGGCTGAGGCGTGCAAATCGCTTGAACCCAGCAGGCAGAGGTTATAGTGAGCCGATATTGCGCCACTGCACTTCAGCCTGGACAATAAGAGCAAAACTACAACAACAACAACAACAACAACAAAACCAGCTAAATGCGTATGGGACCCGAAGCTCGCTTGTTCTCTGTGAGAATGCCTGCTTGAATTTGTGTTTTCCAGACATGTCTTCCCTTTAGACATCACAGTGCTCTGGTTGCATTGCTGTTTTCCTGTTGAGCTCTGAAGGTGTGATGCAGGCTAAAACCTCCTTAAACGTGGAGTAGTTCACAGAGTCCTGAATCCAGCCGCCAGCCCTTTTGCCAGAATAGCCCCTGTGTCTCAACTTTGGGGATTCCTGGAGCTCCGTCCTTTCCCCTCCCACACCCCTCCTTTTTCCTTTTTCCTGCCCTCTCTCCCAACCAGGCAAATGTCTCCGGGCCCATCTCTCCAGCTGGCCCTGGGATGGAGGTAACGGTGGAGGCTGGCAGGAGCCCTGACCATCAGTCACTCACTGCAGCTCTCAGCTGTGACTCCTGGCCTGCAAAGGGCCAGGTTCTGTCCCTGAGGCCCTGCGCTTTGCATTCAGAGCCTGGCTGTCCCAGAGCCACCCGGCCACCTTGGTCCCGGGGCCTGAGCCTGTGCAGCTGCACTGGTACCTTGGAGGCTTGAGCTCTGGGGCAGTGCACCTGCTCCCACCTCAGCTTAGAAAATGTGGAGCAGGGTTTGGAAAGCCAGCCAGGTGCGTTCACTGCCCTCTGGTGGTCTGCTGCCTGTTCATGAAAGGCCCGGAAAGCCATTTTCTCCCCTGCTAAAGATTCTCAGTGATAATGTGAAGCAACTTTGCCTTCGCGAGCCTCCTCTCATTCATCTGCAGGGCCCTTGTGCCTATCAGATGATAAGGGACGGAGCAGATAAGGGATGGGTGCGGGTGCCCTGCACGGGCCTGCAGGAGCAGCGGACAGTGCCGCCTGCCTCCCAGATCATCCTCATAAGTGCTCACATTTACCCTGCCAAGTGGCCCGGTAAATGCCACAGTGCGGGTCTCAAGTCCATCTCTAGCAGGATCTCATCCTTCTCAGGGGACCTCAGTCTTAAGGCCTTCAACTGATTGGATGGGGCCCACTCAATATTATGGAGAATCATCTGCTTAACTCCAAGTCTAATGATATATATATTATTATATATAATATATTTATATATATTTATATTATATATTATATATAATAAATTATGTATTACATAATTATATAACAAATTATATATTACATAATTATATATAATATAATATATAAATTATAAATATATAATATGTATTATATATTATAAATAATATATCATATATCATATATTATAAATGTATATCATATATAATATAACATATACTATATCTTATATAACATATATAATATAACATATACTATATCTTATATAACATCTTATATAACATATATAATATAACATATATAATATATAACATATATAACATAATATATTATATAATTTAATATATTATATAACATAATATATTATATAATTTAATATATTATATAACATAATATATTATATAATTTAATATATTATATAACATAATATATTATATAATTTAATATATTATATAACATAATATATTATATAATTTAATATATTATATAACATAATATATTATATAATATATTATATAACATATTATATAATATATATAACATATAATATGTTATATATAATAATATATAACATAATATAATATATAACATAATATATATAATATATAACATAATATATATAACATATTAATATATAACAATTTATTATGTTATATTAATATATAATTAATATATATATTAAGGTTATATAAATATATAATATATTAAAATAACAATATATATTATTGTTGTATAATATTATTATATAATATAACATAATATATTATGTTGTATCATATATTATATAATATAAATATAATATATATTATATAACATAATATATTATATAATATATTATATTTTATATAATATAATATATATAACATATAATATGTTATATATTATATTATATATATAACATATATAATATAATATATAACATAATATATTATATATATTATAATATATAATATAATATATATTTAATATATATATTATATAATATATTATATAATATATATTTTATATAATATAATATGTTATATATTTTATATAATATAATATATAGCATATATAATATAACATATATATTATATATTATATAACATATATATTATATATATATATATATTTAAGATGGAGTCTTGCTCTGTTGCCCAGGCTGGGGTGAAGTGGGGCAATCTTGGCTGATTGCAACCTCCGCCTCCTGAGTTCAAGCAATTCTCTTGCCTCAGCCTCCCAAGTACCTGGGATTAGAGGCGTGTGCCACCACGCCCAGCTAATTTTGTATTTTTAGTAGAGACAGGGTTTCAACATGTTGGCTAGGCTTGTCTCGAACTCCTGACCTCAAGTGATCTGCCCTCCTCAACCTCCCAAAGTGCTGGGATTACAGGAGTGAGCCACCATGCCTAGCCTAAAGTCTACTGATTTTGAGAGCTGTCACTGATATCATTAAAACAGGAGTGCTCCTGGAAGAGGAACATTTAATTTCAGATTTCCTTTAATGAACAAACCCTTCCAGGCACATGACAGAGGCTTGTCTTTGTAAAAATGGTCAAATGTGTATAGGACCCGTAGCAAACCCAGGCACATGACAGAGGCTTGTCTTTGTAAAAATGGTCAAATGTGTATAGGACCCGTAGCAATTTGGGGGCATTCATTGTCCTGAGCTGCTTTAATTGCACTATGATTCTATATCCTCAGAGCTGGTTACTTCTCATTGCTGTTTCCCATATGAGTTCACAGGCCCAGAGAGGGCAGGTAACTTGCCCAAGGCCACGGAGCAAGCAGTTGGCTGAGCTGGATTCACTCCTGGCCTGTCTCTTACCAGAAGCCTGGTTCTCTATGCTGCCTGTAGGGTTCTCACATCCAAACCACTCACAGCACATTTGTGGCAGAAGAAATTACAGGGGCAGGTGGGTTTTCCTGGACCTCACTGGGCTGTGCCTGGCTCTGCCCTCTCGGGAGAAGCACCTCCGAGCTCTCAGGCTGATGGGCTTTGCATTTAAAGTCTGTGTCTCTGTTCTAGCACCTGGAGAATGGACAGCCCTGTCCCAGGGTTCTGGGCGTTCATCGTGTGGGAGAGCCTGCGCGGCCACAGCCAGGCCTGCTCACAGATGCTGCAGGTGTACTCCAGGGTTCCCCAGGCCGCTGCTTTCCCATCATTGTCTCAGGCCAGGTGCACATGGCCTAAGGACACATTTCAGATCCACCCTCCACTTCACACAGTGGGGATATGCCCCATCCCCACAGGCTGATGTTAGAAGAGCCCCATTTGAGCTCAGGCTGTCTGCAAATTATCTTAAAAGTTGTTATTCGGGCCGGGTGCGGTGGCTTATGCCTGTAATCGCAGCACTTTGGGAGACCAAGGCGGGCAGATCACGAGGTCAGGAGATCGAGACCATCCTGGCTAACACGGTGAAACCCCATCTCTACTAAAAATACAAAAAAAATTAGCAGCAAGTGATGGCTGGTGCCTGTAGACCCAGCTACTCGGGAGGCTGAGGCAGGAGAATGGCATGAACCCAGGAGGCAGAGCTTGCAGCGAGCTGAGACTGCGCCACTGCACTCCAGCCTGGGAGACAGAGCAAGACTCTGTCTCCCCCCCCCAAAAAAAAGTTGTTATTCAAATTACCCTGTTTTGTTTTGTTTTTGATTACCAAAAAATTACCCATGCATCATGGAAATCTTGGAAAATACAAAGAAGTATAAAGAAGCAAGTTAAGAAACACCCCAATGCATTCCCACAACCCAAGGACATCAGGGGTCAGATTTGGGGGTATTCATTCTGTATTTTTAATTGCTAAAGACTTTTACATCCACCGTGCAACTTCACAGCACGCTGGCCCTGGCCACAGGGGGTGTGGTCCTGGAGAGGATGCCGCTTGGTGAGGGATCCAGACCCTGCGTTTCCATGTGCTGAACCCCGGTACCTTCCTTGGGGCAAAGCCTGGCTCTCTCCCTCCCTCTCTGAGTTTGACTCAGTATCTTCGGGATGAGGGACTCTCCTCATGCTGTCTGTTGGCCATATTCTGGCCTGGGTGTTATGCAGCCTGGGGTTGCAAACCCACCTCATCGCTCGCTGGCTCACCTGAGCAAGTGCCCCACCCTCTCTGAGCTTGTGTGCTAATCTCTCAGGTTGGCTGAGTAACAGTTTGTAGAGCTCTGGAGACAGCTATGACAGAATTTACGTGAGGCATTTTCTGCAGTGCCCGGCATAGACCAGGTGCTTAATAAATGTCCCTATCATTATTGTCATCATCTGTCCCCCCATCATCATCCTCATTGTCATCATTGTCATCATCATGTGGCCACGTCTGACGTCATCATTAGAAGTAAATAATACATTAGGCTGGGCACAGGGGCTCACACTATAGTCCCAGCAGTTTGGGAGGCTGAGGCAGGCAGATCACTTGAGCCTAGAAGTTCAAAACCAGCCCAGCCAACATGGCAAAACTTGTCTCTACCAAAAATACAAAAATTAGGGCATGGTGGCACATTCCTGTAATCCCAGCTACTTTGGAGGCTGAGGTGGGAGGACCCCCTGAGCCTGGAGGTGGAGGCTGCAGTGAGCCAAGATTATGCCACTGTACTCCAGCCTGGGCAACCAGAGTGAGAACCTGTTTCAGAAGGGTTGGGGGGGGGGCGGGCGTTAAGAAACAATCCGTTGTATTCAGAGAGTGCCTACCACACCTGCTCCCAGCCCCTCGTTTGATTTTGCTCCCATTGTGCAATGGGTGTGACATCAGTCTGAATGTTGTTACTGGCTGCTATTTGTTATTTATCGCATTTAAATGAAGAGTGTCCGCCTTAAAGAAATAGTTTCGGGCCACAGTGACTTCTCCTCTCCTCCTGCTCCAGGCTGCCCCCTGCCCATCCCTGGCCGGATGCCCTCAGCTCTTGAGCCTCTCTGGGCCCCACGGCGAGGGGACAGGCCCCTGATCCTCCCAGGCCTGTGGGAGGTTCTTTGCTGGAGCCCCACGTTATGTCGTTCTGGGTCCAAGCTTTCTGGTTACCTTCCTGCCAGGGTGGGACTGTGTACAGCCCAGCGTGAGCTGCCTGGTAGAGATGGGAGTCAATGCTTGACTGGAAAGTTAGCATTTAGAATGGGATGGAGCCACATGGGTTGTGGTCTTCCTTCAGATTGAGGTTTTTCTAGTGTACTGTGGTACCCACCGTGTCCAGGTGCTGAGGCGATCACTGTCCATCTAGGTATCGAGGTGATTGCTGTGTCCAGGCCCCAAGATGACCATTGCCTAGGCACTGAGATGACCACTGTTCAGGCACCGCAGTGACCGCGGTGTCCAAGCCTGGGCTTGGTCACGGTAAGCACAATGCCAGGTAGCACAGGAAGGGCCAGCGTGAACAGCAGCCAGGTGGAGAGCCCAGGAGCTCCACAGTGCCAGCCAGGAGTGGCTCATTCTGGCCAGGGGACGTGGGAGCAGTGTTGGAACCAGGCTGTGGTGCTGGCAGGTGACCCTCAGATCTGGGCAGCTGGCATGCATTGGCTCCGGGGGGACATTGTGAACAGGGTTCTGGCCCTTTGTGCTGGCATGTGCTTGGCAGCCTTGGAACTGGGACCGAGCCTCACTGTGGGACGTGGGTGCTGGCAGGTACTGCACCTTTCCAGATGAGCACCTCCAGGGTGTGAGAGTGTGGGGTCCCTGCCAGGTGGCAGGACCAGAGCACGGGAGCCCTTCCCCGTGTCACTCTGGACCTGGGGCTCAGGGTCTGCCCCTGGGCACGAGCGGCCGAGCCTCTGTGGCCCCCGTGTCTGGAGCCGCAACAGTGAGCTGTGCTTTCAGGGGATCAGCTCTGAATTGACCTGGGAGGTCAGTTCCATATTCTGAGCCCCTCTGGCCTGGCAAGGTTCTGTTTGGAGAAGGAAGAGAGGCATCCTCTCTCTCTGAGCCTCCAGAGGGAATGAGGACCCTTGAGTACCTGCCTTCCCAGTCAGCCCTGACTCTTCAGGGACATGCGGGGAACAGGAGAGGGGATGGGTGAAGACCCCGAGACCAGCACCCCACCCTCTGCACTTTGGCAGGTCCTCTATCCTGCCCTCCTGACATAGGTGACATCTTTAAGAGACCTCATCTTTCCAAAAATCATGTTATGAGAGTGATGGGCTCCATGGGGAAGGTGGGCAAGGGCCGCAGCTTTATGTGGGAATGCCAGTCATCTCTCCTTTTGGAATTATAGCATGATGTCTTTTGTCTGTGATCATTTCAGGCTGAACAGCACACATTAGTAGACCCAAAGTGATTGTGTTTGCTGCATAGGGCTGCCACTGCAAAGTTCCTCAAACAATAGACATTCATTATCTCACAGTTCTGGAGGCTGGAGTCCCAAACGAAGGCGTCGCAGGGCTGGTTCCTCCTGAGTCCTCTCTCCTTGGCTTGCAGACACCGCCTTTTCTCTGCATCTTCACAGGGTCGTCCCTCTGTGTGTCTGTGTCCCCAGCTCCTCTTCTTATAAGGATACCAGCCAGGCCAGATGGGATTAGGGGCCCCCTAATGGCCTCATTTTAACTTAATCACCTCTCGAAAGACCCTCTTCACATACAGCCCCATGCGGAGGTACTGGGGGTGGGGACTCCAACGCATGAATGCTGCAGGGATGCAATTCAGCCCGCAACACCAACAAAACTGAACTAGCCACTTTCTGGTTTGCATCACAGCCCGTCCGCTGCCCGTGTTCCTGCATTCATTCAGGTGCATTGGCCTCCTTGACTACTGGGCCAGCAGGAAGACCACAGCCAGCCTTTGAAAACCGTGGTATGCGGGGCCACGGAGCAGCTGGTGGCTCAGGCCATGCGAGGGGGATTTGCTTGTGTTTGGACGAGACGTTGTTTCTCTACTGACGGGCAGCCCACTTCCTGACCCAGTGAGAGCCGAAATGATGTGACTCTTTGTTGTGTGGGCTGTGGTGTCTCTACCTCATGTCACAAGGCATATGTTTTGGGAGAAATGCCTAAGTGTGGTTGGGAACAATTTTGTTTGGGGCACAGAGCCAAGCAGAAGTGATAGGGGGTTCGTCTCAGCCGACCTGTGCTGCTCCCCTGCAGTGCAGTGACCTCCCCGCTGCTCTGGTTGCTGTGCTGGGCATTGCACAACCCCAGGTGGCGCCGTTCCTCTTGCCATAGTTTTAGGTCCTGTAGATGTATCACCAGTGTCCAGCAGGTGGCGTTAAATGGCTTGAAGGAAGGAGCACCCTTTTTTCTAATTCACACCAAGTCTTGTGGTTGCACAGGGCGGGTGGGACGCTAGGCATCGCTGGGGCAAACAGTCTCGAGGGGAGCCATCTCCAGGTGCCCCTGCCCAGGCCTCAGCAGGAGATTCAGAGGCAGCAGACATGGGTGGAGCCTCCCACACATGCATTTTCCAAAAAGCACCTCAGGAGAGTGGGTACGGGGTGCAGGTGTCAAGGGCAGTGTTTTGCCTTTCATCCCATTACTCTCCACCCTCCTATCACCCTCTCAGCTGTCTCAACAGCCAGAGACCAGACACCCTTTTCAAAATAAGAAAAGGAGGTTAGTGTTGCTTCTCTTGTGGGAGGATGAATTCCTTCTTTTAACACTTTGGTAGCTTTCAGTATCTTTGTGTCAAGCGAGTTCGTTCTTTCTTTCCTTCTTTCCCTCCTTCCCCACTTCCCTCTCCTCTCCTTCCCTCCCCTTCCTTCCCCTCCCCTCCCCTTCCTTCCCCTCCCCTCCCCTCCCTTCCCCTCCCCTCCCTTCCCCTCCCCTTCCTTCCCCTCCCTTTCCCTTTCCCTTTCTCTTTTTCTTTCTCTCTCTCTCTTCTCTCTCTTTCTTACTCTCTCTTTCTTTCTCTCTTTTCTCGGAGTCTCACTCTGTCTCCCAGGCTGGAGTGCAGTGGCGTGATCTTGGCTCACTGCAAGCTCCGCCTCCCGGGTTCACGCCATTCTCCCGCCTCAGCCTCCCAAGTAGCTGGGACTACAGGCACCCGCCACCACACCCGGCTAATTTTTTGTATTTTTAGTAGAGACGGGGTTTCACTGTGTTAGCCAGGATGGTCTCGATCTCCTGACCTCGTGATCCGCCCGCCTCGGCCTCCCAAAGTGCTGGGATTACAGGCATGAGCCACCACACCTGGCCTATTAACTTTCTTTTTAAAATTGTAAATTACTGTTTCCATTTCCAGCTTATAGAATAGTTGCAAGAATAGTACAAGGAACTCCCATATGCCCTCCACGCGGAGAGCACATTTGAGTGGTGACGGTGTCCCAGTAACATCCCTGATAGAAGAGGATCCAGCCTGGGACCTGCCTGGAGCCTTTCCATCTGGGAGACTCCCTCGGGCTTCCCTTAATTCCTATGGCTGTGACTGTTTTGAAGATTTTGGGGCGGTCATTTTGTTGGGTTTGCTCAGTGTTTGCTCGTGATGGGATCCAGCATATGCATTTGGCAGGAATGCCTTAGAAAGGATGCTGTGCTGTCAGCATCACACCTTCACGGGGATACATGGGGACCATTCGCCTGGTACTCATTGTGGAGGTCACACCGACCACCTAGTCAGGTGGGGTCTGTTGGGTTTCTCCTCTTTTGATGCAGGGCAGGTGAGCCCAAAAATGGGGGCTTAGCCCAGGAGGGCTCTTGGCTCCACCCAGGAAAGAATTCAAGGGCAGGATGGTGATGTTGGCAAAACCTTTATTGAAGCAGCTGTGAACAGCAGCAGAGACTGCTCCTTGCAGAGCAGGGCTGCCCCAGAGGCAGTGTACCCAAAGCAGCAGCTCAGAGGCCGGGCTGCACTCACATTTATACCCACTTTTAATTACATGCAAATTATGGGGCAGGTTCTGCAGGAATTGCTAGGAAAAGGGTGGTAACTTCTGAGTCGTCAGGCCATTGCCAGGGAAAGGGGTGGTAACTTCTGGGTGTTGCCATGGCAACAGTAAACTGATGTGGCACACTGATGGGCGTGTCTTATGGAAAGCTGCTTCTGCCCCGCCCTGTTTTAGCTAGTCCTCAGTTTGGTCCGGTGTCTGAGTCCCGCTTCCTGAGTCCCACCTCCTGCCTTACTTTGCTCCTTTGTAATTAATAGATCTTGTTTGGTGATCTTTGAGGCTATGCAAAAATCTGTTTTCTCATACCCCTTTCACCTGACAGTTTTGGCATCCATTGGCCTTTCTTGCCAGAATTAATGCTATTATGGTTGCTAAATGGAGATTTTTTTTTAATCCTACCATTGCTTCTACATTATTAGTTGGCTTGCTGTTGTAAAGAAAAGCTTTCTCTTCTTGTTTATTTATTCATATATTTACAACAAGGCAGACTTGCAGAGTTCTCTTTATTCAGGAGGTAATAATCTGTTATTATTATCCCAGTTTTAGCCAGTGGGTGTCCCTTCAGGATGGCTCCTGTGTCCTTGGGACACAGCCCCATTGATTTTTTTTTTTTTTTTACCATTTCCTTTATTTCTGGCACAACAAGATATTTCAAGCTCACCTTGCTCTTTCCTTGCCTCAGGAATCAGCTGCTTCTCCAAGGAGCCTGATTCTTTTTAGTGTGGAGTGGTATTTAGAAGCCAAGGTGCAGGTGCTTGGGGTGCTGATGGCTGCTGGGCTGTTGCTGGTCCTGCACCCTCTCAGTAGGCAGAGTTAGGGATGGGTAGACACACAGGCATCCACATTTTCATTTTTATTAGTCTCTATATTAGGAACCGTGAGTTTCTACTGATACTCCCATTCCAAGCCAACACCACAAGGCATATTCTAGTTTTCTCCTGTACTGTATTTGTAACTTCCTTGACAGTGAGAGCCCAGCTCCCATTCCCTTTCCTGAGTGTCCTTGTGTGTGCAGAGCCCTGCGTGCAGCCGTCTGTGGACCCTTCTGCCCACCACCTGGCTTGGATCCCCCTCACCCCCCTGCATGGCAGCTGCATCTTCCTCAGCAGGTGTGAGCTCCGTGCCTCAACCACCAGGGGTTAAAACAGAAAGAAGAGACTAGCCGAAATGACACTTAAAAAAAAAAAATTACTGCTAGTGCTAAGACTGTGGGATTCTGGGTGACTTTTGGTTTTTGTTCAGCCCTTTTCTGTATTTCCCGGGTTTGTGTGTTATAAAACAATGGATGTGGGAAAAGTGGAAAATGGAAGCATGCTCTTGGGAACACGCCTACGAGACATCCACCCGGAGTCAGCGGTTCCGTTTCATCTCTTCCCATTGAGCCTATTTTGCCCTTGCAAGGGAAGAGTGCTCTGGTGCCATCTGACTGATGGAACTTACAAGCTCATAAATTCAGATTAACCGGGGGAAGGGGAATAA
Organism: Homo sapiens; assembly: GCF_000001405.40. Classification (NCBI taxonomy): domain Eukaryota; kingdom Metazoa; phylum Chordata; class Mammalia; order Primates; family Hominidae; genus Homo; species Homo sapiens. Next base: position 71,077,310 of record NC_000011.10, on the reverse strand, counting down.
TGAGTGTGGATTAATTGTTCAGTGTTTTTATGCTAACATTAGTTGTCTTTATTGACCACAGAGCAATTAAATTAAGCTTTAACAAAGTGTTGCCTCCCAGAAGTCCTTTGGGGAGTGCCAAATAGCCAGGGATCCTTCAGTTCAAGGAACACAAATCCCAATGCAAACGACTGGGTGAGGGGAGGGAGTTATGCCTCATTGTTATGTCCCGGAAATTCCAGGGTCAGTTGCAGCTTAGAGGGGCTCAGACAGTGTCATCTTGGCTTTGTGCATGTCTCTTCCTGTCTCCTCTCTTTCTCTCTTTCTTTCCTTTCCTTTCTTCCTCTCCCTGCCCCTGTCACACATCCCTTCTGTGTTGAGGGTCCCAGCAGCTCCCAGGCTCTGTCACTTTTCTGCTCCCCACTCTGGAAGAAGGAAAGAACTTTTTCCCCAGTAGTTGTGATGAATGTTCTAGCTTGGGACTTGGTAGCTTCTCTAAGGTCAGCTGGGCGTCCCTTACTGTGCCTGGGGAGTTGGAACCTGATGGCTCCTGCCTATGTCCTGTGCCTCTGCAGGAGCAGGGTGGGGAGGCCTTCCCTGGACCTCTGAGAGTGGAGCTGGGGTAGCCCCCAAAGGCAAACGCAGGTGGAGTTCCCAGAAGAAGGGGCCATGGGGGCCGGGCAGGTGACAGCAAGGAAACCTGCAACAGGGATCTACTTTATAAATTAATGAGATTTGTGGGAGACACAGCAATGGTAAATGGAAATTTCTCGTGTGTGTGTGTGGTTTTTTTTTTTGTTTTTCGTTTTTTGTTTTTGTTTGTTTTTTTTTTGTTTTGTTTTGTTTTTATAGCTCATCCAATTAATAGTTTCAATATCTTCCCTGTCATCTTTCCTCACTGTTAATTGCTGAGGTGTAGCTCTTTCTCGTGGACCCTGAGAAGGTGAAATTCACCTCTATCTGTCTCAATTAGCAGTAGAGCAGGATTCATGAGAACCCCTTCCTGGGCTACCATGGCGCCTACTGCTCTCAACACCCCTAGGCTGCCTGCCCTTGGTGGGGCTCACCTCTTTCCCTCCCGACCCTGGGATTGAGATGTGTTAGGTCAGGACCGACTTTTCTCCAGGTCCAAGGTTGTGGCCACCATGTCGAGCAGTGTGTGGCTGGACAGAGGGGCCCTCATCACCTGTGCGGGGACCTCCCTGGCCCCTGTGAGCTTGGGTGGGGAGGGGCATCACTGACTCACCAAGTGCTGACTCAGTGCCCAGCCTCGTGTGAGGCCCTGTGGTGTTCTTTGTCCCACGTGATTCTCATCTGAACCCTGTGAGGGTTAAGGGTTGTTTCTGCCTACAGATGAGGGTGCACATAGGTACTCAGGCGAAAGTTCTGATAAATGGTTCAGGACTGGGTCTGTTTGACCCCTGGGCCCTGACGGTTCACAAGTCACACATGTTGCAGTTCTCAGAGAGGAGTTATCATAGTATGGGTCTGCCCTACCCCTGCGTCCTGCAACTTACTTAGGAGCTGGACTGCATTAAAGCAGTCGTGGGGCCGTCCGTCGCACGTCGAAGGACAGGGCTCACTCCTGTGGATGCAGTGCAGGGCTGTGAAGGCCTCTCCTGGCCATTTTGTGCTGCCCCCTTGGAAGGGGGAGCTTGGGTAACTGAAGCCGGGTCTGAGCCTTCTGGTTTGCATCTTGTGGAGCTGGGCACTGAGGATGGGAGAAAGACATCCTGCACCTCTGGGCTCTAGGCCCCGGGATCAGGATGGAAGGGACTTTGGGGCCCCTTCCCAGACCCTCTGTCTCACAACTGAGCACCAGTCCCCAATCCCACCATGAAGGTCTTTCTCCCTGATCCACAGCCAGGGGTCTGGTGGTGCATGCTGATGTCTTTAGAGCGCTTGCCCAGATGGTGGGTGGGTGGTTGGGGTCTGCACAGGCCCTGCCCTGCCTTGGGGTTCTGGTGGAGCAGCCGAGTGGCTGGTGTACTTTGTGTGTGCATGCGGCTGTCGTGGCGGAGGGTTCCTGATTCACAGCCTGGGTTCTGTGTTTCAGGCCTGCAGGTACGGGCACGTGCAGCACCTGGAGCACCTGCTGTTCTACGGGGCAGACATGAGTGCCCAGAATGCCTCGGGGAACACGGCCTTGCACATCTGCGCCCTCTACAACCAGGTGAGTGCTGAGCGCATTTAAAGGAAATAATGTATACAGTGGTCCATTTCCAAAACAAAGTGCCTTAAATTGGCTTACGTCAGCCGGGCGCGGTGGCTCATGCCTGTAATCCCAGCACTTTGGGAGGCTGAGGCGGGCGGATCACGAGGTCAGGAGATCGAGACCATCCTGCTAACATGGTGAAACCCTGTCTCTACTAAAAATACAAAAAATTAGCCGGGCATGGTGGCAGGCACCTGTAGTCCCAGCTACTCGGGAAGCTGAGGCAGGAGAATGGCGTGAACCCAGGAGGCGGAGCTTGCAGTGAGCCGAGACCGTGCCACTGCACTCCAGCCTGGGCTACAGAGCGAGACTCCGTCTCAAAAAAAAAAAAAAAAAAAAAAAATTGGCTTAGGTCAGCAAACTACAAAAGAAACAAAATATACTAAGCCCCTGCTTAATTAGCCAATGCCTGCTTGTCAGCCCCTGCCCCTTAGTGGCCCTCACCCAAACCAAAAAAGTTTAGTCTAAGATGAAACTTTGCTAGCTTGCAAAATAGCTCGCATTGTCTGTTCTTATCAGCCTGCCCAGCTACTTGGGTCATAAGTCAAATACTTAAAAAGCCCCTAAGTTAATTAAAATTGCAACACATTGTGGACTGCAGCAAAACACAGCAAAACAATCCTTAAAAAAACACGTAAAGCCCCAACCCAACAACCAATAGGCAACGTCCAGAAAAATTGTAACCCACAGTACTCAGCCTTTGAGGAGCTGGGGGAGGGACCTGTGTACTGGGGGATAAATTGCTTGTTGAAACCATGCTGGGTGTGCCTGCCCATCAGACACCTGATTTGCAAAACCATCATTAAGAGTCTCACTTTCGCTGTTCTCCGGGTCTCTAAGTCCATTCTTTGGGTTTAAACGGGTAAGTTTGTTTCTCACACGCTGCAGTGGCACGCACCCCAGCCAGCCCTGACCCTGGGGGGCACCGGGAAGGCCTTGCAGGGGGCATCTCAGGTCATCCTCACCTGCTGCCTCAGTGGGAACTGTTACCCTGTTGTAGAAGGGAGGAAACAGAGCCCCAGGAAAGCAAGGCGAGCATCCCACTCCCACAGCTGGTGCCAGAACTGGGCTCAAGACTCAGGTCTGGTCAGTGCCACGCCTCCATGCTGTCCATGCTCCATAAGATGCGTGAGGAGCCGGGCTCTCTTGTCCACCCTCTGTAGCTGGGATGCAAACTCTGTTCAGTTCTGGAGTCAGCCATCTACCCCGTCAGCAGGTCTCTATATGGAACATGGAGAGGGGCAGATCAGAGTCATGAGATGGGGAAGGACGTGGCGGACAAAGCCCCAGGATAGTTCTGGTACCCCCACCAGGCATGCGTGGCACCATCACATGAAAAAAGCAGGCCTTCCAGCCAGGTGCAGCAGCTCATACCTGTAATCCCAGTGCTTTGGGAGGCCGAGGGAGGAGTGGATTACTTGATCTAGTTTGAGACTAGCCTGGGCAACATGGTGAGACCCCATCTCTACAAAATTTTAAAAATCAGCCGGGTATGGTGGCATGTGCCTGTGGTCCCAGCTACTCAGGAGGCTGAGGTGGGAGGATCACTTGAGCCCTGGGGGTTTAAGGCTACAACAAGCCAAGATCATGCCACTGCACTGCAGCCTAGGTAACAGAGCAAAACCCTGTCTCCAAAATAAAAATTAAAAAAGCAAGCCTGGCCAGGCGCGGTGGCTCACTCCTGTAAGCCCAGCACTTTGGGAGGCCAAGGCAGGCGGATTGCTTGAGGTCAGAGTTCAAGACCAGCCTGGCCAATGTGGTGAAACACCATCTCTACTGAAAATACAAAAATTAGCCGGGTGTGATGGCATGTGCCTGTAATCCCAGCGACTCGGGAGGCTGAGGCAAGAGAATTGCTTGAACCCGGGAGGCGGAGGTTGCAGTGAGCTGAGATAGTGCCACTGCACTCCAGCCTGGGTGACAGAGCAAGACTCTATCTCAAAAAAAAAAAGAAAAAAAAGAAAAAAAAGAAAAGAAAAAGAAAAAAAACAAAAAGCAAGCCTTCCACCACTGCATGGGACAGATACGCCCCAATGTGCTTTTTCATTAAGTGGTAAAATACACATAACAAAATTTAGGCCATTTTAACCACTTTTAAGTATGCAGTTCGGTGGCATTAAGTACATTTACATGGCTATGCAATTGCCTGCCATTCATCTCCAGAACTCTCTTAATCTTGCAAAATTGAAACTCTGTCCCCATCAAATGTAACTCTCCCCTCTCCTCAGCCCCTGGCAACCCCTGTTCACTTTCTGTGTCTGTAGATTTTCCTGCTGTAGGGACTTGATATGAGTAGAAACATAAAGTGTTTGTCCTTTGGTGTCTGGCTGATTTCACTGAGTGCAATGTTTTCGAGGTTTGTCCACGCTGTAGGCTGTGTCGGAATTTTTTATCCTTCCTTTTTAAGCTGAATAATAGTTTTAAGGTAAATAATACTCCCTTGTGTGGATCATGTGCGTGGACATCTGTCAGGGGACCCTCGGTGGCTTCCACCTTTTGAGTGTCGTGGATAATGCAGCTATGAGCATAGATGCAACCATGTGTTCAAGACCCTGTTTTCATTTCTTTCGGGGAAAAATGCCCACAAGTGGAACCTTGATGTGAAAAAGCAAATCATCTTCACACTTCCCTGTAAGACCAAGTGTGAGAGCCGAGGAGAGCAGGACGTGAATGTATCTAGGAAACACTGAAGGCTTCTGGGATGTGAGCCCTGCCCTCTGGGAGGCTGCATCCTAAATGACAAGGCCAAGTGACACCCCGCCCAGTGTGTGCACCGTGGCCTCACGGGGAGGTGAAGCAGGGGCGTGGGGGGCTGTTGGTCCCGCAGGAGGCTGCTGGTCCTGTAGGAGCGGGGAAGCCATGGGGGGTTAAGTGGTGGGGGCGGCCTGTGGAGTGGAGCTGGTGAGAAGGGGCCCTGGGCTCACGGGGGCATAGGTGGGGTGCAGGCACTGCTTTAGGAGGACAGGGGGCTGTTTCTCTGTTTCCTTGGTGCTCAAAGTCAGGTGAATTCCTGGACATCACTATTGAAGGACTTCTCTGTCCGTGCCTTCTTTTTTCTCTTTCTCTGATCTCAAGGAACTTCAAATCTGGAGGGTGTCGAGATGTGGATGCTACACTAAGCGGCAGAGCAGCGTGGGCTGGGAGGGGATGTGGCTCTTTATCCTGGAGGAACAGAGGGAGATCTCAGAGGAGGAACTCTGCTGGATGCCCAGGGCTCTTTGTGCCAGGGTCCATCCTCTGCAGGCTGTCAGCATTCTCTTCCCATCCCAAAGCAGTGCTCCCATCCTGTTGGCTCATGGTGGCCTCCGGGGTGGAATCTCAAGCCTCATCCTTTACCCAAGCCATTCCCCAGCCCTTCCATGGCTCCTCACCAGCCCAGGCCCCTCCAGCCACTCTGCTGGAGTCCCACTTTGCTTCTAGCTGTTCAATCTTCCTGGATTCTTTGCCCTGGAAAACTCCTATGCATCCTTCAAGATCCAATTCAGACTTCCTGACCCTCAGTCAAGCCTTCTGCTGATGACTCCCTCACATAGTTGTACATTTTTCTCTGCAGCCCTTTGTGAGACATAGCCAGGGCAAAATGTCCAGGACCAGGCAGTTATTATGCCTTCCCTGTTTTCTCTGCTGATGCTCCCTTCCCCTTGGGTCCACCTGAGAGGAAGCACGTGTGGATATCATCAGAGGCATAAGCCGCCATCTTTCATAGCTGCGGTTGGGTGGCATTTCAGCTGAGCTGTGAGCAGCATTTTGCAGAGCTGCAGACTTCCCCCACTCAAAGAAAGCACATTGATGTAGTTTGTATGCAGCTGTGTCCCTAGGTATGCCACGGGGTGTGAATGCTGAAATGTCTGTGTGAGTGTGGAGATACATTACTCAGCTGCATTAGAAAAACACATCATGAGGCTTGGCTGTGGCTGGTAAACACATCTGCACCAACATCTGCTTCCTAATTACTGCTTTGGATGGAAAAAACATTCCTTAATTTTCCCCAGTAGATTGCAAGCACATTTTATCTTGAAAACTCAAGAAAAGTCTGTTTTTTGTCACTTGAAATAATTGTGGACAAGATGGTATTTGAAAGTGTTGATGTTTCTTTCTGATTAGAAAAGGTTAACACATTTTGATGATCTGTATTGAGCTTGACTTGGTATCACTCCACACTCCACATGCCCCATATCTGTCCTATGCCTCAGCTGCCGGCTCCAGGAGGGTCCCAAGCTGGCTGGGGCTCTCAGGACATCCTCTCCCCACCTCGGGCCTCAGGTTAGCACATGAGCCATCTGCTTTTGCTATAAAGAGCCAGTTGGGTAACATTTTAGGCTTTGCGTGTCGCATGGACTCCGTCATAACGATTCAACTGCCACTGTAGTGCAAAAGCAGCCATAGACAGTATGTAAGTCAGAGTGTAGCCGTGTTCCAATAAAACTTTATTTACAAAACAGGGAGTGGGCTGATTTGGCCTGCAGGCCATTCTTCTCTAAGCCTTGGAATGGAAGGCTGCATCTCCTCCTCTCCCCCATTTGTCTTATTGATGGATCCCCCTCCCCAGGATTGAGTGGCTTCTCCTGCAGCCAGGAAGCCTCTGGAGGTAGTATGGAGAGCTCTCCCATTCCAGGGCGGACAGCTGTTCCAACTCCTGCCTGTGTGCCCCCTCTTCTGTCTGGGTAGAAATGCATTAGCTGGCTCCCCTGGTTTTGATTTCCAGCCTTGCCTAGCCTCCAAGAACCAGTGGGCAGGGTCATAGGCTCTGGACTGGTTGGCCCCTTGACCTCTGGCTACAGTGTCAGTCGGAATGTCTGCGAGTGGTCTAGGATCCAGCTTCGTGTATCCCTCATACTCCTCCTTAGGGTTCTAGGGTGTCTTTAATCTCCTCCCTCATGCCCTCCCCAAACTCTTTGGAGTGTCTCACTGATGTAGTTAAAGAAGCTGGTCCAAACCACATCTCGTGTGATGCCAAGAGAGGCACAGCTTCATGTCTGCATCTTCCAGGTGCCAGTAAGTGACCAGGAGGAATGCAGAACCCCTACCTTTGTCCTGCAGGCACTGCGTGTTGTACTTGACCCAAAGCTTCTTTCCTTCCTGAGTCACCATTTGAACACCTTGCTATACTCACTCCCCCTTGTCTACACATGTATGAGGCATGTGGTTCATTAGAGCAGGCACTCATGCAGGGGGCAGAAACCACTCTAGCAACTTTAAGCAGAAAGGGTGCCATACAGGGCACACACACACAGGGCATGCAGGGAGTAGTGTTGAACAACAGACTGTTCAGGGATGGGACAGAGGTGCCTTTGAATCAAGACAGGATTCAAGGAAAGGAGTCAGGAGGCAGCCCTGAGGAAGTGGAACAGTAATTCAAAGAGGCATGGTGGTCTGGGTTTCATCTGGACTAGCCCATTGCCTTGCCTTGCTATGCTGTCCTGGACAACCTATTGTCTCTCTAGGGCCCTGAATTTCCTTATCTGTAATGTGGGGATAATTAAACCGAATTCACAGGGTTGCTAAGAGGCTAAAAATAGAAAACAAATATATGGTAATATGGTATTCCTGGAACATAGTAGATGCTCAGTAAATAGTGGCTGTAATGATAGCAGTGGTGTTAGTGGTGATGGTGAAGGTGGTGATGATACTGTTGCTGATGGTCGTCATGAGGCTGGCGATGGTGGTGGTGCTGATGATGGTGGTGATGATGAAGGTGGTGATGGTGAGGCTGATGGTGATAATGATGAAGGTGTTGATGATGAAGGCAGTGATGGTGGTGGTGGCAATGATGAAGGTGGTGATGATGATAGTGGTGGTTGATAGTGATGATGGTGAAGGTGAAGATGATGATGGTGCTGATGGTGGTGGTGGTGATGGTGACAGTAACCATGGTAATGGTGATGGTGGTGGTCATGGTGACAGTGATGGTGATGATGGTGGTTGATAGTGATGGTGCTGATGATGGTGGTGAGGGTGGTCATGGTGATAGTGATGGTGGCCATGGTGATGGTGATGATGGTGGTGGTTGATAATGATGATGGTGATGATGGTGGTGGTGGTGGTGATGGTGATGGTAATCATGGTGATGGTGATGATGGTGGTCATGGCGACAGTGATGGTGATGATGGTAGTGGTTGATAGTGATGGTGCTGATGATGGTGGTGAGGGTGGTCATGGTGATAGTGATGGTGGCCATGGTGATGGTGATGATGGTGGTGGTTGATGGTGATGATGGTGGTGGTGATGGTGATGGTAATCATGATGATGGTGATGACAGTGGTCATGGTGACAGCGATGGTGCTGATGATGGTGGTGAGCATGGTCATGGTGATGGTGATGGCAGTGCAGCAGAACAAATGAGGTTTCTAGCTGAGCTGTAACCTCCACATTGGAATTACCCAAAGAACCTGTGAATAGTACAGCTGCCAGGCTTCCAGCCCATAACCCAGAATCCCAGTGATGCTGAAGAATCTTCAGAGCAGCAGCTGGCTCCACTGTGAGACAGGACCAGCATACCAGACTCCATGCCCATTAAGGTCTCTTTCCATTCTGCCCTCACAGAGCATGACCAAAGTCACTATGGCATCTAATGGTGGCTTGACAGCCCTTCTCCCTGAACATGGCCTGTGGTCGCCAAATACACAGTCATGGTTGCGGTGTTGCATTGTGCTGCTGGGGAACTTGTCAAGCAAAGGCACTTTATTTGCCTTCCCTAGATATTCAGATTCTTCCAGTCTCTTTGGATGAGTCTTACAGCCCTTGAGCTTTTCTGCTACAGACACTGGGGGTCAGGATGCAGTCTTCTGTTGTCTAGGACTGTGCCAAGCATTGCTGGGCATTTAGGATTCACAGTTTCTGGGCTCTAAACAGCAGGAGTGTCTGTCACTCAGTGAGCCATTGAGACTACTTGTGTACATCACCCCCTTCCTCTTTCTACTTGTAGATTAAGTCATGGTACTAATGATGATGGCAGTGCTGATGGTAATGATAGTGACGGTGATCATGTTCATGGTGAGTGACGGCAGGTGATGGTGATGATGATTGTGATGATGGTGGTGATGGTGATGGTTGTGATGGTGATGATGGTTGTGATGGCGATGGTGGCGATGATGCTAGTGATGATATGGATGGTGATGATGGTGATGGTGGTGGTGATGATGGTGGTGAGGATGGTGGTGACAGTGATAATGATGATGGTGATGGTGGTGATGCTGGTGATATTGATGATGATAGTGGTAGTGGTGGTGGTGATGATGGTGGTGATGGTGATGGTGACAGTGGTCATATTGTTGGTGAGCGATGGTGGTGGTAGTGGTGATGTTCATGGTCATAGTGGTAGTGGTGGTGGTGGTGATGATGGCAGTGATGGTGATGGTGGCGACGGTGATAGTGACGATGGTCTCATTGATGGTGACTGATGCAGGCTGGTGATGATGATGATGATGGTGATGCTGCTATTGACGATATTCCTGTAACAAGCCTCTCCTTGTTAGATCTAAAAGCACCCAGGTGTATGGATTGTTACATGTGCTTTATCAGTTTTAGGCAGGCCTTACCACCTCCACACTTGTAATAAAATACACTATGATTAGAATGTTCTCTCTTCTTTTATGAAATCACCTAATTAGGGCTTTGATTGTAAGTATCAAATTGTGTCTAATCTGTCAACCCCTCACCTCATCCTGGCTCTCCAAGAGCTCCAGAGGGAGGGGAGCAGCCTGGGGTTCATTTTTCTGCCCTGGATGATGAAGGAGCGAAGCAAGTTTTAAATATCAAAGGTTACTAGGCTAGGCCAATTTGTCTGGAAGGTAAAAATAATAAAAAACAGTCTGCCTGTCTTTGATACCAGCACGAGCCAGGGTAGGAAGACGTGGTGTTTCCTGTTTGCATCTGTGCCCTTGCTGGTGTCCCACGGGGAACCTGTCCGAGCTGTGGCAGCTCCCATGGGGCCATCATGGGGTGATGGCCCCCTGAGCATTGGGCGTTGTGGGTGTGGGTCTCGCTGAATGGCGACGGTGTCCACACGCCCTTTCCTTCACCTCCCCCAGCTCTGGTGGGTGGCTGGCTTGGTTGGCTTTCCCTTTATACAGGCCAGAAGATGCAGGAGTGGTCAAAGGCCGCTCCGTTAGTAAATGAGGAAGCCAGGTTTCCAACCCATGCCTTGTGGATGCATTCCTGTAACCCACTGACTGGGGAAGGGGCCTCTACTGGGCACAGGTCAGGCAGAAGCACCTATGTCCACGGCAGTGAGGGGTGTGTTCGTACTTACCCTGGCCCTTACTTACAGGCACAGCTCTTCAAGGGGTGGGCTGGTCTGAGGGACCAGGTTCCAGCCCTGTCCCAATGACACAAGCGTCCCAGCCACTTCCCCGTTTTACTTATGCAGACATCTTAGTTGTTTTTACATTTATGGCTGCCCAAAAGGCCTTATTTCAAAAGATAGCTTAACCTGAAAACAAACTCCTGATTTACACTTTGGAGTGTGCAGTAATTTGTATCTGTGACATTTAAGTGAAGACAGCCTCAGTGCCGTTGAAAGGAAATGGCTTGACGGGGCCTGGAGCTTCCGAGTTAACATCCTGGTTGCAACGTTGTCTGTGCCTGTGGGCATGTCTGCCACCAGTGTTTCTACTTTTGACCTCTGCCTTCTCTTACGTCATGCCCATTTGCTTATGAAGACACTCCACCCACTTCTGTCTCCAGAAGTTCCTTGGCTTCACGGACCCCCTGCCCACCTTCCCTGCTCACTGCTCATCTCCCTGGGAGACTTCTGCACCCCCCCAACTTCCCCACTCACTGCTCATCTCCCTGGGAGACTTCTGCACCCCCCACAACTTCCCCACTCTCTGCTCATCTTCGTGGGAGAGTTCTGTACCCTCCCCCGCCAACTTCCCCACTCACTGCTCATCTCCGGGGGAGAGTTCTATACCCCCCCCAACTTCCCCACTCACTGCTCATCTCCCCAGGAGAGTTCTGCACCCCCCCCACCCAACTTCCCCACTCACTGCTCATCTCCCTGGGAGAGTTCTGCACACACCCCCCCCACCAACTTCCCCACTCACTGCTCATCTCCCTGGGAGAGTTCTGTACCCTCCCCCAACTTCCCCACTCACCACTCATCTCCCTGGGAGAGTTCTGTACTCCCCTCCCAACTTCCCCACTCACTGCTCATCTCCCTGGGAGACTTCTGTACCCCGCCCCCACCAACTTCCCCACTCACCGCTCATCTCCCTGGGAGAGTTCTGTATCCCCCCCAACTTCCCCACTCACCGCTCATCTCCCTGGGAGAGTTCTGTATGCCCCGCCCCCAACTTCCCCACTCACCACTCATCTCCCTGGGAGAGTTCTGTACCCCTCCTCCCCAACTTCGCCACTCACTGCTCATCTCCCTGGGAGAGTTCTGTACCACCCCCAACTTCCCCACTCACTGTTCATCTCCCTGGAAGAGTTCCGCACACCCCCCACAAACTTCCCCAGTCACTGCTCATCTCCCTGGGAGAGTTCTGCACACACCCCCCTGCAACGTCCCCACTCACTGCTCATCTCTCTGGAAGAGTTCTGCACACACCCCTCAACTTCCCCACTCACTGCTCATCTCCCTGGGAGAGTTCTGCACATACACCCCAACTTCCCCACTCACTGCTCATCTCCCTGGAAGAGTTCTGCACACACCCCCCAACTTCCCCACTCACTGCTCATCTCCCTGGAAGAGTTCTGCACACCCCCCCACAACTTCCCCAGTCACTGCTCATCTCCCTGGAAGAGTTCTGCACACACACACCCCCACAACTTCCCCACTCACTGCTCATCTCCCTGGGAGAGTTCTGCACACACCTCCCACCAACTTCCCCACTCACTGTTTATCTCCCTGGAAGAGTTCTGCACACAGACCCCTAACTTCCCCACTCACTGCTTATCTCCCCGGGAGAGTTCTGCACACGTGGCTTCCACCTTCTCATGGCTGTTGTCTCACTGACACAGTGTGGTCAGACTTTCACCCCTGCTTGCTCAAACCCAGTCACACCCACATGGCACTTCCAAGGTCCCGTCTCTGTCCCCATCCAGCTCAACGTTTCTGTGGCATCTCTCGGCGTCTGCACTGCACGCTCCTGTTACCCAGATTCCCTCCTGCAGTGACTCCCGAGGTGACCTCCGGCGGGCCTGTCTGTGTCCTTGTGCGCCTTCTAGAAAACCCCAAGAGTCCCCAGTCGGAGTCTCCCAGCTCACTTCTGCCCTGAGCTCTGGCAGTGATGTCTGCTCCTTGCCAATGGCCCCACGTGCCGACCTCTTAGGAGACTCCAGTGTGGCAGCTGCTCCCCACTCTGTAAATAACGCCCTTCCCCTGGAGCTCAGGCCCGAAACCTGGCCACCTCCTGTTTCTCACCGTCCCTCTCATCCCGGGACTTGTCCATTCCCTCTCCACCCTCTCTGGGCCCGTCTACCCCTCTTGTCCCCTCCACCCCTCTTGTCCCCACCACCCTTCTCACCCTTGCCTGGGGCCCTGCTGTCTCTCCCTGGGACTATGTATTCACCATCCAGCCTCTTTCCTTCCAGTCTGTCTTCCCTCAAATCCACTTTCTGTCACCCAAGTTCTTCATCCCTCCCCTGCTGAGAACCCCCTTTGCATAACCCAGGGCTTGTGTCCTGTGCCCTTCTCTCCTATCCAGCCCAGCTCATCCCAGCTTGCTGCTGCCTGGCCCCACCACTGCCTTCCTGCCTCCCGGCCCCTTGCCGGTTTCTACTTCGGTTCTTGGTGCTCTGCTGGGGTGGCCTCTGCCTCCGCCCAGCTGTCCCCAGGCTCTCTCTCCTCCCATCCCAGGACTCAGCTTGCCCAGCCAGCCGCATCCTCTCCACTGTCTGCATCAGACCCACCCGTCCTGACGTTGTGTGGTTGTTTTCTGTGCCCCCTCTCCAGCCCAAGCCTGGCAGAGACCTTGACTTTCTGGTTTGCATCTGTGTCCCCAGGGACTAGGACAGTACCTGGCAGCTCCATGAGGACTCACTGCATGCATCGATGAGTGGCTTTCTCTGTCTGTCTCTTCATCTGTAAATGGAAATGATGGGGTCTGGGGAATCCAGCAGCCAGTGGGAACTGCAGGTCTTCATATGTAAATGGAAATGATGGGGTCTGGGGGTCCAGCAGCTGGTGGGAACTGCAGGTCTTCATCTGTAAATGGAAATGATGGGGTCTGGGGGTCCAGCAGCTGATGGGAACTGCAGGCACACTGTGTTCTCAGCGGGCACAGTGCGAGCCCCAGGAACGCTCCTTCGTGGGGAGGTACATTTATTAAGGGAAGTGTCTCGGAAAATTCATGCCAAGAGAAAAAGTGGCAGTGAAAATGATATTCTTCTTGATGCTCGGGTCTTCAAAAAGCATTCCAATTGCTTCTATATTTATACTTCACTGAATTATTTAAAAGGATAAAGACCTGTCAGATAAGATACACCTCTGAAAGGAATCCAGGGCAGCCAGCAGCCTCGCAAGGGAGCCAAAAGCTCCCACCAGCACCTCCTGGATCACAGTTTTTCCTTTCTCCTCCTTTCTGAAGCCGCAAGTTGTTGCAGTTTTTCACATTAACCTTCTCTGTAAAATGGGCCTCCTGTTCTCCCTGGCAGAGAGTTCTCCCATACCTTGAGAGTTAAACCAGAAGGAGCGGGTAGATGGGCATTTTGAACTGCAAACACACATGTTCACACACGTGTACACAGACACATGTGTGATATGCATACATACATGGAGGTATCATTGTTATTAAGCCAAGTGAACCATGTACCCTTGAATTTCAAAATAACTAACTGGAACCTGAGCTCTTTTTGACGTCTGGGAAACACGTGGTAATGGGTCGGAGGTATGATATTGACTCCGTCAAAGTCATTGAGTGACTGGAGGTAGTGGAGGATTTTTCTTGGATCCTAACTGTATCGCCCTGGAATGGCAGTGCCTGCTGAGGATTTATTCTTAACTTTCTATAGGAAGTACATGTCCTTTATAATAGGGAATTTTATTTTCTTTACTTTTTCTTTCTTTTCCCTCCCTCCCTGTCTTTCTCTTTCTCTTTCTCCCTCCCTTCCTTCCTTTTCTTTCTCTCTCTTTCTCTTTCTCTCTTACTCTCTATCTTTTTTTTTTTTTTTTTTTTTGAGACAGGGTCTTGCTGTGTCACCCAGGCTGGAATGCAGTGGCACGATCACAGCTCACTGCAGCCACGACCTCTTGGGCTCAAGAGATCCTCCTGCCTCAGCCTCCCAAGTAGCTAGGACTACAGGCACGCACCACCGCTCCTGGCTAATTTTTTTCATTTTTTGTAGAGACGGGATCTTGCTATATTGCCCAGGCTGGTCTGAAACTCCTAGACTCAAGCAATCCTCCCACCTCAGCCTCCCAAAGTGTTGAGATTACAAGTGTGAGCCACCATGCCCAGCCTATAATAGGGAATTTTCAGAAAAAGTTCTTACTGAGAAATAAGAGGAGATGGGGAAGAGTGTCCCAGGCTCCTCCCTGAGCAGGGCTCTCATATTCTGTATTCCAATTCGCCAGGCCACTCTCAGCCATCTGGGTTTTGCTGGTGCTGGGTGATTCTTCTAGGCCACTGGGCCAGGGTGCAGTTACAGCCCAGAGCAAATGGGTGAGCAAGACCCCCAGGGGCCAGCTTTCATGTCCCCACTGATGCCTACCCCCATGAGGTCCCTCCTCTCTTGCTGCCCTCTTCTCCCTTTGCTGACCCCACCAGGCCCCAGATGGGAACTGGCTGAGAGCCATCATCCCATTCTCCTGGCCCTGTGGTCTCTCCGCCTCCTCTTCGTTTTCTCTCTTACCAAAGCAAAAAACAAACTTTTTGCTCACCATAACCTGATAATACTGTGATTTTGATAAAGACCTTGGGCTGGGTGCAGTGGCTCACACCTGTCATCTCAGTATTTTGAGAGGCCACGGTGGACAGATTGCTTGAGCCCAGGAGATGGAGACCAGCCTGGGCAACATGGTGAAACCCTGTCTCTACAGAAAATACAAAAATTAGCCCGGCATGGTGGCGTGCGCCTGTAATCCTAGCTACTTGAGAGGCTGCGGTGGAGGATCGCTTGGGCCTGGGAGGTAGAGGTTGCAGTGAGCCGAGATTGCACCAGAGCAAGACCCTGTCTCAAGAAAAAAAAAAAAAAAAAAAAAAGAAAGAAAGACTTTTTGGAGTTGGAAATAACAGGATCCCACTGGGGGTGATTTGACGGGAAATTTTGGGCTCATGATCAGGACACAGGGCAAGTCCTGCAGCTGGGGCAGAGCGGGGGAAGGGCTAGGTCGGGACTGGAAAAGCCAGGGACCTGCCCAGTGCTCTCCACACTCTGTCTCATCCTGGTGGAGAAGGCTGCATTCTGTGCATCTCTTGAAATGCCGGTCACCTGCAGAAACTCACCATTCCCAGGTTCCCGGTGACACCCCGATGGGCCCATGTGCCTGGGACTTGGAGGGGCTGTACTAATATGAGTGGGCCCCTCTCCTGGGGATCAGGGGTTACTTTCCAGGGAAAGGGCATTGCTGGGGGTGGAAGGAGACCCCCACCTGTGTCATTGACAGTGCACTAAGCTCATTCTGCTGCCACTAAGCCCGGTATCCCCACTTTAAAAAGGAGGAAACTGAGGCTCAGAAGACAAGAGGCAGAACCGCTCTCTCAGTGCTGAAGCTGGTTATCACCCTGCACTCCCTGTCATCAGCCTAAGTGGGGCCTGAAGACCGTTGTTAATATGTCCACTGTTAGGGCATCCTGCCAGCGTGGTCATTTCTGTGAATGTGTGACCACGTTAGGGAGGTGCAGGACTGCTTTATTAAAATTGGGCTGGGTACCCTTTTTTCTGTAAAGACCCAGAGAGTAAATACCTCAGGCTTTGCAGCCACAGAAAATATGCAGGTGAGTAGATGTGGTCGCATCCCAGTAAAACTTTATTTACAAAATTAGATGTGCAGGATTAGGCCCAAGGGCCGTAGTTTGCAACCCTAAAATGAAGTAAGCAGGCCTGCAGTCTTGACCTGCACCTCCCACAGTGTGGACCCTGGGCACAGCAGAACTGACGCCAGGGCTTTCTGTTTTTGAAACTCTGGATTTAATTGTACCCCAGAAATGAAAGATTCGTTTGCTGAACATAGTTATGTCTGAAAATTCCCTTACATATTTTTTCCTGTACTCAAAGCAACATATATTTATGGCAATAATTAGTAGAGTATGGAAATCTCAGCGTAAAAACTGGAATCCACATTTGTGCTTTTTCCAGGGGTTTCCCACCCTGAAACCCTGTGCGGAGCGTCACCCTATATCGGCTGCTGCATGCTCTTGCAGACTCACACGTTGTTTTGAAACACCATGGGCTTCTAGCAGCTCGTTTCCTTGTGTTTGCTTTTTCTCAGCTCAGCCTCCATCTGCAGTGTTGTTCGAGCCTCACACGTGGCTTTGCCAGCTCTCCTTTCACCACTGCCCTGTGGGCCTCAGGCTGACAGCTCCATGGGCATCTGTCCCTCCCCTGCTGACATGCATGGTCCTCATAGTGAGAGGTGACAGAAGCCGCCTCTGCCTTCCTGCTCCCCAGGAGTGGGTGAACATCTTCTGTGAAACCTGCTGGGCTGTCCCTGAGTCTGAGGACACGTTCCAGGGACGAGACCCTGAATAGCATAGGGCTTGGCGTCCCCCCTTGAGGCCTGACCGGCTGGGGCCAGGGGCCAGTGGGCTTGGGGAGTGGCATGTGATTCATACAGTCCGTGTTGTTCTGAGACCGTTCTAGGGATGCAGCTCTTCACGACTCATATCCATCATCAGTAACATTTGGAGCCATGAAGACAGGGGTTGTTGACCTCAGCTTTATTGAGGTTTGGGGCTGGATGGTTTTTTGCCATGGGGGGCTGTCCTATTAATTGCAGGATGCCTCACAACATCCCTGGCCTTAACCCAGTAAGTGCCAGTAGCACTCACAGTTGTGACAGCCAAAAATGTCTCCAGACATTGCCGGATGTTCCCGTGAAGGCAAAATTACCCCCGGTTGAGAACCACTGTGTCAGAGGGTGGGGAAACCATGGTGGTTTTGCTTCTAATTGGAATCGGGGTGCAGGGGCTCTGGGGATCCCCCTCTAACCAACCTGACCTTCCTGTAGGGCAGTGGGACAGAACACTCAGCACGGTCTGTGGAGCGGTCCACACTCACTTCCACATGCCTGACTCATTGGCATCTGTGGCCAGAGCCCCCCACTCTGTACAGAGGCGGCCTCAGTGGGGCTTGAGGCAGAGTGCACCCCCAAGCATGCAGGTGGCTTTTTACACAGTCGATGAACAAAGCTGGCCACAGTCACCGAGGCCCCAGGATGCTGGAGAACGCAGAGACGGGGCGGCCTTTACTACCCAACTCAGATCCGCCCACCTGTGTCTCCCAAGTGAGCGCAGCCCACACTCTTAGCTGCCGGAGAGGGTGTGGTTCCCTCATTAATAATCACCATCATGGGGTGGAGGCCTGGTGGGCTCCCCACCCTGAAATCAGCCGGATCCTGAGAGCTCAGTGTGCTCCTGGCCTGCCCGACCCACCCAGCCAGGGATGAAGACTCTCTGCCAGGGTGGCCTGCCTTCCTGCTGTCTGTCTTCTTAAATATGTATGTGACCCTCTATTGAGATGCAATTCACACACCATACAGTTCACCCATCTAAAGTGTACAGCTCCATGATCGCTGGTCTGTCCACAGAGTTGTGCAGCCATCACCACCATCAACCATCACCACCGTCAACCATCACCACCATCGACCATCACCACCAACAACCATCACAACCGTCAACCTTAGAACATTTTTTTTCACCCAGACTGAAACCCAGGACCTGTTGGCAGCTGCTCCCTATTTCCTTCTAGATTTTCAGCTCTCTATTTTTATTTTTATTTTATTTATTTATTTTTTCGAGACAGAGTTTCGCTCTTGTTGCCCAGGCTGGAGTGCAATGGCACAGTCTTGGCTCTCTGCAACCTCCACCTCCCAGGTTCAAGTGATTCTCCTGCCTCAGCCTCCCGAGTAGCTGGGATTACAGGCACCTGCCACCGCACCCAGCTAAGTTTTGTATTTTTGGTAGAGACAAGGTTTCACCATGTTGTTGCCAGGCTGGTCTTGAACTCCTGACCTCAGGTGATCCGCCCATCTCAGCCTCCCAAAGTGCTGGGATTACAGACGTGAGCCACCGCGCCCAACCAATCAGCTCTCTTTCAAATCTGCTGATCTGCCAGGTCCCACCGCCTGTGCAGTGTCCACTCAGCTTGGCATTTTGCTGTTCCCAGGGATGGGGTTCCCCCGGGGCCCGGGCTGGGGTCTCTGACCTGTCGTGGGTGGGAAGCCCTGGTCATTTAATCCACTTACCCCTTTATTCGGTGTATATTTGTGCAGTGTTGAGTCCAGGTGGTCACACCTGTTGTCTGTACACTAGACTGTAGGTAAGGATGGAATTCCCAGGATCTGCCCAGTACAGGCTTCGGCTGTGACCTGCGCTGAGGCCCTGAGTCCTGTAGGAGAAGGTGCCCCCAGCCCGGTGTCAGGCCCCTGCTGCCGAGGCACAAGCACCAGCCCAGCCCCTGATCATTTAAATGCACTTCCAAAAACAGAGTTTGCTTATTCTAAACAGCCAACTGCATTTGCTAGGCAAAATTATTCTAATAGTCGGTACGGCTACATCAGTATTCTACTGCTGCCTTTTTATTAGTAGTTATTTGCCGCTGCAGTCCCCACTGGTTACATCAACATTCTGCTGCTGCCTTTTATTGGCTACGTCAACATTCTACCACTGCCTTTTTATTAGTAGTTATTTGCTGCTGCAGTCCTCACTGGGAGCTTCAGAGGGGTTGGCGAGAAGTTCTCCATCAGCTTCACGGGCAAATGGTAGCTGCCCAATCAATGGATGGATGCAGATTCATTTTTGTTATGAAAATGCATAAGAGGCTGGGTGCAGTGGCTCACGCCTGTAATCCCAGCACTTCGGGAGGCTGAGGCAGGCAGATCACTTGAGCCCAGGAGTTTGAGACCAGCCTAGACAACACGGGGGACCTCGTCTCTACAAAAAAATACAAAAATTAGCTGGGCATGGTGGCGCATCCCTATAGTCCCAGGTACTCAGGAGGTTGAGGTGGGAGGTCGAGGCTGCTGTGAGCTGTGATCGCACCGCTGCACTCTAGCCTGGGTGACAGACTGAGACCCTGTCTCAAAAAAAAAAAAAAAAACCGTTTTGCTTGCTTTTAACAACATTAAATAATATAAGCCCACATATTAAAAAAAAAAGAATCTCTGGTCAGGCATGGTGGTTCACGCCTATAATCCCAGCATTTTGGGAGGTAGAGGCCTGCAGATCACTTGAGCCCAGGAGTTCGAGACTAGCCTGGGCAATATATTGAGACCCTGGCTCTCCAAAAAAAAAAAATTAGCTGGGCATGGTGGCACATGCTTGTTGTCCCAGCTACTCAGGAGGCTGAGGTGGGGAGAATTGCCTGAGCCCAAGAGATGAAGGTTGCAGCGAGCCAAGATTGCACCACTGCACTCTAGCCTCGGCAACAGAGCAAGACTGTGTCTCAAAAAATAAAAATAAAGTGTAAAAAGATTCCTTCTGTTCTCTCCCTAATCCTTTTCCTTTCCATGAAAGTAAATACCGTTAACTGGTGCATATCCTTCCAGACATAGTCCCTGCTTTTCTATAATATAGACTTTAAGCCTTTATTAGTTTCTCTTTAAGCCTTTAAAATGTAAATGAACTTAAACAATATTATTGGGGGTTTTGTTTTTTTTGTTTGTTTGTTTTTTGTTTTGAGATGGAGTCTTACCCTTGTTGCCCAGGCTGGAGGGCAGTGGGTGCGATCTCGGCTCACTGCAACCTCCGCCTCCTGGGTTCAAGTGATTCTCCTGCCTCAGCCTCCTGAGTAGCTGGGATTACAGGCGCATGCCTCCATGCCCGGCTAATTTTTGTATTTTTGTAGAGATGGGGTTTCACCATGTTGGTCAGGCTGGTCTCAAGCTCCTGACCTCAGGTGATTGGCCCACCTCGACCTCCCAAAGTGTTGGGATTACAGGTGTGAGCTACTGCGCATGGCCAATATTATTGTTTTGGGACTTGCCTTTTTTATTTAGAAGTTCCTGGATATGTTTTTCTCAGTTCATAGTCATCTGCCTTGTTTTGTCCTGAGACTGCCTAGGTGAAGAATGTTCTAGAATATATCCCCACTCTCCCCTATTTTAGAACATGTATGCTAGCTCCAGATTTTCTTTTCTTTTCTTCTTTTCTTTTCTTTCTTCTTTCTTCCTTTCTGTATTTTACTGAAGATATTTCATTTATTGTATATTTTATATACATGTGCAAGACTTTCTATAGGATATAGTCTTAAAAAGTGAAATTGTTTGGCCATAGTTGGCAGCAGGTGAGCCTCACCTGACAGCATACAGGAGCCAGATGAAAGCAACATGCTTTCCCTTTTAACTGTGCACTTCTGTTTCCCTGGTTTCCCGTGAGCTTGAGACTCTGGACAGATTTCTTTGGAGAATGTCTGTGCTACCATTTTACAAACAGGTTTCTCCTTTTCTATTTGCAGGACAGCTGTGCAAGAGTGCTTCTGTTTCGAGGCGGAAATAAGGAGTTAAAAAACTACAACAGCCAGACTCCATTTCAGGTAAAAGAGATCTCAGCATCAGGAAGGATGTGTGTGGATCACAGTGGGTGATGGCTCTGCGTCTCCACGGTCGTGTTTGTATGTGTGACATGAGGTCGGCTCGTTTTGTTGCGGATGTTTTCTTATTCGGAGGCTGCTCTAGGTGCCTCCCTCTCTTAGTGCAAAGCTGCTGCCCCGTCTCAGTGTGCTTGCTCACACTGGCTCCTTCCTATTAGAGCAAATGGCACAAATAATGTGGAAATGCATGCAGCAGTCAGCGCCGGAAAGGCAGCAAAGACGTAAGTGCTTCCAACTGTGCAGCTGTTGGGAGATGCTGGCTCTGCCGCCCCTCCATCCAGTGGGACAAGCTTCCTGAGGATCACACAGGAGGGGGCTTGCCTTCCATTGGCACCCCCATGGGGTCCGCTGTCCCAGAGTGGAGGGAGAACAACCCCAGCCAATCATGGGCCAGGGTGTTCTGTGGTGTAATGCACAAGCCCAGGTCCTAAACTTTTTTAAAAATTGTGGCAAAATACATATAGCATCACATTTAACATTTGAACCATTTTAAAGTGTACACTTTGGTGGCATTAAGAATATTCATGATGCTGTGCAAAACCATCCCCATTGTCTAGCTAAGAACTTAGCTTTGGGAACTTTCCTTTCCCAAAAGGAAACCCTGTACCCACTAACCAGCCACTCCCCACTCCCCCTCCCCCTCCCCCAGCCCCTAGAAAACCACTCATGACTTTGCATCTCCATGAATTTGCCTATTCTGAACATGTGAAATGAATGAGATCATATT